>NC_000010.11:125367423-125678903 GCF_000001405.40 Homo sapiens
TACCAACAAATTAGAAAACCTAGATGAGATGAACAAATTCCTATAAAGATCAAAAATACCAAAAGCACCTACACTGACTTAAGGAGAAATAGGAAATCTAAATAGGAGTAAAGAGATTAAATTAGTAATCAACAAACTTCCCACAAATAAATGCCCAGGACCAAATGACTTCACTGCTAAATTCTACCAAACCTTGAAGAAGAATGAACACCAGTCCTTCACTTAGTCAAGCATAGAAGAGGAGGGATCACTTTCTAACTCATTTAAGAGGCCAGCGTTACTCAGATATCTGTAACCAGATAAAGATATTACAAGAAAAAACTACAGACCAACATTCCTTATGAATATAGAGACAAAAACCCTCAACAAAATACTAGTAAACCAAATCCAGCAACATATGAAAAGGATAATATGCCATGACCTAGTGGGATTTATCCTAAGGGCACAAGGTTGGATCAACATGGAAATCAATGTCATATACCACATGAATGGAATAAAGGACAAAACCCACCTGATCATCTCAATAGACTCAGAAAGACCCTATGTCCAATTCCTCTCTGCCACTTGCTAACTTTGTTGCATTGAGCAAATGCCTTGAGGTCTCTGAGCCTTAGTTTCTTCAATGGTTAAGGATTAAATCAGTTAATATAACTAGCATAATCAATATATGCTAATGTTTCTTATTGGCAAACATGAGAGATTCTGATGTAGTAGGTCAGGAGTGGGCCCAGGTACATACATGTACATTTAATTAACAGGTTTCAATTGAAAAGAAAATATATGTGTTAATCTTTCAAGTTTACAGAGACACATATGTTCAAAATTCTCTTCTGAGTGGTGCATGGTTTCAGACAGTTTCTGTGGCATGTGTTTTTTTTACTTGCCCGTTGGTTGTGTGCTATAGGATACCCCTGGGACACACATGCCTGGATTGAGACTCATCATATGTGAAACATCCTGGCCACAGTAGATAGTCAATAAGTTGTAGTTCCTCCTCTCTTTTCTTGATACATTTTTTGCAGCTCTATGAATTTAACATATTTATCTCATTATAAACTGGGTGCTTTGTCTGCTGAGCTCACTTATATACCCCTTTGGAGGAGAGATCTATGTCTTCTCCTCCTTTTGTGCTTACCACAGAGTCATACACATAGTAGTTGTGTTAAATTTGCTTTTTAAAAATATGTTGTTGAGAATATAAGAGAATTGATAAGCTAAGTGAAACAATTCATTTTGATTTTAAGTTGTAAAGTCACTTGGAAGTGTTATTATCTAGCAGCAGTGTGCCGGATTCACTAGCTAGACTACACTAGTCTAGTCTTCCTAGCAGCACTTAATTTACACAACGGTAGTCCTTGGGCACCATAGAGTACAGAGTTACATTTAATATTATAGCACTGAGCACATAGTAGGTGCTTAATAAACAAGTGTTGGATTCACAGAGGAGTGGCAAAATATGGGCTCATTTTTATTGTTGAGAGAACAAAGAAAAGCACAGAAGCTGTTTAAGACATGAAAGATGTTGGTGTCAGGGTAAGCAATGTGTTCTTACCTGTACCAAATGTGCAAAGCAGATTTTTGGAGGCAAAAACAAAGGGTTATGTTGAAGGCAATCAATTTTGCTTAATTTTAACATGGCCACATTTATGCCAAGTGATTAGTGTTTTCTCGTTAGCTTAGCAACTGTAGTATGGCTAACATATTTGGCAAATGCTGATTTTAGAAGTCAGATGTTGTGCCAACCTTGCAAAATGATCTAGATATCGTTTTTAAACCACCCAACCACTTCACAATTGTTTAAATGGGTCATAATAGCTTTTCATCAAAAGAAATATATTTTCTTGATGGAAAGGAATTTATTTGAAGTATTGAAGATAATGTTGAATATTAGGTAAAAATGAACACATTTGAAAGGCAACGATATTGGATATTAAAGAAAAATCACTCTCTCAAGGAATCTGCCACCATGGTTTCCACAAGGCCAAAAATATACGAGGTCCTGAGTGCGCTGCCCTCTCAGGCAACACAGAAGATGCACCATGGGGTTGTGGGGGAAACGAAGATTTTGTACTTCTCACCCTGAAGTTCATTTTTATTTTGACTTTGCTTTTCATATCCATTAGAGACTCTTTGTTAAAATGATTACGTAATTTTCACAGAACTATGCTCTCCCCTCAAGGGATGCTTCTGCATACCATCTTTTTAAAGTGTAGCAGAGAGAAATGTAAATGCCCAAGAGATACAAGCAAGGCTTTTGGCTGAGAGAAGGGGGACAAACTCCTTGTTCAGACACCCAACACAGAGATTGCAGGGAACGAAAGCTTCCTTTGCTTTGGAACTCATCTCTGCCTCAGTTCCTGTCTTGTGATAAGGTTACAGTGAATGGGGCTGGCATCCTTCAAGGTTACTGTTCCAGAAAATATTTGCAAATAATTTGATGTGCTGTCAGTTAGCAGGCTGCAGTGAATTCTTATAATTCAACATACTAATGTGGTTTTTTAATGCCTTAAGCTATAAATAAGTTGGATATGCAAAAGTTTCTGTAATGTTTATTTAATAACAATATTTAAAAAATAAATCTTGATTATTCCATCGAGCTTCAATGGAAATCTTCCACTCCGACGGTTGGTTGTCTGTGACCTCAGGCGGTTCCTTCCTTCCTTTGTCTCATTTGATATCACTAAAGAAACACGCTTGTTTTTCTTTTCAGGCTTTGGGAAGCAGTACTGTGATGCCTCTGCCTACATGCTCCCCATCCAAGTCTCTGCTTGTTAAATGACTGAACTCAATTCAAGTTGAATAATCCCAGTGGGATGGCGCCTCTTTGGGTGTGGGGCCCTGGGAAGATGAAGCGGGCACCCCTGGATTTAGGAAGCCTGTAGGCCAGTTGGAGCCTCAGGCTCCATATCACAAAATCAGTGTGCCTCGACTGTATGAGAACACAGAAGGGAATATTGATCAGTGTGTGGAGGCCGCGGCCCTGAGTGGGGCCTGCAAAGATAATATCACCAGGTGGACCGCAGAAGCCAGGGTTGCAGGCAGAATGCACCAAGATGGGAGGTGTCAAAGGTGAATCTCATAATGGCAAGACAAATTGTAGTGCCGATGTTTCTACTGATAATTTTCTGGAATGAGGTCATTTAAACTATGGATCAGCCGAGGGTATGCTTTGACCCCGGGTGTGCCTCACAGGAGACCGCCAGGAGCTTCTGTAAGTTGCGTTCAGCCAAGAGCCCTGGGGCTGGGGTCAGAAGGTAGCAGGATCCCAGAGAACTAAAGAGCAGCTGTCCGGGTGGGGGCGCCCTTCTGAGGGCCCGTGCTGCTGCTGATTGTAAAGAAGCGCCTGACAATGCAGACACGGCTGAGTGCATCCTGTGTAACCGGCGCATGCGCGCCCAGAGGCGCCCCACACGCTCTTCAAGGTTAGAGCGGGAATGCAGAGGGCGGGCAGGTAGGAGGTGGGGAACAATTTTGTGGCTTCATGATGCCCCCTGGGCTGTCCCCAGTGCCAGGGCAGGCCTAGCCTTTGGGGAATGTGTGCAGAGGAGGCCTGTAAGCGGGGGACAGCTGGAGACCAAGCCAGTGAGCATCTACCTCCCGGTCGGGAGGCATGCTTCTCTAGGTGCTGTGTCAATTTTTATTAAAAAACAGCTTTATTGAGATACAGTTCACACACCTTACAATTCGCCCATTTAAAGTGTTCGGTGACTTAAATTTAATGATTTTAGTATATTCGCAGAGTTGTGCATGGACCACCGCAATCAATTTTAGAACATTTTCCTTACCCCTGAAAGAAACTCTGCATCCTTTATCTATCCTCCTCCTCCCCTCCCATCCCCGCAATTCCCGCATCCCGCCATCCTCCCCAGCCCTAGGCAACCACTAATCTACTTCCTATCTCTATAGATTTGCCAGTTCTGGACACTTCATATAATGGAATCATACAATATGTGGTCTTTTGTGACTGGCTTGTTTCACTCAGGATAATGTTTTCTAGGCTCATTCATGTTGTCACTAGACTATATAGCTCCCTATCACCAGGAGCCATGGCTTTCTTGCTTACTCTATTTCTAGAATACCTACTGTGTGTATCTGACACACAGTAGGTACTACAAAATATGTGTACAATGAAACAATCCATAAATTGCAGTAGCTGAGGGCAGCCATGGCCCTGGGTGTGCCCTTTGAAGACGTGAGTTCCTTCCCAGCCCCCTCAGCTGCCAGCTCCAGATGACCTTGGCTTGCCAGATGACCTTGGGCTCAGATCGTTTCTCATTTTAGTTCTCATCTGTACCACCAGGCAAATGGTCTCTTGTTCATGGAGACTTGAATGACTCAGACATTGCAGATGAGTTTTGTAGGTCTTCATGTTGTAACTAAATTTTGGGAAATATTGTTAACAGAGCAGTTAAGAGAATACAGAATGCTTTCAGCTTCTGGGGCAGAGCAAGTTTAGAGATAGTCAATTGCTCAGCAAGACAGACAACAATTTTATGAAGACTTTTTTTGTCCTCCCCACCCTCAATTAAAATATGCAGGTAAAGTAAAGGTTAAATCAGGCTTGGAAATGTTTTTGTTGCCTTTTGAACATACACAATTGTTTGGGAAAAATGTACTCATTATGGTTATACTCTACTTAGTAGAAATATATGATTTCTTTTTATATTTTAAATAAGTAGACTGACTTTTTTTTTCTCAGGCAAAGTCATAATTGTATTTATTTTAAATTTATGTCCTGTCTGCTTCAAAAAAGAATTTGAGGCAGCCAGGAAAATCATAAGCTATAAAATGAGCAAGCTCCATTTTCTACTAATAAAATAAAAGTTAGGATCTCATCAGTGAAACAACTTCTCTTTGTGCTGTACTGTGTGCAAATATTTGGATTACTAAAGTGAATTTATGAAGCAATTACTTTTAATGCTATAAGAGGAAATTAAGTACTCATTGATTCTTGATTTATAAGCTAGAGCTAAAGATCATGAAAAAGCAAATATAACTTAATTAAATGTCCCTCGGCTTTGCTACTATTGAGGTCTTCACTCATAAAGTTAGTAAAACAACCCATTTCTAGAACATAAATGTATATTGGTTCTTCCAGTTGGGAAGGCAAATAATTTACTGGTTAAATATATTCAGCAAAGTTAACCCAAGTGAGAGATTTTCCCAGTGTCCTCTGGGGCTTGAAGAGATAAAAGCTATTGTAGTTTTAAGGAAACCATTGTCCTGGGAATGATAGGTAGTAACTTGCTGTGAAAAAGAGTAAACAAAAGCGTGTCTCTTTTTTTTATTAGAAAATATATTTTAATATGCCCACAGAATAGACTATAGATCTGCGAAAGAAATAGAGCTTTATAGTCTATTCATTGGCTATACACTTGTGGTTATTCATTGCTGACAGTGAACACATTAACCTGGGATAATTTAATTGAATCTTCTAGTAATGTTGCTATTTTTCTACCCTGAAGTGTAAATGATTTTTAAAAATTAGGTTCTAAAATGTAACACTTCAAGTGATGTATACAGCAAATCAAGGAGCCGGTGTGAGCTCCCCTTTGTGCTCCGTGAGTTATTGATTAGAAAAGCAAAAATAAAGGAAAGAAAAAATAAAAGAATGAAAAAACACAGCAGCAAAAGAGTGCCAAGTAGGGCTGGGCATGGTGGCTCACGCCTGTAATCCCAGCACTTTGGGAGGCCGAGGCAGGTGGATCACCTGAGGTCAGGAGTTCGAGACCAGCCTGGCCAACATGGCAAAACCCCATCTCTACTAAAAATGCAAAAGTTGGCTGGGTGTGGTGGCATGTGCCTGTAATCCCAGCTACTCAGGAGGCTGAGGCAGGAGAATCACTTGAACCCGGAAGGTGGAGGTTGCAGTGAGCGGAGATCGTGCTATTGCACTCCAGCCTGGGTGACAAGAGCAAATCTCTGTCTCAAAAAAAAAAAAAAAAAAAAAAAGAGTGCCAACTAGAAATAAGACCCATTGGACCAGGAGCACTCCCTGTAAGGAAACTCCACTTACATCCCACTTTCCTGACCTCGTTTGTTCTCCAGGCATCCACTGAGTCAAAGTTTAGGTTTCCTGTTCAGTTGAGTAATAAGAGGATTTATTCAAATAAATTATAAATAAGCATGAATAGGAAGAGTTCAAAGTTTCTCATAGAAAATCAAGGTTTTGAGAAATTCTCTTCTCTGTCATTAGGATAGACTGGAATCTTGTCTTCAACGGCACATCAAGCTGGTTTTAGGAGTGACGTAGCAAGAGCAATGAGAGAGAGAATTGGCATTCTAGACTCCAGCCAGGAAACGTTATGATAATGCTTACGAAAAATGGAACATGCTGACTTCAGGAAGATGACATCACCACCAGCAGGGCCTGAATGTTAAGGGCATTTTTTTAGGAAGTACTGATGGGCGGTCAGGATTTCTCTTGGGTTGGCCTTAGGCAACCAGGTTGGATTAGGCAAACATCTTTGCCTAGTTGCAAGTTGAGGTTAAAGGCATTCAGCAGTCGTGGAGATAATTTTTCTCCCTGTCCTTCCTGTGAATAAGTCCATGATTTTTGCCTCCTTGGTGCTATGTTCCAATCGCAGGTACTCTTGGGCCCAGAATTGCATGCTGGGTGTGGCGGTGTACTAGGAATACAAAAAAATCAAGGTAAAAAGATGCATTCCTTTCAGAGAGCTGCCATAACAAAGTACCACAGACTGGGGGGCTTAAACAACAGAAATTTATTTCCTACAATTTTGAAGGCTAGACATCTAAGATCAAGGTGTTTGCAGGGTTGATTCCTTCTGAGACCTCTCTCTTTGGCTTGTAGATTGCCGTCTTCTCCCAGTGTCTGCACATGACTCTCCCGCTGTGTGTGTCTGTGCCCTAATTTTCCCTTCTTATAAGGACAGCAGTCATATTGCGTTAGGGTCCACCCTAATGACCTCATTTTAACTTAATTCCCTCTTTAAAGACCTGACCTCCAAGTACAGCCATATTCTGAGGTACTGCGGTTAGGGCTTCAACATAGGAATTTGGTAGTGAGGAGGGGAACATAATTTAGCCCATTAATAAAAGAAAAAACCGAGGTGGACATACACATTTGAGTCAATTATCAAGAAACGAAATGAGCAAGTTCTGTCTTTCTTATAATCTGTGTTTTGTCCATTTGTGACTGTGGTGTGCTGCTACATGCTGGCCAACCAGCTCTATGAGAAACAAGAAACCTGATTTGTAGTGTTTGCTGACTTCCAGGGTGTAAATATTCCCAACATGGCCTATTTCAACCTCCAAGATGGCTTCATTGACTGTGGAGTTGGGGAGACATGTGCACAGTCAGCCCTCGTGAGCAGGTGTGAGCCACCTCCAGAACTCCACTGATGTGAGTGATAAAGAACAGAAAAGTAAAGGGGAAGAAACTGAAACTCAATTTTGGTAATTTTAAAGCTATTCTTATAAAGCTTGATAATGGGAGGAGGTGCAGAAATGTTGATTAAAAGAAATTATCTGTAATTTTGTCATTTCGCTCCTATTTCACCATTCTTTTTTTTCAGGCAACCATTGATAGTAATTATTTGCCTGTTAAAAGTAAAAATTTTATAAAAGCGAGGATAATGGGGACTTGGTAAAAGGATATAATGATATAAAAAAAGTTAAAAGAGCTCCTGTTCCCAGTAATGTGGCAGACAAGAAACCCTGAAATACATACATGCACATGTGTGCGCACACACACACACATCCCTTTTCAAAGTGTCAATGAGCGGGAAATGAGTATAGAATATTCAGAGGCCAACAAGAAATGATGCACTGAAGTAGATCAGTTTTTCCAACCTACTTTGCTGAACAGGGTAACCTTGAACTTTGATATTCATAATTCCATGGGAACAGGAGACAAGGCTCAAGATCTACCCAAGGATGGAGTGTAAAAGGGGAACCCCTGCTGGTACTTGAAAGCAGTAGTTGTTTCTTCACTGGGGTGATTTTGCCTCCCGGGGACATTTGGCAATGCCTGGAGACATTTTTGATTGTCATGACTGGAAAGGTGCTGCTGGCATCTAGTGGGTAGAGATCAAAGATGCTGCTAAACACCCTACACTGCATGAGACAACTTCCTACAACGAATTATCTGGCTCAAAATATCAGTCATAATGAGGTTGAGAAACTTCGCTCTAAAAGGTTACACTGTCAATGTAAGAGTGAACTGGAAATTAAACCACCTTTCTCTCATCTCCCAAAATGCAAGGAAATATATTGTTGAACCAGCACAATGGTTCAACAATATATTTCCTTGCATTTTGGGAGATGAGATGCTTGCATTTGGGGGTAGTGTGCCTCTATGGGAACTCATAAGTGCAGGCTGCCCCCATGCAGATTTGCAGCCAAATTCATTCTAACTGAGGCAATAATTCATTCATCTCAAGTGAATTTAAAATGGTTCCAGGCTGGTTATCTTCCCAGGTGCTTGGCAGAAGCAAACCGCCTCTATCCTCCTGTGAAAATCCACCTTCAACTTAGATCTCAAATAACCTACACTTATACAGTTCCAAAAAATATATACACATAATAAAAAACACAAGAAAACATCTTGTATAATCAAGAGTGAAAGCCAACAGAAAAATAGAGAAGAATCAGTCCCCCAAAGACTTTTGTTGTTGAAATTACCAGATAGAGAATGTAAGAACGGTTAATATGCTTAAAGGAATAAAATGAATAAGAATAATAGGTTATAGATCATGACTGAGCAGATTTGAAAAATAAACAATATAATTTAAAAAATAAAAAACAGTGTGATTAATATTAAAAACTCAATGGAAAGCAATTAGAGGCAGCTGCTGAGAGTTAATAAACTTAAGGATAGGTCTAAACACTTTCCCACAGTGAAGCACAAAGAAATTAAGGTATGGAAAAGGAGAAAGAGTGATAAAGTGATGTGAAGAAAGGAATGAGAAGGTCCAACATAACTGTCCAAACAGAGTTTTGTAAAGAGAAGACAGCGAAAATGGCACAGAGGTAATGTTTGAGGAAACAATGACCAGTCATTTCCCAGAACTCATGACAGATGCCAATCCACAGATTAAGTCCAGTGAATCCCAAACAAGATAGATAGATAAAAGGAAGCCCTAAACTTAGACCCACCACAGTGAAACTGAGCAACACCAGGAACAGAGACTATCTCAAAAACTATCCCAGAGGGAAATAAATTACCCTCTTGTCTTCAAAAGAATAATTAGGCTGAACGCTGACTTCCCAACAGGAACAGCAAAAACCCAAACAGAGTGGAATGACATCCTCACTATACTAGGTGAAAATAACTATCAACCTAGAATAATTTACCAACTGAAGTATCTTCTGAGAAAACTGAGACACTTTGCTAGCAGTAGACCTCTAACTAAAGGAAGTTCTAAAATATGGACTCTAGGCCAAAGGAATGTGCTCCAGATGGATGGAATCCATGAGATCTTACCTTGAGATGCAGGAGGAAGCAGAGGGAGGAGAATATGTGCAACTAAACAGACATAACCTGTGTAAAACAATATTAGGAATTCCATTGGTTAAAGATAAATAAGAACATTTATAAAATAGCACCGATATCTGGAGGAAGTGATTAGAATTAAAGTCTCCTAAGGTCTTATATAAAAAACAACAGATTTTCAAAAGAAAAGGTGCTTCTATCACCTTCCACACTAATAACACTCTCAGGAATCAAAGGGATTTATGTAAATGACTTAACTCCTTCTCCTTCTAAGCCCTTTGTGGGTGGACCTGATGCTTGCTAATCCTCTGTCTCCATCACTGGCACCTAGCTCAGCACATTGCACATAGAAGGTGGTCGACATTGCGTTCAATTGAGCTTATATCAAATAAGCTGTAATTATCAGTAGGGCTACTGTACTTAGAAGTTAAAGAGACATATTCATTATTCACTGAATACTTTAACTTAAGTTTTTCATGGCAAAACATAAAATAGTGTTGTTCTTATCTTTGGGGTCTGTCTTGGTTTGGGTTCCCCCAGAAGGAGACCCTGAGACAAAGATTCAAGGCCTATGTAGCTTGGTTTGGGAGGTGATTCCAGGATATACTGGCAGTGGCATGGGGAAGTGAGATAGGACAGGAGGAAAGCCAAAAAGGGATGAATTAATGAGTCAGTGTCTGTGGTGAGCTCCATCCCCCTGGGACCTTTAGCAGAAAGTGAAGAAATGCCTATGTTATCCCAGCCATGGGCTCCCATATCAGTGGATGAAGCTGCTTTCTGGGCATCCCTCTTTAAAATGTTTGGCTTTTCCTGTCCATAGCTCAGCCCCTTGCTGGCCAGAGATGAAGCTTGCAGGGAGAACATTGCAGCATTTGCAGCAAGCCTCCTTTGGCTTCTAGAGGTGAAAGTTGGGGAATGGGGGACCATGGGCAGGACACAGCCTCTGCTATAGCACTAGAGGCTTGAAATCAACCTTTTGGGAAGAAAACGTGAGTGCAGGCAGGAGTGGTAGAAATTAACTTTGTGGAAATAAAATTAAAAGGGCCCTTAGACAGTAAAAGGGGTTGGAACTAAAGGGGCAACATCAAGAAGTATAATGGTCTCAGTGGCAGTAAGTGGGCAGAGGTTCATGGACACATAGATAGGACAGTGATGGCTGTGACAGTAATTGGGGCTTGTCTGAACACAGGGGTGGAGAATTAGGAGACAGGGCATCACAAGCATGAGCACTCACACATGGCAAGGGTATAAAGGTCAACAATGAGCCTGAGAGTTACCAGGAAAAAATGTTAGCTGCCTCATGCAGGGCAGGAGTGAACAGAGAGAGAGTTTAGACATATCATTCATGAGGGTGAATCAATGGATGTGGTTTCATTTCTAAATGACACAAATAGATAAATATATTGAAACACACTACATAGGATGGGCAAAGATAAGACAAGCAGAATGAAAAAAAAAAAAAGAAATGAAGCAAGCTGTAGCATGACTATCAAATAAAGGAGATTTTAAGGAGAAAGGCATTGAATGAAGCAACTACCTTATGAAGGTGGTGCATGGACATTTGTTGGTTGCTTTTCCAGAAGCGATTCCCTCAATAGTATCCTGATTCCCCTTTGAGAGGTTACCATTCTCCCACTATTAGCCATATGTCTTGGGGTGGCAATAAACTCTTTTTAGCTTTTGGATGGGCCTCAAAACAATATATGCAGATGCCCAAAAAGACAGAGTAGAAAGAGAAAGAAAAATGAAGTTCTTGGTAGCATTATTTGGGGCTGCTGGATCAAGCCTAATCTAAAGCTTATTTTGTTAGTTACAAGAACTAGTAAATTCTATTATTGTTTCAACAAGTTCTCTTTTTTCATCTTTTATTTTAGGTTCAGGAGGTGCATGTACAGATTCATTACAGGAGAAAATTGTGTGTTTCTGGGGTTTGGTGTACAAACCCTGGTAGTGAGCGTACTACTGGATAGGTAGTTTTTTGACTTTCACCTCTTCCCACCCTCCACTCTCAAGAAGGCCCTGGTGTCTGTCGTTCCCATAATGTGTTCATGTGTACTCAGTGTTTAGCTCCCACCTATAAGTGAGAACATGTGGCATTTGGTTTTTTGTTCCTACATTAATTTGCTTAGGATAGAGGCGTCCAGCTGCATCCATGTTGCTGCAAAGGACATGATTTTGTTCTTTTCTACGGCTGCATAGTATTCCATGGTGTATATGTACCACATTTTCTTTATCCAATCCACTGTTGATAGGCATCTAGGTTGATTCCATGTCTTTCCTATTAAGAATTGTGCTGTGATGAACATATGCATGCATGTGTTTTTGGTAGAATGATTTATATTCCTCTGGTATATACCCAGTAATGGGATTGCTGGGTCGAATGGTAGATCTATTTTAAGTTCTTTGAGCAATCTCCAAACTGCTTTCCAAAGTAGCTGAACTAATTTATATCCCCACCAGCAGTGTGTAAGCATTCGCTTTTCTTGTTTTTGTTTTTTGAGACTGGATCTCACTGTTGCCCAGGCTGGAGTGCGCTGGTGCAAACATGGCTCACTGCAACGTTAACCTCCTGTGTTCAGGTAATCCTCCTGCCTTGGCCTCTTAAGTAGCTGGCACCATGGATGCATGCCATTATGCTGGCTAATTTTTAAATGTTTTGTAGGAACAGAGATTTGCCATGTTGACCAGGCTGGTCTTGAACTCCTGGGCTCAAGCGATCCTCATGCCTTGGCCTCCCAAAGTACTAGAATTACAGGCATGAACCACTATGCCCAGCCTGACTTTTTAATAATAGCCATTTTGACTGGTGCACAATGGTATCTCATTGCGGTTTTGATTTGCATTTCTCTAGTGATTTGTGATGTTGAGTATTTTTTCATATGCTTGTTTGCCGTCTGTATGTCTTCTTTTGAGAAGTGCCTGTTCATGTCCTTTGCCCATTTTTAATGGGGTTGTTTTTTGCTTGTTGATTTGTTTAAGTTCTTTATAGATTCTGAATATCTGACCTTTGTCAGACGCATAATTTGCAAATATTTTCTCCCATTCTGTAGTGCCTGTTTACTCTGTCACTAGTTTTCTTTTTCCTGTGCTGAAGCTCTCTAGCTTAATTAGGTCCCACTCATCTATTTTTGTTTTTGTGGCATTTGCTTTTGGAGACTTCATTATGAAATCTTAGCCAAGGTCTACGTCCAGAATGGTATGTCCTATGTTTTTCTCTAGGATTTTTATAGTTTTAGTTCTTACATTTAAGTCTTTTATTCATCTGGAGTTGATTTTTGTATATGTTGAAATGAAGGGGTCCCATTTCAATCTTCTGCATGTGACTAGCCAGTTATCCCAGCACCATTTATCGAAAAGGGAGTGCTTTCCCTATTGCTTGTTATTGTTGACTTTGTCAAAGATCAGATGGTTGCAGGTGTATGGTATTATTTCGGGTTCTCTATCCTGTTCCATTGGTCTATGTGTCTGTTTTTGTACCAGTATCATGTTGTTTTGGTTACTGTAGCCTTGTAATATAGTTTGAAGCCAGCTTTGTTCTTTTTGCTTAGAATTTCCTTGGCTATTCAGGGTTTGTTGGTTTCATATAAAGTTTAGAATAGTTGTTTTTTGAATTCTGTGAAAATGACATTAGTAGTTTGATAGGCATAGCATTGAATCTATAAATTGCTATGGCCATTTTAGTAATATTGATTCTTCCTGTCCATGAGCATAGAATGTTTTTCCACTTGTTTGTGTCATCTCTGATTTCTTTCAGCAGTGTTTCAGAATTCTCATTGTAGAGATGTTTCACCTCCCTGGTTAGCTGTATTCCTAGGTATTTTGTTCTTTTTGTGTCTATTGTGAATGGGATTGCATTCTTGATTTGGCTCTCAGCTTGAAGGTTATTGGTGTATAGAAATGCTATTGATTTTGTACCTTGATTTTGTATCCTGAAACTTTACTGAAGTTGCTTATCAGTTCTAGGAGCCTTTGGGCAGAGACTATAGGGTTTTCTAGGTATAGAATCATATTGCCTGTGGAGAGAGAGTTTGACTTACTCTCTTCCTATTTGGATACCTTTTATTTATTTATTTATTTATTTATTTATTTTTTGACTGATTGTTGTGCCTGTGACTTCCAGTACAATGTTGAATAAGAATGGTGAGAGTGAGCACCCTTATTTTGTTCCGGTTCTCAGGAGGAATGCTTCCATTCCAGGTTTTGCCCTTTCAGTATGATGTTGGCTGTGGGTTTGTCATAGATGGCTCTTATTATTTTGAGGTATGTTCCTTTGCTGTCTAGTGCATTGAGGGCTTTTTAATCATGAAGAGATGTTGAGTTTTATCAAAAACCTTTTCTGCATCTATTGAAATAATCATGTAGTTTTTGTTTTTGTTCTGTTTATGTGATGAATCCATGTATTCATTTGCATATGCTGAACCAATCTTGCATCCCAAGAATAAAGCCTACTGGATTGTGGTGGATTAGCCTTTTGATGTGCTGCTGGATTCAATTTGCTAGTATTTTGTTGATGATTTTTGCGTCTATGTTCATCAGGGATACTGGCCTGAAGTTTTCTTTTTTCATTTTGTCTTTGCCAGGTTTTGATATCAGAATGATGCTGGCCTCATAGAATGAGTTAGGGAAGAATCCCTCCTCCTCAATTTTTTGTAATAATTTCAGTAGAATTGGTACTAGCTCTTTATACATCTGGTAGAATTTGGCTGTGAATACATCTGTTCCAGGGCTTTTTTTGGTTGGGAAGTTTTTTAATTACCAATTCAATTTTGGAACTTGATATTGGTCTAGACATTCAGGACTTCAGTTTCTTCCTGGTTCAATTTTGGGAGGTTGTATGTTTCTAGGGATTTATCCATTTCTTCTAGGTTTTCTAGTTTATGTGCATAAGAGGTGTTTATAATAGTTTCTGAGGGTTTTTCGTATTTCTGTGGGATTGGTGAGATGATGTCACCTTGTCATTTCTGATTGTATTTATTTGGATCGTCTCTCTTTTTCTTTATTAATCTAGCTAGTGGTCTATCCATCTTATTATTCTTTCAAAAAACCAATTTTTGGCTTCTTTGATTTTTTGTATAAATTTTCATGACTCAATTTTGTTCAGTTCAGCTCTTATTTGGGTTATTTTTTCTTCTGCTAGCTTTGGGGTTGACTTGCTCTTGTTTATCTAGTTCCTCTAGGTGTGACGTTAGGTCATTAATTTGAGATCTTTCTAACATCTTGATATATGCGTTTAGCACTTTAAGCTTTCCTCTTAACACTACTTTAGTGGTGTCTCAGAGATTCTGATATGTTGGGTCTTTGTTTTCATTAGTTTCAAAGAGTTTTTTTTATTTCTGTCTTAATTTCATTCTTTACCCAGAAGTCATTCAGGAGTAGGCTGTTTAATTTCCATGTAATTGTATGGTTTTGAGAGATCTTCTTGTTATTGGTTTCTATTTTTATTGTGCTGTGGTCTGACAGTGTGGTTGGTATAATTTCATTTTTTAAAAATTTGTTTAGAATTGCTTTATGGCTGAGCATGTGGCTGATATTAGAGTATGTTCTATGTGTAGTTGAGAAGAATGAATATTCTATTGTTGCTGAGTGGAGTAGTCTATAGATGTTGGTTAGGTCCATTTGGTCAAGTGTCAAGTTTGGGTCTCAAATATCTTTGTTAGTTTTCTGCCTCAACGATCTGTCTAACACTGTCAGTGGGGTGTTGAGGTCTCCTACTGTTATTGTGTGGTTATCTAAGTCTCTTCATAGGTCTCTAAGAACTTTTTTTTTTTAGATGGAGTCTCGCTCTTATTGCCCAGGCTGGAGTGCAATGGCGCGATCTCGGCTCACTGCAACCTCTGCCTCTTGGGTTTAAGCAATTCTCCTGCCTCAGCCTCCCAAGTAGCTGGGATTATAGGTGTGTACCACTACGCCCAGCTAATTTTTTTGTATTTTTAGTAGAGATGGGGTTTCACCATGTTGGCCAGGCTGGTCTTGAACTACTGACCTCAGGTGATCCACCCGCCTCAGCCTCCCAAAGTGCTGGGATTATAGGTGTGAGCCACCACACCTGGCCTAGAACTTTTAAAAATGAATCTGGGTATTCCAGTGTTGGAGGCATATATATTTAGGATATTTAAGTCTTTTTGTTTAAGAAGACTTCTTGTTTGTCATTATGTAATACCCTTTTTTGTCCTTTTTGATCATTGTTGATTTTAAGTCTGTTTTGTCTGAAATAAGAAAGTAACCCTTGCTCTGTTTTGTTTTCTGTTTGTTTGATAGATTTTTTTTTTATCCCTTTACTTTGAGACTATATATGTCATTGAATGTGAGATGGGTCTCTTGAAGACAACATACAGTTAGGTCTTGCTTCTTTATCCAACTTGTTACTCTGTGTCTTCTAAGTGTGACATTTAGCTCACTTACATTCAAGGTTAATATTGATATGTGAGGATTTGATCCTGTCATCCTGTTGTTAGCTGGTTGTTATGTAGACTTGATTACATAGTGTTTTATAGTGTCAGTAGGCTGTGGTACTTAAGTGTGTTTTTGTGGTGGCAGGTACTGGTCATTCATTTCCATGTTTAACACTTCCTAAGTACCTCTTAGGAAGTGTTAGGTACCTAGGTACCCTTAGGTACTTAGGCAAGTCTGGTGGTAACAAATTCCCTTAGTGTTCGTTTGTCTAAAAAGGAGTTTATTTCTCCTCCACTTATGAAGCTCAATTTGACTGGACCTGACATTCTTGGTTGGAATTTCTTTGCTTTAAGGGTGCTGAATATAGGCCCTTAATCTCTTCTGACTTGTAAGGTTCCTGCTGAAAGGTTCACTGTTAGCCTGATGGGGTTCCCTTTCTATGTGACTTGCCCCTTCTCTCTAGCTGCCTTTAAGATGTCTTGGGGATGTTTGCCTGGTATAGTATCTCACAAGGGTTCTCTGAGTTTCCTGAATTTACATGTCAACCTCTCTTGTGAGGTTGGGGAAATTTTCATGGACAATATCCTCAAATATGTTTTCCAAGTTGCTTGTTCTTTCTGTATCTCTTTCAAGAATGCCAATGATTCATAGGTTTAGTCTCTTTATATAATCTCATATTTCTTGGAGTTTTTGTTCATTTTTAGAAGTTCTTTTCCTTTATTTTTGTCTGCCTGCATTGACTCTAAGGAGCAGATTTTGAGCTCTGAGATTCTTTCCTCAGCTTGGTCTATTCTGTTATTAATGCTTCCAACTGCATTCTGAAATTCCTGCAGTGAATTTTTCATTTTCAGAAGTTCAGTTTGGTTCTTTCTTAAAATGGCTATGTCATCTTTCAAATCTTGGACCGTTTTACTGTGTTCCTTGGATTGGGGTTCAGCCTTCTTCTATATGTTGATGAGCTTCCTTGCCATCTAGATTTTGAATTCTATGTCTGCCATTTCAGTCTGGTTAAAAACCATTGATGGGGAGCTAGTGCAGTCATTTGGAGGTAAGAAGACACTCTGGCTTTTAGAGTTGCCAGAGTTCTTGCACTGGCTCTTTCTCGTCTATGTAGGCTGATGTTCCTTTAATCTTTGAAGTTGCTATCTTTTGGTTGGGGCTTTTTGGTTTTATATCCTCTGATGCCCTTGAAGGTTTTGCTGTGGTATAAGTGGGGTTTAGTCAATTGGCTTTGTTTCTGGATGCTCTCAGAGGGCCAAGGCTCAGCTCAGCACTCCTGGGCTATGTGTTCCAACCCTGGGGTGCTAGGACTATGCCTAGAGCTTTGTTCTCTGGCCCCTTTAGGTTAAGCACCTGCTGTACTGGAGGGACTCAGTTGTTCCCAGTCCACTAGCAACAGCACTCAGATGGGGGCTGTTGGAAAAAGCACTCCAGCAGGACATCGGCAGACCCCCATGGATGTGTGTGCTGGTTGGAGGAGTGGTGGGGGGAGGTCCATGCACATGTGTGCCAATGAGGCAGGGGGCTGTAAGGGAAGGCTGCAAGTGAGTCCACACTGGTGGGGGAGGGCTGTGAGCAGGTGCATGCTGGCAGAAGTCTGTCTGCAAAAGCATCCCAATGGTTAGGTGGAGTCCGCTGGTAAAAGAGCTATGGCAGTGACTGCTGGCAAGCTGAGGCTGCACTGCAAGTAGGTGCAGCCAGGCAGGAACCCTTGGAGAGGCTGGCAGACAGAGGGATGCTCAGATCAGACTGTTTTTTTTCCCATGGGCAAGACAGCCATGCTCTGCCCAGGTCTGGCAGCCAACAAAGGCTAGAGCTGCCTAGAGGAGTATGGTGGGCCTTGCGGGGGTGGGCACTCATAGCTGTGCTCCACTGCAGTCATTCCTCCACCTCTGGGCTCTGTGCAGGCTGGAGTTCTCTCTCTGCTAACTCTCCAGAGTTCTGTCTCTGCCAACACTCCAGGCAGATGTCTGTGGTGGTTGTGGGGGTCTCCCACAGCTAGGATCCTGGAGGTCCATGGAAAGAATTAGCCACTCCATGTGTATATCACTCATCCCTTCCTTAGGAGCTGCTCAGATCCAGGAATGAGTCTTGGTGCTTGGTCATCCTGTATAGGGTTCCTAGCTTTCTCCCCTTTTAGCCCAGCGTGTGTGTCCTCTCTCTGTCCATGCTCAATGCTTTCTTTCTGAAGATCTGTTCAGAGTGTGCTGTTTTACTCGATGGTCTGGTCTGTTTCAGTGGGAGAGGCTCTTCCTGGCTGTGTCTAGTCAGCCATGCTGGCTCTCTCTCAAAAAGTTTGAGTTGAGTTTTTTATCACTTGCAAGGTAAGGGTTTTTTCTGACACAAAGAGTTGTGTAGCTAAGATAAAATTATCATAATCTTTATTAACTAAATAATAAATTTCATTGAACTACATAAAGCAAATTCTCTAGAAATTCAGGACAAAACAAATAGAAATAAAGTTGTAATGAAAGACTTTAAATTTCTCTTTAGTGACCAAATAGGAAACAAATCAGTATGAGAAAGTCTGAATAATATAATTAACAGGATAGATCTAATTGATATTATATACACAGCACACCTTTAACAGTGCCAGTGGTAATGATACATGTACACATTTTTACAATTAAACCATAATAAAAACTTATTGTGTTCTCTAAAGAAGAAAAAACTGTGACAGTCTCTGACAAACACTCAGTCTTGGAGCTAATAACAAAAGTGGAAAAGTAACAAATCCTCGAAACCCTGCAAATCAAACCAAAACCTTCCTGTGTGATGTATTTTTTGAACAAAAAAGTAAATAAAACTTGTAACTCTAGATAACATATCTAGAAATAGCTACAATAAAAATATGACTTCAAAACCTTTGAGATATAGCAAAAGTTGGACTTAAGGACATTTTCCATTAAGCACTTTATTAAATAAAAAAGGGAGAAAAACATGATCCAAGCAACCAAATCCAGTAATTAAAAGAAACTGTATTTTCTGCTCAGTTTTGCTGTGACACTAAGACTGTGCTCAAAAAGTCTATTTTTAAAAAAGTAATTCATAAATTTTAGGAATGAAGAAGTAAATGACAGATACATTAGAAATTAATAAATTAGAAAATGATATAATTAATAAACACAAGATACAGTTCTTTGTGGGAAAAATTAATGTCATGTGTGAATCTACCAGCTAGATTAGTCAAGAACTAAGAGAGAAAGCCCAAATATACAAAACTAGGATTCACACAGGCAAACTAAGCATAGATATTGATAAATGGGAAGGATTCTAAGGTAGTATTTTGTTTAATTTTCTGCTAATCAACTTGAATAAAAAAATGAAATAAATGACTTTCAAGAAAAATACGTAAGACTATAACCAACTGAAAGATAATTAGAAAATCCAAATAGGCTCCTAGCCAAGGAAAGGGCTGAGGAAGTTGTTACAGAGATCTTAAACTGCAAAGTTCTAAAACCCAGAGAGCTTCAGGGACAAATCACCCAAACCTTCAAGGAACAGATAATTCCTGTGCTTCATCAGCTCTTCCAGAGCAGAGAAATAAGGAAAACTTCTAAAATCTTGTTAGAAAGCCAGAAATTATAAAGAGAGCATGGAAAAAAACTAATCAGTCCACTGACAGACAATGAGTAGGCTGATCTCAATACTCACGTAAAAATCAGCATCTCCTATTGAAATATAGAACATTCATATGGATATTTAGTATATATATATATCTTATATATGTCCTATTTAATGTGAAATATTAAAGAAATAATGGCCAAAAGAAGTTCTTAGTAAAGACGAGTAAAGATGGCTTAATATAGAGAACTCTATTCATGTATTCTATCATATACTCTCACTAGATTCCAAACTCATTTAATAAATTTCAATATCTGTTCCTTATTTCTAAAAACCCCATAGTAAAATAGAAATAAATGGATACTTCCTAGATAAAATTTTATGTGTTTGTGTGGTGTGTGTGTTCATTACATCACACAAAACAATACCAATATTCTGCTTCTTGATAAAACACTAGAGGTAATGCCCATTAAAGCCAATAAAAGACAACAGTAATCATTGCTATTCTTACAGCTTGATAGTTATCACCAAATTCCTGTGCAACAAGGTTTTAGCAATTTGTACTCCCATTAACTGAAGATGAAAGTGCCTGTTAATCCACACTCTTGCCTATGTTATGTTTTATCACCCTTTTAAGTCTTTGCCAATTTGATATAGGAAAATATTTACAGTAGTTTTAATTATCATTCCTTTAAGCATTTGTGAGCTGAATTTTTAGGTTTAAAAGCCATTTATGCTTTTGTAACTAACCTATTCCAGTCTTTTGCCCATTTTTCTGTTTGATATGCCTTGTTTGAAATTGTCATATTTGTAAATTAATAATATTAACCCTTTGTCATATATCTTAACAATTTTTTCCAGTTTATAGTCTGTCTTTGATCTTATTTATGGTGTCTTTTTTCATGAATAAACTTAAATGTTTTTATATAATAAAATTTTCAACCTTATCTCTTAATAGTTTTTTGGCCTTGGTATTTACATTGAGAAGGGCTCTATTCTAAGAACACGAAACTATTCCCCACTGCTTTATACTAACAGCTCTACAGTTATAGTTACAATTTTACATTGAACCATTTGATACACCTGCAATTTATTATGGTGTAAGGATTGAGGTAGAGTTACAAATGACTAGCAAAATTTCCCATGTCATCCATTGATGAGCGATTCATCTTCTTCCATTGATTTTAGGCATCATCCTTCAATACTATTTTCTTTTCTAACCTCAGGTTTGCATGTATACCTTCTATTCCATTTCACTCGTCTGATTATTGCTCTTACCAGGACAGGCTGTTTGCCAGGGCAAGTGCTTTGCCATTATTCTTCTATTTTGGAATTTTTCATATTATTCTCAGAAGTTAGTTCTTCCAGATAAGCTCTAGAATTATTCTGTCAAGTTCCAAAAAATGTTCTGTTGACATCTGACTGAGACTATTGAATTCTAGTTTGATTTAGAATGAAATATTGAATGTTTCCCCCTAAGATAAAATATGTTTCTCTATTTTAAAAATAATTTTTATGCTCTTCAGTGGAGTTTTACAATTTTATTTATGTGCATCTTATGTGCTCTTCATCTACTTTATTCTTAGGTGTACTGTATTTTTGGTACTATAGTGGATTTCCCATTATATTTCTTTTTCTTTCTTTTTTTTTTTTTTTTTTGAGATGGAGTTTTGCTCTTGTTGCCCAGGCTGGAGTGCAATGGCACGATCTCGGCTCACTGCAACCTCCACCTCCTGGCTTCAAGCAATTCTCCTGCCTCAGCCTCCCAAGTAGCTGGGATTACAGGTATGCGCCACCACACCCAGCTAATTTTGTATTTTTAGTAGAGATGGGGTTTCTCCATGTTGGTCAGGCTGGTCTCGAGCTCCCAACCTCAGGTGATCCACCCACCTCAGCCTCCCAAAGTGCTGGGATTACAGGCATGAGCCACCGCACCTGGCCTTATATTTCTTTAAATCATATTTTTAACAGGTTATTGACTATATAAGTTATCTATATATTAATTTTAAATTAGAACCCTTAGTAAGCTGTATTATTGTTTCTATTAAGTTTTTGGTTGATGTGAGTCACAATCATATCTGAAAATAATTATTTTTGCCTCCCCCCTTTCTAGCATTTATAAATTTTATTTATTTCCCTTGTCTAATAGTAATGACCAACAATTACAGAAGAATGTTAAATATTAATAGATTACATTTGCTGAGCACTTGTTATATGCCAGATATTGTACTAAACTCTTTATACTAATTAACTCATTTGATTCTCAGAAAAACCTAAAAAAGTTAACATTATTATTCTCATTTCTTAGATAAGAAAATTAAAGTATAGAAATATAAGGTAATGTACCCATATTTTCACAGCTGATGAGTGGTAGAGCCAGAATTTGAACCAACACAATTCCATCTTTTGCAGAGTCATGCTTTAAGATCTACCAGTTTGTCTGTGTCTATCTGTATAATATCTGGCCTTTATAAGTTTGTCTGTCATGTGCCCAGATGTGGTTTTCTTTGTATTTATTCTGCTTGCAATTCACTGAGTTTTTTATATTTTTTTGAGTTGCTATTTTGTTCTGGTTTTTCTTGTCAAATTTTGAAAATTTTTAGTCAATATTTCTTCAAATGTATTTTGGATCTTTTTATTCTTTTCTGGGACTCTAAATACATATATATTAGACTGCTTAATGCTGTCCCATAGGCCACTGGGACTCTGTTGATTTATTCTCAATCTTTTTTTTCTCTGTGCTTTAGTTTAGATGATTTCTGTTGACCTGTCTTCAAATTTACTAATTCTTTCTTCTGTTATATCCAATCAATTGTTATCCCATTCCATGACTTTTGAATTATAGCTATTATAATTTCCCAGATCTAGAACTTTCATTTGATTCTTTTTTAATGGTTTCTATGTCTTTTCTGAAATTTTCTATATCTTCACTCATTTTATTAATATTTTCCTGTAGACCATTTAATACGTTTACCATAATTATTTTAAAATCCTCACCTGCAAATTCTAATATCTAAATTATCTGAGGGTCTGTTTCTATTGATTGATTGCTCTCTTGACCATCTTATTTCTTTACTTGTCAAATTATTTTTTATTGTATACTAACACTGTAAATATGTTGATATAGTATATAGAATATGGATTCTTTCTTTTTTTTGGAAGAGTGATGCTTTTTCTTGCAGCAGGCAGTTAAATTACTGACAGATCACCTTGAACTTATGGATATTTGGTTTTGCACTTCCTTATGGCAGTTCTATTTCAGCATTTTCTTAATCTTAGATTGAATCCCTCTTGAGACAGTTTTTACTCCTAAGGCGTGGCCCTTCAGAGGTTTCAATGGGTCGCCCAGGGTATTTACCAAATCCATCTAACTTGGTAACATGTGAACTCTGAATTCTGTTTCCCCTGTGGTGAAGAGTAGCCAGGTTCAGAGTATGGCAAAACTCTGCTCAGCTGTTTCAGACCTCTGGATGATATTGTTTTCCTACTAGAATCTTTGGGGTCTCACTTGCACATGTACTGTTTTGGGGTTAGTCAAAGAGTTGGGGTAAATTTATATATAGATTTTGGGATTTCCTTCTCTGTGGCTCTCTCCTTTTAAGAATTAACTCCTCAATTTTTACACTCTCAGTTGTCCCAAACTCTATTTTCTTGCTTCTCAGTCCAAGAACCCTGAAGCTTTCTCCTTGAGTCTAGTTGCCCTGAGCCAAGTAGACTAAGGAGAGCCTGCAAGGGAAAATCCATATAAATGTGGAATCTGCCTGTTCTTCTATTGTTCTCCAGGCCTTTAAACCTTTTAAAAATGACTTTATCCAAACTTTATAATTTCATTTTTTTTTTCAATTGAGACAGTCTTGCTCTGTTGCCAAGGCTGGAGTGCAGTGGCATGTTCATAGCTCACTACAGCCTCCACCTCACAGGCTCAAGTGATCCTCCCACCTCAGCCTCCCAAGTAGTTGGGACTACAGCTGCATGCCACCATGCCCAGCTAATTTTTGTATTTTTTTGTAGAGACAGGGTTTCACCATGTTGCCTAGGCTGGTCTCAAACTCCTGGGCTCAAGCGATCTGCCCACCTTGGCCTCCTAAAGCTCTGGGATTACAAGTGTGAGCCACTGTTCTTCGCCTATATTTCTTTTTGAGGGAGAATTAGTCTGATATACATTACGTGATCAATGTAAGGCACTCCGTCATTGTCAGAACTGTACCCCCTCACCTGTGCACACAACTCTGAGGCCATGCTTTAAACTAGGGTTTTTCAAAAGTTTAATTATGACCACTGTAATACTTTTTACATTAAACCAGTACACAAATACACACATCATACACTAAGACCACTCACTACTTGGTAGTATACATAACAATTTTATGAAAAATAACTCTATTTCCTTCCTTCCTTCCTTCCTTTCTTCCTTCCTTCTTTCTTCCTTTCTTTCTTTCTTTCTTCCTTTCTTGGTCTCATTCTGTCTCCTAGGCTGGAGTGCAGGGGCGTGATCACAGCTCACTGCAGCCTCGACCTCCCTGGCTCAGGTGGTCTTCCCACCTCAGCCTCTCAAGTAGCTGGGACTACAGGCATGTGCCACCACACCTGGCTAGTTTCTGTATTTTTTGTAGAAATGGGGTTTTGCCATGTTGCCCAGGCTGGAATAACTGTATTTTCTAAAAGTATCATGGTAAATAGAGTAGCCTTGTTTTACATGTATGTAAATGTTTTTAATGTTTCGCTTATTCCAAGATAGCTTGATTCTCTTGTTTGCTTCTGCATTCAATCTATTGTAGTATCACATATCTTGTAGCCTTTGAAAATTCTGCTATACACTTGTAAAAGAATGACTTAGAAAAAGACAAATAACATCTTTGTATTGTTATAAAATTATCAGAACTTCCAGGGTTCCCTCAAAACAAGCTTTGAGAATTACTGCTCAAAGCTATTATTATCAATATTGTTCACATGGGCTATAAAACATAGTTTAAAAAATTTTAATATTTACTTATTAAATGCCAGCTTTGTGCCTGCTCTGTCCTAGAGTCTCTATTTAACTTTTCAGAACAATCCTTCATGGTAGGTGTTATTGCCTCCTGCCCACCTCCACCCTCCCCGCCGCCCCTGTTCCCCCAACACTTTAGAGGAGGTGAGCAAACTGAGAAAGACAGACTCAAGTTTTTTCCCAGGGTCACACCATAGTAGATAATGGTAGATAATTGGGTTGAATTCAAACCCAAGTCTGTCTGACTTCAAAGCTCAAACTCTTTCCATCGTCCTTGTCTCTCAACAAAGTTCCCCTCATTAAAAACACTCTATGAAGGAGAATGAAATGGCAGCCATTTCTTTGATCTCACTGAGTGATCTGCTTAAATGCAACATGCCATTATGGTTCTTTGAGTGGCCAGGAGCTAAACTGACCTAAGCCCTTCCCTGTCCGCTATCCTTGCAGGACACTCAAATCTCCTCCATGTGCCTCACTGCCATTAATTCTGATAAATAGCTCAGAATATGCTTTCAGCATATTGCATCATACACTTTGGCATAAGGACGATTATTCTGTAATAAATGAAAGGATCACATCCTGCGGTGAAGAATAAGCAGCAATGTAGATCAATTCCTTAAAAAGATTTTCTCTTTATTACTGTCAAGGGGTTAGATCTAGGATAGTGTAGCATACAGATAATAAAGGTGAAATACAGGATACTTTACAGATAACTACTATCCACTTTCTTTTTTCTGACAGTTATGGAGGGAAAGGAAAACCATAGATGTCTGATAAGACCCAGAGACATCCTTTCATTATATGTCTTAAGAGAGAGGAACAAGTGAGAGTAACATAGAAAGAGACATAGGGAAAAAAATTAGAAGGATAAAGAAAAAATCTGAGCACTTCTTTATTATATGGGTGGTTTCTGATTACTGCACATCTGTGAACAATATTTGAGATTTATTTCTTCTCTCTGGGGATTCCTTGCTGGGCTAAAGTTGATGTCTGGAGCTATGTATAGCTTCTGTGAAAGGATCCCTTGGCAAATTAAATTCCACGGTTTTGTCTTCATTCATAATGCATACTTTATACATCTCCGCAAATAACGATTGAAATTTAAACTAGAGAGTGACAAAATAGACCTGGCTCTGGGTCTAAACAAAATTGGAATATTTGACTATTCTGAAGTCATCCCTGATCACTTTCCCTTTAATATTAGGCTAATCTTTTCCCATTGAAAGGGTTCTTTTTCACATTTAGAATTATCAACAGTGAAGAATGAAAACAAAGATGCTGTAGCACAATTTCTCAAAATAAGTTTCTATGCTAACATCATCCATATGAAAATAGGGAGACAACCACCATAAAAAGTTAAAAGAGAAAGGAAAAAGGAATAAAACAAACTACTCCCCACTTCCTCCCCAAACTGACCTAGCCCTGAGGACACAGTAAAATTTCTATATGAGTGGCCGCAGTAACTGTGGGCACAGATTCAATTTTTCAATATAATTATTTCAAGTTCTAACCTTAAGGTTCCTATAAACACAATTCCAAATCTTAAAGTACTCCAAAGATCTTCATCTGCATTAAGCAGGAGAACGAAGGCATCCTTCACTATGGAGATCCATAATTCAGAATTATGTCACACTACAAAATGGAAGCTAGGATTCAACCTGCTGATAACTGATGAATTTACCAACGTTGCAGTCTGTTTGGAGAGCTGTGAATTGTCTAGATTCACTTAAGTGCAGGTTAAAAACTTGCTCTTTTTCTGTATTTGTTTGCAAATGATTAGTATACTGTTTAAAAAAAGAAAAGCAGGATATGAATGACAAAGAAATCATGAAACAGAGGGCATGGGTATCAACATTATAAAAACATAAACATAGAGTAAATAGAAAAAGGGAAACAATTATTCATAATCACAACATTTTAATACTACCATTTGTAGCATTTTAATTTTCTCTTCTGATTTTTTTTTTTTTTTGAGACAGGGTCTCACCCTGTTGCCCAGGCTGGATTGCGGTGGCATGATCACGGCTCACTGCAGCCTCGACTCCCAGGCTCAGGTGATCCTCCCTCCTTAACCTCCTAAGTAGCTGGGAGTACAGGTGTGTACCACCATTCCTAGCTAATTTTTGTATTTTGTGTAGAGATGGGGTTTCATCATGTTGCCCAAGCTGGTCTTGAACTCGTGAGCTCAAGCAATCCTCCTGCCTCGACCTCTGAAAGTGCTGGGATTACAGGCATGAGCCACAGTGCCTGGCCAAGATCTTTTTTCTCATATATATATATATTTGTGTGTGTGTGTGTGTGTGTATGTAGGCACTCTCTTCCCTTATAAAAGTCATATTCATTTTGCGACATCATTTGTCTCTTGTTTTTTGAAATCTAACATCATACATAACAAGTATTTACAAAGTTTCTATGTAATCTTAACAATCTCTCTAATGGATATACCATAATCACTTTTGTATGACTATAAATGTGTGTTGTGTCTCAATTTTGTGTATATATTTGTGTATAGAATATCTTCATGCATACTGCTTTTTCTTTTTTCTTCCTCTCTCCTGTTTTCTTTTGTCCTAATCAACACCATTATTCCCCTCCCTGCCACATGGAACAATTCTAAAAAGTTTCCCTTTGGGAGGCTGAGGGAGTGGATCATGAGGTCAAGAGATTGAGACCATCCTGGCCAACATGGTGAAACCCCATCTCTGCCAAAAATACAAAAATTAGATGGGTGTGGTGGCATGCTCCTCTGGTCCCAGCTACTTGGCAGGCTGAGGCAGAAGAATTGCTTGAACCGGGGAGGTGGAGGTTACAGTGAGCTGAGATTGCGCCACTGCACTCCAGCTTGGGCGATGGAGTGAGACTCCATCTCAAAAAAAAAAAGTTTTTAATGTATTTTTGTGTGTGTTCCTGCAAAATGTGTATTCTTGTTTTGTATATATGCATTTTTATCTTACATAAACATATCTCATTCTGTTTCTTACTTTCTTCACATAGCTAAAGGGATATCTGTGTCATTGCTTCTAACTGCAGTATATGTTCCATGACCTGCCTTGTAAACTATCCATTTTCCCAGTGCTGGGATTCCAGATTTCTTCCAGCTCCCCACCACAACAAATAACCATGTCCAAAATTCACCAGTAAAGGCATCTAGACCTAGAGGTGTTTTTTTTTTTTTTTTGTGGGAGAATTTTTAATTACAAATTCATTTTTAAAAATTGATAAAGAGCTGTGCAGATTTTCTAATTTTTTATGACAGTGTTGTTAGTTTGTATCTTTCAAAGGTTTGTTGATTTTATCTAAATTTTCACAATTATTGACTGAAAGTTGTTCATAGTATTTCCCTATTATTCTTTTAGTATCTGTAGGATCCATAGTGATGTTCTCTCTTTCGTTCCTGATATTGATAATGTGTTATCTGTTTTTACTTGATCAATCTAGACAGAGTTTTATCATTTTATTGATATTTCCAAAGAACCAATTTTTGTTTTATTGATTTATTTCCACTGTTTGTTTTTCATTTCATTGATTTCCATTTATATCTTTATTATTTTCTTCTTTCTATTTATTTTAGGTTTAATTTAATATTCTTTTTATATACTCTTAAAGGGGAAGCTTAGATCATAAAGATTAGACAATTATTCTTTTCTAAAACAAGCATTTAAAGCTATACCTTTTCCTCTGAACACTGCTTTAATATCAAACCAGAACATTATGTTACATTTTCATTATCATTCAATTTGAAATATTTTCTCATTTCTTCTGTGATTATTTCTTTGCCCTATGGATTATTTTAAAGTGCATTGTTTAATTTCAAAATGTTTGAGTATTCTAAAGATACCATTTGTATTGATTTCTAATATAGTTCTGTAGTGGTCAGATAGCATACTATGTATAATTTCAAATTTAGTAAGACTTGCTTTGGTGAATGTCCTATGTATACTTAAAAAAAGTATTTTGCAGTTGTTGGGTGAGGTTTATTTTAAATACCCATTAACTTATATTTGTTCATAGTGCTATTTTCTATTTGTCTGATTTTTGTCTCCTAGTCCATCAATTACTGAGTGTGGAGTATTGAAATAACTACCTGCACTTCTTTTTTTTCTTCTCCTTATAGTGATTTTACTTTTCAATGTATTCTTGTGTTTGTGGTGATTGGGTGGAAATGCATTTAGGATTGTTATGTCTTCTTGATTAATGGACTCATTTATCACTTAAAATCTTCCTTTTTGTTGTAATATTTCTTATCTTTATTTCTTTGATGTTAATAGAACCACACCAGTTTTCCTGTAATTTATAATATATAGTTAGATTATGGGATAACTTTTTCTGTTTACTTAATTTTTTAAAAAAATTTTAAATTAAAATATTTAAATAGACACATAATTATACATTAATATCCCTACATACTCCATGAATATAATTATACATAAATATGTATAATTAAGCATACATATTTATATATATTTATACACATACACATTTATGTATACATACATATAATTATATGTATAATTAAGTAAACATATTTACACATACATATTTGTACACATACATATTTATATATACATATATTTATACATACATATGTATAATTCATTATACATATGTATGTATAATTATTACATTTAATTTATGGTGTACATAGGGATATTTTGATACATAAAATGTGTAGTGATCATATCAGAGTAATTAGCATATCCATGACCTCAAATATTTATCATTTCTTTGTGTTGGGAAACATTCAGATTCTTCTCTTTTATATATTTGAAATTATGTCATAAACTGTCGTGAACTATGATCATCCCACAGTGCTATAGACACTAGAACTTATTCCTCCTATCTAGCTGTAGTTTTATAAAAATTATGGAATGTTTCACAGATGTGTTCTCTGTTTACTTTTCACCTACCAATGCCTTCACAGCCTTTATATTTAAAGTGAAGCTCTTGTAAAGAGCACATAGCTCAGTCCTGCTGAGGTTTTTAGTCCAGTGGAATTAGGCCAAGGTGAGTCAGCTCAGAATAGGGAATGCAGTACACCAAGATGAGTCTGGGAAACTAGTGGGAAAGTGGAATTATTTTAGTAACCAAAAAGGTGTCATCTTAATTTGCAATGAAGAACATTTTAAATCCAACTATCCAGATGGCTTTAATTTACTAAACTATTTCTTAACCTCTAGTATCATGTTTACTTAACAGTGCTGATCCAAAAATATGTTACAGGCATTGGGGGAAGAAGTCACTTAATTTCAACCTCTTGGGGGAAAAACAAGCAACAAATAAAATCAGAATTTTTTTATTGTTTCTTTTTAGAACTCCGCCTGTTATTAAAGTTGTGCTCGTTGGATAATTAAGTACTCTGGTGATAGTCGGCACTGTTAAGATGCTGAAACAGAAAGACAACATTTCATTATTTTCTAATAACCTGTAGTCTTTAGGCCGTGGAGCTCCTAAGATCAATATTTTTATCTCTGTAAGGGCAGTGAACATTCATTTTGTTACACATCTAGCATTTCCAAAGAGGTCACTGTTTCACACAAATAGAGTCGCCTAGTACTCTGTTATTATAATGAATCCCCTCCAAGAGACATAAAATACTTAGAAAATTGCAAACTCCTGTTTTAACCAGCATGATTTCCAACAGTTCTAATAAATGTTTTTTTAAAGAAAAAAAAATCACCCTGACAACAAACAGTTGCTTTTATCATCCCTGCCATCAAATAGTAAAGATCTGACAGCTCTTCAGGTAATCAATTTTCATGAATTCCTAATAACAGTTAGAAAACCAAGTAGGTCTCCCAGCCTCAGCAGCTCAACAGTTGTGTGTAGGCTATAATTTAAAAAAACAGTTAGTCATCTCATCATACGAGTCCTGAGATCATACTGTTAACTTTTATACAAGAAATATGGCTTGTTCTACACACAATGTGTACTATCCTGTGGCGTAACTAATAGGACAATTAGGGTTTATCACTGAATTTGTATATATCAGCATTTTCAATTTCACCTCAGGATTTAGTTTTCAAGTCCTCAACCTGATGTGGAAATATGATTTTAAAATTTGACATTGCAGCAGGGCAAACTGCCCTTTTTGAAAGAGTTTGCTAAATGATTAGAAGAATACGAATCTTAAATCCGGGCTTCAGGAAACATTGGATCATAAATTAAAATGCTGTTTATAAAACCGTTCCCAAATTGTGCTAAAGTTTTTTAGGTGAAATAGGTTCTCTGACATGCTGTATTTGAAATCGGAAGGAGGAAGATTTTGTCATTGTTGTTGTCTTCCAACTATATATCTGCATGCCACTGATTTTTATTCACTCTGCTCTCTGAATTTGAACAATGAAAAGGTCGTATTAATGCACCACTTGGTAGAACAATGGCCGAGGTCCCTCTTGGCAGCTGAAAATCTAGATCATGAATCTTGATGGAGAAAGATGTCAGTCCATAAATATGTAAGATGTCCTTAAGCCAAGAGATCTATCATTTTGGCCTTATTTGTCAGATACAAAGAAGCAGAGCCATTCTCCTGGGACCCTGGAGCTCCCAGCCAAAGCTCCCTTCTCCAAAGAAGACTTTCACATGAAGCCTGCCTGAGGACTGCTTACTTCCTGGTTATTTTACTAAAAGAATGTACGGCAAAAATAAAAGACAAAGAGGCATTATTTAAACTGTTCAAGGGGAAAATCCCAGCAATCAATATAGCCTACAACCCTAATCTCTTCGAATGGGTTAGACTAAGAAATGTGGAAAGGAGATCGATTTTGATATGTTTTTAGTTTAGGAGCAAACCACACTTTAATTCTACTGTGTAGAATTTCACCTCTTGCTATTAGTTATGAATACAAATTAGAGGTCAGAACTGAAAATTTGGTCTTGAAATAACTTTCTCATTTGTCCAGTGTAATACCTGCCTCTCAAAAATTTAAGCATTATGAAATAACATGTGTGAAATGTGTGGCATGAATTTTTAAAGCTCACCTTGCATGAAAATGATTTTACATAATACCAAATAACTACAATTTATGGTTCTCAGGGAAAACAGGAGTGATCAAATTATTCATGAAGTCAGATTTAACATGGTTATCAATGGGCTATAGGAGACTAATTGACAGGTAAAAATGCAACCTATCAACACCAAGTAGATAATGTGAACTTAAGTTCCTTTATATGCTGTATACCTCCAGTAATTGAGCCTGTCTTCTAAACTCTAAAATGGTAAGGCTGTGAGAATATACAGTGCCCAAAACTTAGTTATATTTAGGAAAATGATACTCTTTTCCATCATTTGCATTGGTGAATGTGTAGGGGAAGAGTTACCAAAGAGGTTAAGTTAGATTGAAAGAAATCTCCTCAAAAATTAAATTGGAAAGAAAAAATTGTAAAAATTTTAAACAGATAAGTAAATCATCTGTATTTGGAGGAATGATCGTATCTATTTGCCTTTCATTAATAAATGTTGGATATAACAGTTGGAATTTAAACAAACTTTCAACACTTTTTTTTTTTTATCTGTTGATTTCATAGTCTTCAGGTTTTATTGGATGGGCACTGAAGTTCTATAGTTCAGTGTTCTCCTGAGGCAGGGATTTTTTTAGAACATCCCTGGCAAGTACTTATCCAAATTCCACTGAACCGGAACCTTCCATGTGGCCAGCACTCCTATCTCTTACAAGGCAGGTTGTACAACTCTTACTGTTTAAACGGTGTTCCTTCCTTGTTTTGAAGGGAATCCCCCTCTCCATAACATCCATTCCTCAATGCTGACCACATTCTTTTTAATGACAGAGATCAGCTTTTCACAGGATGACCCTTTAACCTGGGGAGAGGAGTCCCTGAGCCTTCAGAACCCCGCCTCTCCAGGCTAAATAGCTATTTCACACCCTTCCCCTTAGAAAGCAGAGTAAAGTGAGCAATGATGGCTCTTAACTTTGTTTGGGTCATTGTTCCCTTGGAAAATCAGACGCAAGCTAGGAACCCTCTTCCCTTCCTAATGAAAACGTGCATATGCGCATGCCCTTAAAAATGTACAATAATTTCAGGGATTGCAGAGTAGTAGGTTGAGAACCACAGGGGCTCCTGGGGACACTCAGGTCATCTTGGGGCATCAAAGGCTGCTGATCAGCACGGGGCTCCTAGATATAAGAGAGGAGTTGTCGGCTGGGTAGCAGAGGATGGGATTTGTTTTTGTTTTGATCCTTTTATTTTATTTATTTACTTTTATTTTATTTTATTTTTTTGAGATAGAGTCGCACTCTGTCACCCAGACTAGAGAGCAGTGGCATGATCTCGGCTCACTGCAACCTCTACCTCCTGGATTCAAGCAATTCTCCTGCCCCAGCCTCCTGAGTAGCTGGGATTACAGGCACATGCCACTATGCCCAGCTAGTTTTTATTTATTTATTTTTAGGAGAGATGGGGTTTCACCATGTTGGCCAGGGTGGTCTCAAACTCCTGACCTCAGGGGATCCACCAACCTTGGCTTCCCAAAGTGCTGGGATTACAGGAGTGGGTCACCATACCCAGCCTGTTTTGATCCTTTTAAATCAAGCAATTGACACCATGGTGTTTTGTTTGAAAAACTGAAAGCGGACAAATTTTGCTTAACTAAGGACTGTGGATTTGCTGAGGATTTTATGAAGTCGTGTGCACTTTAGTGTCCCATTTTCCTTGAAGGCACCAGCACGGCTGGCCTCACATACTAACCTGGCAGGAGATCCCAGTGGCCAGCAGCTCTCTCCCTTCCTCTAACCACCCTGAGCTGTTACATGGTACTCATGTAACTGGACGAGCTATCAACCTCTCATCACTATAGCACGTTATACTTTAGAATTAGCTGTAATAATACTGGAGCCTACAATAACCAGTGAAGAAGCAATAATTTAAAAAAAAATTTAATTTTGGGGAGTATATAGTAGGTGTATATATTTATGGGGTACATGAGATCTCTTGATACAGGCATACAATGCATACTAATCACATCAGGGTAAATGAGGTATCCATCACCTCAAGCATTTATTTCTTTGTGTTACAAACATTTCAATTATACTCTTTTAGCTATTTTAAAATGTACAATAAATTTTGGTTGACTGTAATCACGCTGTTGTGCTATCAAATACTAGATCTTATTTATTCTATCTAACTATATTTTTGTACCCATTATCCATCCCCCACTCCCCTGCTTTCCCTTCCCAACCTCTGGTACCCATCATTCTTCTGTCATTTCCTTGAGCGTAATTGTTTTAATTTTTAGCTCCCACAAATAAGTGAGAATATGTGAAGTTTGTCTTTCTGTGCCTGGCTTATTTCACTTAATGTAATGTCCTCCAGTTCCATCCATGCTGTTGCAAATGACAGAATCTCATTCTTTTTTATGGCTGAATAGTACTCCATTGTGTATATGTAGCACCTTCTCTTTATCCATTTGTTGATGGACACTTAGGTTGCTTCCAAATCTTGGCTATTAGGGAGAGTGCTGCAAAAAACATAGGAGTGCAGATATCACTTTAATATGCTGATTTCCTTTCTTTTGGACATATACCTAGCAGAGAGATTGTTGGATCATATGGTAGCTCTATGTTTCATTTTCTGAGGAACTTCCATTCTGTTCTCCATAGTGGTTATACTAATTTACATTCCTGTGAACATTGAACAAGAGTTCCCTTTTCTCCACATTCTCACCAGCATTCGTTATTGCTTGTCTTTTGAATAGAAACTATTTTAACTGGAGTACGATGATATCTCATTACAGTTTTTATTTTAATTTCACCAATGATCAATGATGTTCAGCACCTCTCCACACATCTATTTGCCATTTGTGTGTCCTCTTTTGAGAAATGTCTATTCAGCTCTTTTGCCTATTTTTGAATTCTATTATTGCATTTTTTCCTATTAAGTTGTTTGGGCTCCTTATATATTCTGATTATTAATCCCTTGTCAGCTAGTTTGCACATCTTTTCTCCTATTCTGTGGGTGGTCTTCTCACTTTGTTGATTGTTTCCTTTGCTGTGAAGAAGCTTTTTAATTTGATGTGATACCATTTGTCCATTCTGCTTTGGTTGTCTGTGCTTTTGGGGTATTACTCAATAAGTTTTTGCCCAGACCAATGTCTTGGAGAGTTTCTCAAATGTTTTCTTGTAGTAGTTTCATAGTTTGAGGTCTTAGATTTAAGTCTTTAATCCATTTTGATTTGATTTTTATATTTGGTGAGAGACAGGGGTCTAGTTTCATTCTTCTGCATATGAATATCCAGTTTCCCCAGCACCATTTATTTAAGAGACTGTCATTTCCTTGGTGTATGTTCTTGGAAACTTCATTGAAAATGAGTTCACTGTGGATGTATGGATTTATTTCTGGGTTCTTTATTCTGTTCCATTGGTCTATGTGACTGCCTTTTGCCAGCACCATGCTGTTTTGGTCACTGTAACTCTGTGATATAGTTTGAAGTCAGGTAGTGTGATTCCTCCAGTTTTGTTCTTTTTGCTCAGAGTGGCTCTGGCTATTCTGGGTCTTTTGTGGTTTCATATAAATTTTAGGATTATTTTTTTCTGTATCTGTGAAGAATGCCATTGGTATTTTGATAGAGATTGCATTGAATCTGTAGATTGCTTTTACTAGTATAGACATTTTAGCAATATTGGTTCTTTCATTTTTTTGTATCCCCTTCAATTTCTTGCATCAATGTTTTATAGTTTTCATTCTAGAGATCTTCCACTTCTTTGGTTAATTCCCAGGTATTTTATTATATTTGTAGCTATTGTAAATGGGATTACTTTCTTGATTTCTTTTTCAGATTGTTCACTGTTGGCATATAGAAATGCTACTGGTTTTTGTATGTTGATTTTGTATCCTGCAACTTTACTGAATTTGTTTATTAGTTCTAGTAGTGTTTTTTTTTTTTGGTGGAGTCTTTAGGTTTTTCCAAATATAAGATTATATTATCTGCAAACAAAAGTAATTTGACTTCTTCCTTTCCAATTTGGATGCCCTTTATTTCTTTCTCTTGTCTGATTGTTCTAGCTAGGACCTCGAGGACTATGTTGAATTACAATGGTGAAAGTGGAGATCCTTTTCTTATTCCAGATCTTAGAGAAAAGGCTTTCAGTTTTTCCCCATTCAGTATGATACTAGGAGTGGGTCTGTCCTATGTGGCTCTTACTGTGTTTCAGCGTGTTTCTTCTATACCCAGTTTGTTGAGGGATTTTATCATGAAGTGATGTTGAATTTTATCAAATGCTTTTTTAGGATCAACCAAAATGATCATATGGTTTTTGTCTTTCGTTCTGTTGATATGATATGTCACATTGATTAATTTGTGTATGTTGAACCATCCTTTCATCCCTTGGATAAAACTCACTCGATCATGATGAATGATCTTTTTAATGTATTGTTTAATTCAGTTTGTTGTTGAGGATTTTTGCATCACTATTCATGAGGTATATATATTCACACGTTTGTTGGTTTTGGTATCAGGGTAATACTGGCCTCGTAGAATGAGTTTGGAAGTATTCTCTCCTCTATTTTTTTTGGAACAGTTAGAGTAAGATTGGTATTAGTTCTCCTTTAAATGTTTGGTAAAATTCAGCAGCGAAGCCTTCAGGTTCTGGGCTTTTCTTTTCTGGGAGGCATTTTATTATGTCTATCTCATTACTTGTTATTGGTCTTTTCAGGGTTTAGATTTCTTCATGGTTCAACCTTGGTAGGTTGTATACTTCTAGGAATTTCCATTTCTTCTAGGGTTTCCAATTTATTGGCATATAGTTGCTCATAGTAATCTCTAATGATCCTTTTTGAATTTCTGCAATATTAGTTATAATGTCTCCTTTTTTATCTCTGATTTTATTTATTTGGGTTCTCTTTCTTTTTTCCTTAGCCTGGCTAAAGGTTGGTTGACTTTATCTTTTCAAAAACCAATTTTCATTTCATTGGTCGTTTGTATTTTTTTGTTTCAGGTTAATTTATTTCTTCTCTGATCTTTATTTTTGTTTTCTTCTACTTATTTTGAGTTTGGTTTGTTCTTGTTTTTCTATTTCTTTAGACTGCATCATTAGGTTGCTTCTTTGAAGTTTTTCTTTCTTTCTTTTTTTTTTTTTTAGTGTAGGCACTTATAGGTAAAAACTTCCCTGTTAATATTGCTTTCACTGTATCCCACAGATTTTGGTATTTTGTGTTTTCATTATCATTTGTTTCAAGAAAATTTTAAATTTTGTTCTTAATTGCTTCATTGATCCACTGGTTATTCCAGAGCATGTTGTTTAATTTTCATGTTTCTGTGTAGTTTCAGTTCCTCTTGTTATTGACTTAAAGTTTTATTCCATTGTGGTCAGGGAAGTTACTTGATATGATTTTAATTTTTCTGAATTTTTAAAGACTTGTTTTGTGGCCTAACATATGGTCTGTCCTTCATAATAATCCATGTGCTAAAGAGAAGAATGTATATTTTGTAGCCATTGGCTGACATAGTCTGTTCATATCTATTAGGTCCATTTGGTCTATAGCACAGGTTAAGTCTGATGTTTCTTTGTTGATTTTCTGTCTGGCTGACCTGTCCAATGATGAAAGTGGGGTACTAATAATATTCACTTTATGTATCTGGGTGTGGCAGTGTCAGATGCATATGTATTTACAATTTTTATATCCTCTTGCTTAATTGAATCCTTTATCATTGTATAATGACCTTATTTGTCTCTTCTTATAGTTTTTGTCTTGAAACTTTTTTGTCTGATATATAGTTAATCCTGCTTTTTTTGGTTTCCACTGGCATGGAATATCTTTTACCATCTCCTTTTTTCCAGTCCATGTGTGTCTTTATAGGTGAAATGTGTTTCTTTATAGGTGAAATGTGTTTCTTGTAGGCAACAGATTGTTGGGTTTTGTTTGTATAAATTCATTCAGCTACTCTATGTCTTTTGATTGAAGAGTTTAGTCCATTTACATTCATTATAATTATTGATAAGGAAGGACTCAATGCTGCCATTTTGTTATTTGTATTCTGGTTGTTTTGTAGTCTTCCCTCCCTTCCTTCCTGTCTTACTTTTCTTGAAGGTGATTTTTTTTTTATCTGGTGGCATGTTTTAATTGCTTGCTTTTTATTTTTGTGCATCTGCTGCAGGCTTTTTGATTTGCAGTTACCATGAGGCTTGCATATAACATTTGAAAACCTATTATTTTATTTTATTTCATTTATTGTTATTATTATTTGAGGCAGGGTCTTGCTCTGTCACCCAGGTGACATGATGCAACATCATGGTGACATGATGCAACATCATGGTGACATGATGCAACATCATGGTGACATGATGCAACATCATGGTGACATGATGCCCTGTTGCCCAGGTGAGATGGTGAAGTGGCACCATCTTGACTCACTGCAACCTCTGCCTCCTGGGTTCAAGTGATTCTTATGCCTCAGCCTCCTGAGTAGCTGGGACTACAGGTGTGTGCCACCACAACTAGTTAATTTTTGTATTTTTAGTACAGATGGGGTTTCATTATGTTGGCCATGCTGGTCTCCAACTTCTGGCCTCAAGCAATCCACCTGCCTTAGCCTCCCAAAGTGCTGGGGTTACAGGTATGAGCCATCACTCTTGTCACGATAACCTATTATTTTAAACTGATGACAATACTGATTACAAATACAAACAAACAAACGATCAAAGAGAAAACTAATACAACTCTGGGATTTAACTTCACCTCCTTGCTTTTTAACTTTTTGTTGTTTCTGGTTATATCTTACTATATGATGTCTTCAGGAGTTGTTGAGTTATCATTTTTTATAGTTTCATCTTTTAGTTTTTCTACTCAAGATATGAGTATTTTACACACCATAATTACAATGTTATAATATTCTGTGTTTTTCTGTATACTTACTTTTACCAGTGAGTTTTGTACCTTCAGATGATTTCTTATTGCTTGTTGACATCCTTTTCTTTCAGAATGAAGAACTCCCTTTAGAATATCATATAGGACAGTTCTGATGTTGATGAAATCCCTTAGCTTTCATTTATCTGGGAAAGTCTTCTCTTTCTTTTTGAAGGATATGTTTGCTGGATATACTATTCTAGAATAAAAATTTTTGTTTCTCCTTTAGTGCTTTAAATATGTTGTGTCACTCTTTCTTGGCCAGTAAGGTTTCCACTGAGAAGTCTACTGCCAGACATATGGAGATCCTTTGTATGTTATTTGTTTCTTTTCTCTTGCTGCTTTTAGGACCCTTTCTTTATACTTGACCTTTGGGAGTTTGATTAGTAAATGCTTGATGTAGTCTTATTTAGGTTAAATCTGCTTGGTGTTCTATAACCTTCTCGTACTTGAGTATTGATATGTTTCTGTAGGTTTTGGAAGTTCTGTGTTATTATCTCTTTGGATAAATTTTCTACCCTGATCTTTTTCTCTCTCTCTGCCTCCTCTTTAAGGCCAATAACTCTTAGATTTTCCCTTATGAGGCTATTTTCTAGATCTTGCAGGTGTGCTTCATTCTTTTTTATTCTTTTTTCTTTTATCTCCTCTGACTGTGTATTTTTTAATAGCTTGTCTTCAAGCTCACTAATTCTTTCTTCTGCTTGATAAATTCAACTATTAAGAGACTTTGATATATTCTTCGGTATGTCAATTGCATTTTTCAGCTCCAGAATTTCTGCTTGATTCTTTTTAATTATTTCAATCTCTTTGTTAAACTTATCTGATGGAATGCTCAATTTCTTCTCTGCCTTATCTTGAATTTCATTGAGCTCCCTCAAAACAGCTATTTTGAATTCACTGTCTGAAAGGTCATATATCTCTGTCTCTTAGGATTGGTCTCTTATTTAGTTCGTTTGGTGTGGTCATGTTTTCCTGGATGGTCTTGATGTTTGTGGATGTTCATCAGTATCTGGGCATTGAGGAGTTAAGTGTTTATTATCGTCTTCACAGTCTGGGTTTGTTTGTACCCATCTTTCTTGGGAAGGCTTTCCCAAACCCAGTAATGGTGTGGCTCTTGCAGACTTATAGAGGTACCACTTTGGTGGTCTTGGTTAAGATCTGGGAGAATTCCCTGGATTACTGGGAAGAGACTCTTGTTCTCTTCCCTTACTTCCCCTTATTTTTCTCAGCATAGAGAGGGAAATGAAGTCTCTCTCTCTGTGCTGAGCTTCCTGGAGCTGGGGAAGGAGTGACACAAGCATCCCTGTGGCTAACACTGCTGGGAAGGCACCAGGTCAGACCTGAAACCAGCACAGCACTGGGTCTTGCCCAAGGCCTTGGGTGACTACTGCCTGGCTATTGCATATGTTCACTCGAGGCCCAAGGGCTTTACAGTCAGCAGGTAGTGAATCCTGCCAGGCTTGTGTCCTTTACTTCATTGTGGCAAGTTCCTCCTACCCTGGGCAGATCCAGAGATGCCATCCAGAAGCTATGGCCTGGAATTGAGGACCTTAGGAATCTACTTGATGCTCTATTCTACTGTGGCTGAGCTGGCACCCAAGCTGCAAGAGAGTATACTTCCCACTCTTCCCTCTTTTTTCCGTAAGCAGGAGGAATCTCTCCCTGTGGCACCGCAGCTTGGGATGTGCTGAATCACACCTGAAGTCAGCATGGCCCAATGCCTGTTCAGTACTGCCTAGCAACCACTGATGTTTATTCAAGGCCCAAGGGCTTTTTAGTTGGCAGATGATAATTCCTGCCAGGACTGAGTCCTTCCCTTCAAGGAAGCAAGTTCCCTTCTGGCCCAGGGTGTGTCTAGAAATGTCATTTGGGAGCTAGGACCTGGAATGGGGACCTCAGGACTCTGCCTGGTGCCCTATTCTACTGTGGCTAAACTGATATTCAATTTGTAAGATAAACTCCTCCTTACTCTCCCCTCTCCTTTCCTGAAATGGAAGGTAGGAGTCTCTCCCAAAGCTGTGAGCTGCACTGCCTGAGGTTGGGGAAGTGATGATGCAAGGACTCCCCTGTCCACCCCAGTTCATGTCTCACTAGGTTGTGTACACCCCAAGTCCACTGGCTCCAGCCCAGCACAGCACCAGGACTTGTCCAGAAATTGTAATCCTTGTGGCTTAGACTGCCTTTCAAATTTATTTAGAACCCCATAACACTTTAGCCCACAGTGGTGGGGCTAGCCGGAACTCAGGTTCCTGACCACTTGGAGATGTGATTCTCTTCTGGCTAGGGCTGGTCTTAATGCTCCCTCCAAGACTACAGCTGATTTCTTCTCTGTGTTGCTTTCTGCTGTTACAGGGCAGCACTAAGTTCCAATACAAAGTACCACAATCACTGTGCTTTCCCTTCACCAAGCACATAGATTCTCTCTCCATGCCATGCGGCCACTGCTGCTGCAGAGGGATGGGAGAGGGGTGGTGCTGGCAGTTCAAGACGGTCTTTTCTTCCCTCTTCAGTGCCACTTTCCTTAATGTGATGTTAAACCCAGGTACTGTGATTCCTCATCTGATTTTTCGTTCTTATGAAGGTATTTTCTTGTGTAAATAGTTGTTCAATTTGGTGTTCCTGCTAGATGGGACAATTGCTGGAAGGTTCTATTCAGCCATCTTTCTCTGCCTCTTCAAAGGAGTAATTTTATTCTTGTTTTTCATAAATGAGTAAACCAAGACTCTGAGAAGACAAATGACTTGGCCATGGCCACAGAGATGGGTGTGTCTAGGACCCAGAAGGCTGGACTCCCTGCTACCCTCCCCAGCACCCTTTCATCCACACAGAGCTATTAACTTAGTGAGCTGGAATATAATCTCATTAAAATAGAATAAGAAGTATCAGGACTCCTGGCCTTTCCAAACCTCACTTGTCTAAGGCAGTGACTTTGCCCTACAGAAGGGTTTGAAGACCTGGGAGCCAATTCTTTACTGATGGTCCCAGAGGAACCAGAGTTGACCAGAGGGGAGAAGCAGCCTTTGCCAGGGGAAGTAATCATGAAAGGAACTGATCCTGTCCACTGTGGGCAGAGGTAGTTTGCTGGACCCAGCTTTGGGGAGTGGCTTTCCTTCTCTGAGACTTTGTTCAAGGTCTAGGAATCTAAAATCCTGCCTCTGGGTGATTTGAACCCTGAGACTTGGGGCCAGATAACGTCTAACAAAAAACAGATTTTTTGAGAAATCACATCTTGCTCCTGGCCCCACCCAAAAACTGTGAGGACACCAGCCAGCTCCAGAGAGCTCTGCAGAGAAAAACCCGTAACAGGGGATGCCTGTGGCTGGTGCCCAGCAGTGTGTAGCTAATCTCTGCTTCCAGTTGTTTGATGCCAGTGTCTGCTCTACTCCAGCAATGCCTGCTCCATATTTATGTTCCTCACTTTCCTTTCCGACCTTGAAAATGCCTGGAAACGGTTTCCTCTGTGGCTGCTGTTCGGAGCCTCAGTGGTGAAGTTTATTCACAGCAAGGCAGGAGCTGGCCACTCAGGCTTTGTGCTGAAGGGCTTTCTGGCAAAGAAATCACCCCACTCACTACCTGAGACAGAAGCCACGTCCAAGACAGCCCTTTCAGGCTGGCCAGAGAATGACCAGGAACTGCCCCTGTGTGCTTTGCTTTCTTCCAGGTGTCCACACAGCAGGAAGCCACACAACCTGGGCCACTGAGCTGAGTGTGTGAGTTGGGGGGCGGGGTTGTGAGAGAAACTAAGACAATCGGGACACACTGGGGAGGCTCTGAGGTGACACCCCATTTTGTCTGTTAGGGACTTGCCCTGGCCTTACCCTTCACACAATGCTGGGCATTTTGGACACTGAGGTGGGATGACCAACAAGAAAATGAGGCAAATTCTTCTCTCAAAATCTGTCAGTGAGATACTCAGAGCATTTGGGGAAAATTAATAAAACAACTAGCACTTGAAGACAATGTAGCTATTTGCTCTTTTTGAGCTTCATGGAATTTTTACTTTATGTATTTGGGGGCAATTTCTTCAAGAAGAATCTGGAAGATAACAAATGTCCAGGCTTGAATAGGCCTGTGTTATTTGCATGAATCCACAGAAAGGCACGGTCTGGAGGACCCAGGTGGGTTCAAGAGGGGTACAGTGCAAGACCCTGCTCACTGCTGGCACGTGGCCTCAGCACATTGCACATGAAATGTGTGCCACCCTCAGGGAAGCCACACATGGTACTCTGTCTTGTTCTTCTCTCGTACAGATGTCAGCTGAGGCCATGACTCAGGACTAGTTATAGACACGGCTCAGATGTGAGACTGCACAAGGCAAAGCCAACTTTCAACTGGCTGTACTGCCTAACCTGTGCATAGAGCAAGTAAGATGGGAATATTAATGACAGGTGGTCTTCCCCTGCTCGTGGGGTTCTGTGACAACTGGAGAAGTAGCTGAGTGTAATGTGTGAAGCTAATAAGATGACTTTAGGTTGCATAGAGATGAGCCCTAGCTACTGATGGACTCACACAGTGGGGAAAGTTACTCCCTCTTCAATCCCCTTCAAATAATTCTGACTGCAGCCAGGGCCAAAGTCCCAGTTGGGCGTTAGCCTTTGACACCCATCTAATGCCATCCTCTGGCTCAGAACCTTCTGCAAAGGACAGCATCAAGCTAGCTGTTAATAACATTGTCTTGTGCCCACTGTATTTGTTTTTATAGTTTTTTTTTCTTATTTTGGTCAAGGAATACTTATTTTCCATTTACAGAGTGACACGAAACTTGAAAATCGATGTATTGTTTTATGAAGGGTAATCAATTGAAAGAAAAAGATTAATTAATTAATTGGATAGGTGGTGCACAAAATTCACGAAGGTTTGGAAAACACTGATACAAGACTGACAGTGCAGACTTGGCGCTGAACCCTTGCTCTGCCATTTCCTAATGATATAGTCTTGTACAGGCCATTTAATGATTGGTAATTACATGAGGTAAGAGATATGGGAGTTCTCCTTGATCTGTAAGATAACAGTCAATGATTCTTTATTGTTACTTAATGTTTTTGAATCATTATATTAAATAGAAAGTACCAAATCTCAGTCACACTTGAGTTTTCCTTGTTGCTATGACCACTATGCATAGACAGGGCATATGCAGAGAGCCACCAGCACCCAGATACCGAAGGATCAGACTCAGGGAGGAGTTTTGGATGGAGACTAGAGCAGAGGGGGAAAGGCTGATGGTCCTGCCCTGGGGCAGGAATTTCAGAGCCATCATCACACCAATAGCTTCCTGATGGTGTCGTAAACACAACTGGTTGTCAGCTGGGCCGGGGCACAAGCTGCTGGTCTTCCACCACCAAGGAGGGGATGAAACCATCACCACAGTCAACACAACGAACATAAACACTTCTTCGCAACCCTCACTGCCCTCCTCATCCCCAGACAGATCTGCTTTCTGTCACGATAGATGAATACACATTTCATGGAATTTTGTATAAACAGATGTACGCATTATGTACTTTTTGTCTTGCTGCTTTCACTCAAAATAGTTATTTTGAGATTCATCTATGTTGCTGTATCAGTAGATCATTCCATTGTAGTGCTGATTCCATCACACAGATATACCACAATTTGTTTATACATCCTCCTGTTGATGGATATTTGTATTTTTGTCTAGCTTTTGATTATTATAAGCAAAGCTGCTATAAACATTCGTGTACAGTCTTTTTATGACCATAGGCTTTCATTTCTTATGAATAAATACTACAAACGTAATGGCTGGGTCATATGGTAGATCTATGTTTCACTTTTTAAGGAACTGACAGGCAGGGTGCGGTGGCTCACGCCTGTAATCCTAGCACGTTGGGAGGCCAAGGTGGGTGGATCACGAGGTCAGGAGTTCAAGACCAGCCTGGCTAAGATGGTGAAACCCTGTCTTTACTAAAAGTACAAAAATTAGCTGGGTTCGGTGGCAGGCACCTGTAAACCCAGCTACTCAGGAGGCTGAGGCAGGAGAATCACTTGAACCTGAGGGGCGGAGGTTGCAGTGAGCCAAGATCGTGTCACTGCTCTCCAGTCTGGGAGACAGAGTGAGACTCCGTCTCAAAAAAAAAAAAAAGAAAAAGAAAAAAAAAACGGACAAAATGTTTTCAAAAGTAGTTGTATCATCTTACATACCAACTAACAGCATGTGAGGATTCATTCCAGTGCCTCCAAATCCTCACCAGCTTTTGGTATGGTCAGTCTGTTTCACTTTAGCCATTCTGATGATGCATAGTGACATCACATTGTGGTTTTCCTCTGTCTTTCCCTAACTGAGTAATGTTAAGCACTTTTTCTGTGCTTCTTGTCATAGTATATCTTCTTTGGTAAAGTGTCTGTTTAAATATTTTTCCCATTTTTAAATTGGGTTGTGTTTCCTCTTATTACTCAGTTGTAAAAGTTCTCTCTATATTCTAGGAACAAGTTCTTTGTCAGATAAATTTTTACAAATATTTTCTTCCAGTCTGTGACTTGCCTTTTTATTTTCAAAACAGTGTCTTTTGAAGAAGAAAAATGTTTTATTTTAATTTTATTTTACTATTATTTTATCTTATTAAATAAACGAGATGGGGGTCTTGCTACGTTGGCCAGGTTGGTCTTGAATTTCTGGCCTCAAATCATCCACCACATCGGCTTCTCAAAGTGCGAGGATTATAGGTGTGAGCCACCCCAGCTGGCCAAAAAATTTTAAATTTTAATGAAGTCAATGTACTAATTTTTTTATTTTATAGCTTGTGCTTTTTAAAATTTATTTTTGTTGTATTGAAGACATCTTTGCTATACATATGTCATCAGGATTTGCACCTATGTTTTCTGTGGGAGTTTTATAATTTTTTACCTCTTACATTTAGGCAAAAGATCCATTTCATGTTAATTCTTGTATATGCTGTGAGGTAAAGGTTGAGGTTTTTTTTTTTTTTGCATATGGAAATTCATTTATTCCAACACCTTTTACTGAAAAGACTGTCTCTTTCCCACTAAGTTGGCTTGGCACTCTGGGTGAAAACAAAATTGACCATCTATGTGTGGGTTGATTTCTGGACTCTATTCTGTTCATTGATCTCTGTGTCTGTCTTCATGGCAATATCACACTGTCTTGATTACTGTGGCTTTTTAATAAGTCTTGTAATCAGACAGTGTAGACCCTCCAACTCTGTTCTTCTTTTTCAAAGTTGCTTTGGGTATTCTAGGTCCCTTGCATTTTCATATAAATTTTGGAGCCGGCTTTCCGGTTCCAGCTTGCCTTCCTGCATGATGAGGGGTCGAGGCATTTCCTGGTTTAGTTGGGCATCTCAGGAAGGTGGTGAGTACAGCCCCTCTACTGTGTAAAACAACAGGCAGGGGAAGATGACTTGTGTCTGTTTCTCTCTCTCTTTCCCTATACCCTTTCCCCCTCACTTGTATAATTACTCCAGGAATACTTCTGGCAATTAAAATTCTTGTTATATAATCATAGTCTATGTCAAGCATGTCTTCATGGTTGAATCTCTTTCTCTCATCTAGACGCCAGCAATCAGGATTTGCAGTACAGATGAAGACTGTGGAACACTTATTTTAATGGGCTAGAAGACTTCCTGGCATGTTTTGAGTAAATTGTGCTACTGTCATGCAGAACTGGATTAATGTCTGTCTTATAAATAAGACCCACCTGGTATCACTCTGTTTGCAAAGTGTAGCAGCCAGTGTCACCGGTTATATCTCCGTCTGCTGTGTTAGGAAGCATTCTTGTCCTGTTTTATTTTTCCCTCAGAAGTATAGAAAAAGGACCTCATGCCAGGTGTGGTGGCTCATGCCTGTAATCCCAACACTTTGGGAGGCCGAGGCGGGTGGATCACGAGGTCAGGAGATCAAGACCATCCTGGCTAACACGGTGAAACCCCATCTCTACTAAAAATACAAAAAAATTAGCTGGGCGTGGTGGCGGGCACCTGTAGTTCCAGCTACTTGGGAGGCTGAGGCAGGAGAATGGCGTGAACCCAGGAGGCGGAGCTTGCAGTGAGCCACTGCACTCCATCCAGCCTGGGTGACAGAGAGAGAATCCGTCTCAAAAAAAAAAAAAAGAAAAGAAAAAGGACCTCATATGATGGGTCCAAGAAAGCTTTGCCTCATAGCCTGGAGCTGATGAACATAGAATCCAACCCCACCAGCCATTCCAGGACACAGAACGGGACAAGGGTGAGAGGTGTGAGGTGTGTAAAGGATAATAATAGCCAGTAAATGGCCCTAAGAGTGAGTGTCACATTAATCTTTTTTTTTTTTTGAGACAGAGTCTTGCTCTGTCACCCAGGCTGGAGTGCAGTGGTGCCACCTCAGCTCACTGCAACCTCCGCATCCCAGGTTCAAGCAATTCTACCGCCTCAGCCTCCTGAGTAGCTGGGATTACAGGTACCCACCACCACGCCCAGCTAATTTTTGTATTTTTAGTAGAGACGGGGTTTTGCCATGTTGGCCAGGCTGGTCTCCAACTTCTGAGCTCAAGTGATCCACCCAACTCGGTCTCCTACAGTACTGGGATTACAGGCATGAGCCACCACGCCCAGCCTACATTAAATTTTGTATCCTAGGTGCCTTATGCTCTTCACCCTAGCATAAGGTGGCCAGGTATAGTTGGCAGCAGGATGTTTAAAAAACTGCATTGCATCTCAGTCCTTAAGCACTCTCATTTTCAACCTAGGGTCAGGCATTCCCTACATTCTTAAGCATTGACTTAAAAAATTATCTTGGCCTTCCTATGCTACTCTCATCCCCAAAGAAAACTAAAGAATAATAATAATTTTTAAAAACCTTCATTTCCTGAATTGAGGTCACGTAGTGGGTTTTAATAATTTATTTTTTCGTAAATGAAACTGTTCTTTTGTGGGGTACCTACTCTGTGCCAGGCACTGGACCATGATGGGGGAACGTGGCCTTACAAAGAGAGGGATAAGCTCATAACTCATTAAAGTCAAAAGGAAGCTGGAAGATGCTCTGTGAGACAATCCCACCACATCAAGGGCAGGGGGCACTTTATAGGGGCCAGGCAGGCACCGAGTGTGTATCCTCACAACAAGTGGTGTTTGTATATTGTGTCTGCATTGCTTATGTCTACTGCCCCCATTTCACAGGTAAGAAAGCCAAGAATTAGGGAGAGGTTCAGTAACTTGGCCGAGGTCATACAGCTAACAAGTTTAAGAGTCAAGATCTGAACCAAGGCAGTCTCGTTGCGTAGTCCAAATATTAGCAGAGAAAATCTCTTCTTTAAGTCAAATGGACTCATGTTAAACATTAAGTGGAAATATTTCAGAGCCTTCAGGATAGGCTTTTTTTTTTTGTCTAGAACGTTCAATATTTAAGTTTAAGAGTGTTGAGAAGGCACAGCTCAGCATGCACTTCCTATCGAAAGTGTGTGCCTTGGCGATTATGAAGCCTCTGCCCGCACACAGGCGTGGTGAGGACGGCTGCACGGCCCTTCTGCCCTCACAGCATTCAGGAAGCTAAATAAGACTTCACTGGCTACAATAACACCCGTCAGTTATCTGTGCTGTAGTGTAAACAACGAAATTCTTATTATGTACTCAGAATCCACAAAGCCATTACCATGGCAACTCTGTTTTCATGTCATATCTTTAATGAATAGGTAATGAAAGAAATTCTACATTTACAACTTCATTACCAGTTTTTTTTTTTAAAGAAGACCACACACACACACACACACACACGCACACACACGCACGCACACACCCCTATCTGTAATTTTGCATTATGGGCGTTGTCATGTTTTAGCACGTGGTGACCTTCACAGAGGAATTTTCAAGGCTGTCATTTTGGATCGAATGAATGGAAAGAAGACAAAAAAAAATTTCCAAACCCGACCCACCATGCCAAAGACTCTGCTAGTTTCACTTTTTGTCTCTTTATGATTTTAATAATTTTGGCTCAAAATAACTCTCCATCCTTAGAAACAAGCAAGCATGTTCGGAAGTGGAGAAGGGAGATTTAAAACCCACTGCTGGTCTCCTTCAGGCTTTCCTGGGCTGACCTGCCTTTTTTTCTTTTCTTTTAAGTTAAAAATGGTTGTCTTCCTTAAGACTTCCTTATCGCAAGAAGGTTGATGAGCTAGGGATCTGATTTGCTGTTTAAGGATTGCTCTAATGTAACATAAAAGATCGTCTAATCATGGCATCTAATTGCTGAGAGGAATAAATTCTTGCAACATCAGTGCAAGTGTCTTAAAAAGAACTTTTACAAGAATTATTAACAAAGTACTATGTAGCCTCCATCCTGACAGTATGATCAAAATGCGTGCACAGGTCTAAAAGGACAGCAGGAGAGCCATAGGGCTACAGGGAAGAAGGAAGAGGCTTTGATGCTCTCCCAACACACCCCCATACACACGTGTGCACACACACATCTTTGTACACACATGCACACACACAAGTGTATGGACATGTACACACACATGCACACACATGTACATATGCACACATGCATGTACACACACCTTTTTGCACACATGCACATATGCACACATATGCATGTACACACATGTACATACAGCACATGTGCACACCATCACCAACTTCTGGAACATTCCCCTGTAGACTGTGTGTTGCTGCTGCCCACTCCCCTCTTCACCCCATGCTGTTGATGGAACATTTGGGTGGGGTAAAAACAATCAGCTGCCCTTTGATCTGCACAGGTGGAAAAAGTAAAACCTTACCCCCCTTCTGCCAATCAGTCCTGTCTCCCCATTTCTGCCCTGGTCAAGTTCCTGATTGCTTGGGAAATGCTGCACGTTTTCCTGCATAGTTATTTGTCATCATGCCACTGAGCAGTGAAATCCAGTAGCTTGTTGTGCAGCAGATCCTCAGTCACGAGATCCCATCATTTGGGATTTGGGATTTGTGATATTCTCAACAGTGACCAGGTGGAAGCTCACCGTGGTCCATTCCTGGAGAGAGTGTGCTAAGAAAATTCAGAGGAAAAGGAAGATAGCAGAGAAGACATGTAAATTACTTTCAAGTGCCCTTGGAAGAAAAGTCTTGTTTGTCTATAAAACATGTCTATTCATTAAAGTCCTTTCTTTAAGAGCTTTGGACAGGAGATTTTTTTTCAATGTAACTCTAAGTGCTTGAAAATAATAAAGCTGCATTTCTCTAATAATCCTGCATAGATGAGAGGCTGTATGCTACAGTGGAGGAAAATATTGCCGGGGCTTCCTTACTAACTTGCTGTGTGGTCTTGGGAAATTCACTTCTCTGAACATGGTTTCATTTTCTATACCAGGAGTCCCAGACCACCGGGCCGTGGACCAGTACTGGTCCGCGGCCTGTTAGGAACTGAGCTGCACAGCAGGAGGTGAGCAGTGGGTGAGCGAGCATTACCGCCTGAGCTCCATCTCCCGTCAGCTCATCAGGCATTAGATTCTCATAAGAGTGTGAACCCTACCACGAACTGCACATGGGAGGGATCTAGGTTGCAAGCTCCTTATGAGAATCTAACTCCTGATGATCTGAGGTGGAACAGATTCACCTGAAAACCAAAACCATCATATCCCGGCACCCCTTGCTGTGGAAAAATTGAATTCCATGAAACTGGTCCCTGTTGCCAAAAAGACTGGGGGCTGCAGTTCTATGCATGGAAATGGGTAGGACGAGATGACCTCTGAGCTCCTTCCAGCTTTACTGTTTCATGAATGCACAGCTTTTCACTGAAACACAGCCTACGGCCCCACCTCATCAGGCAGAAGCACAGAGTGGCCTGAGAGGGAAGCACCTGGGCTCACGTGAATGCTGCCACTGGAAGTGTCCTCAAGACTTCTGACTTGACTTCAGCCCTGTTTGTCATCTCTGTCCATGGCATCCTTGGTGTACTCAAGGTTCATCTCTCCAGAGGGTGGTCTCTGGTCAGGTCCCAGCTTCAGCTTCCTGGAGGATGCTGGCCTATGTCTTTGAGGTGCGCTTGATATGAACTTGTGTGAGCTCCATTGCCAGTATTCTACATCAGCCTACCTCTAACACACCCTCCGACTCTGGAGCTCAGCCAGCCTGCTATTTTTGTGTGACATGGTAACAAACACAGAAATGCAGCTGAGCACCGACTGTGCAGGGTGGGACTGGCACAGGGCCATGGCACTGGGTTCGGAGTCAGAGCTTCTGGATTTGGGGTCTGGCTGTGTGATCCTGGGCACATTGCTCCCAGCTTTAGTCTGCAAGTGAGAACATGAATGTCCCATCCCCCAAAAATCTCATGGGGGCCAGGGTCACGTCTGAGAACTACCCAAGATAATACGAAGGAATTGATTTATAAACTATAGCATGCTATAAAAAAGTGGAAGCTTATGCTTCCAGGAAAACCAGAGGAGACATGATGACCTCCCTGGAAGGCTACCCAGCCTCTAGAAGCCACTTCCAAGCCAACAGACCCTTCAGCACGTACAATAGTCACATTAGGCAGTGGTTCTGTTCTGCCATGCGTCTCTGCACTGTTTTTCCTACAGAGTAGCCTTTGCTGCCTCTGACGGCAGATGCCACTCTTCCTGTCCCTTCTTGCTGCCCACAGCACCAGGTGGGACAAAGGACTCTCTATCACTGTATATACACCAGCATCATTTAATAACGAACAATTACAGACAAAGTGGACAAAGTGGTTTTTCCCTAAAGAACAAAAAGTCCTTTTGACTAGTATATTTATTTCACGAGCTCACTCCTAAGGACACAATCTGAATGGATAAAAAGTGTTGTATGTAGAGATGTTCACTGCTAGGTTATCTTTCAGAGGAAAAAGTCTTAATTAAGTTAAATGTCCACAATAGGAAAAGGGTTAAATAGATTTTAGCGTCTCAACTACATAGACCATCTTAGTCTGTTTGGACAGCTATAACAAAATACCATATATTGGATGGCTGACAAACAACAGAAATTTATTTCTTGTAATTCTGGAGGCTGGAAGTCTGAGGTCAGGATGTCAACACGGCCAGGTACTGGTGAGGGTCTTCTTCTGGGTTGCAGAATGCTGGCTTCTTGCTGTGTCCTTACATGGTAGAATGGGGGCAAGAGAGCTCTCAGGAGTCCCATTTATAAGGGCACTAATCTCAATCATAAGGGCTTCACCCTCATGACCTGATCACCTCCCAAAGTCCCCATCGCCTAATTCCATCACTTTGGGGGTTAGGAGTTCAACATAAGAATTTTAGGGGATACCCACATCCAGACCTTAGCATAGACTACAATCCAGCCCTTGGAAAAGATATTTGAAAGAGTGGAAGTGGTTCAGCATCACATTTAGCAAGAAAAAAAAGAACAGAGTATAAAATCGTATATGCACCATTCATTCATTTATTCAACAAATATTTCTTGAGCACCTACCACATACCAGGCATTCTCACAGGCCCAGGAGATGGAGTTGTGCCCATGGCAGATGCCCTCCAAGCTCGGATGGGATGCAGCCATCAGTGGGAGAGTGGGAATTGGGGTAGACCGGCTATAAGCAAGCAAATGAGTCAGCAGAAGAAATGACTGGTGGTGCAAAAGCTCTGCAGAGGCGATGGTGGAGAGCAGCCCCTGCCATGGAGACAGCTTCCGTGGAGTGACCTTTACGCCAAGGTCGGATTTGCCAGATGGGAACACCTGTGGGAATGCCAGTGGGAGGAGCACTCCAGGCAGAGGGAGGAGCACTCCAGGCAGAGGGAGGAGCTGGAGCAGATGTCCTGGGGTGGGGACAAAGGGGACTCACTCCAGGAGGAGACAGGGGGCGGTGTGGCTCCTGTCCAGGGGTCAGCGGGACAGGATTGAGGGGGGCGGGAAGGAGAGCAGGGACCAGATTCTGAGGTCTGATAGAAGGGGAGGTACAGAGGGGGCTGAGACTTAGATGAAAATGAAGGAGGATGCAGCAGTGAGCTGGGTGCTGGGCAGCCAGGAGATGAGGGAGGTACGAGGACAGGAGTACTGGCCTTCTCAACATGGGGACGAGGGACTGGTATCTCCTGACGGCAAATCAGGAGCCTGGCTGGAGCAGGCTAGGAAACAGAGGCAGTGGCTGGAGTCAGTTCCATCAAAGAGTCCTATGGGTGACGGGAGCGGAGAAAAGGGGTGATACCTAAAGAGGGCCGTGGGCTCTAGGGAGGCCTTCGTCCCCCAAGTGAAGATCTAGGGTGGCCTTTTTCTGCTGTTGGGAGTGAAGGGGGAGACGTGGGTGATTCAAGAGGCAGGGGGAGGAACAATTTCCTGAGAAAGCAAGAGAGGACAGAATCCAGAGAGCAGTGGGGTGATGATGCTCCCCTGGGAGAAAGGTGCTCCCTCCGCAGGCCACACAAGGACACAGAGGGCGTGGGGTGGGAGCCGCTGGGCTGGGGACATTGGTCATGGGAGACGAGAGTGTTTCTCAGATCACTTCTGTTCTCCCACTGAGGTATGGGTACAGGTGAGACGGGAGAGCTCACGCGGGCCTGCATGTGGGTGTGGGGACAGGGGCAGGAAGGTGATTTCAGTAGGGAGGAGAGGTCATGGGCAGGGAAGTGCTGGGTACCCACTAAGACTCATGGCTGGGAGTTTAAAGTTGCCCTCCCCCAGCATGAATGTGAATTTCTAGATAACTAGAATGTGATAACTACGTAACCAGGACACAGGATGACCGCATACTGTATACCTACCGTGTGTATACATAAAACCAAACTTTAAGAAATGGAGGGGAGATATACCAAAATACTCATGGAGGGGGGTTTTGAAGTGGCAGGACCATAGGTGATATATTTTTCTGTCCTTTCAATATTATATGTCTTCCAAATGTCCTATATTGAGCTTTTATCATAGTGGAAAAATTAACTATAACTTTTTTAAAGAAAAAATATGGAAGCAAAGGCGAGGGTAGACACAACTCCCTATATATCAGATATTTTTATCTGCCAGGGTTTCTCAGTGATACTCCAGCAACGTATTCAAATCAGCTGGAAAGTATTTCCAATTAGCTTTTTAAAAGATCAACTTTTAATTTTGGATACTTTGCAAGGAAAAGAAAAGTTGCAAACATGGTGCAGAGAGTTTCCGTACACTGCTCACCCAGTTTCCCCTATTGTCAACATCTCACAGAAACGCGTTCCGTTAGTCAGAATTAAGAAATTATCCTTAGTCCATTACTATGAACCAAGTCACAGACTTTAATTGGATTTTGCCAGTTTTCCTACTAATAATCTTTTTTTCTTCCAGGATCCAATCTGATATACCACATTGCATTCAGCCAATTAGCTCTAAGAGATTCCTTGGCCCATGTGCAAGAATTGTTTGTTTTTTAATCTATCTCAGAGGGTTTCTGTGAGAAGTAACTGAAATAATCCACAGGGAGAAGCTTTGTAAACCATAAAATGCTACATGATATTGGATGAGGTTGACGATGGGTTAGACTCATGGGCTGAAATTAAAGGAAAAAGAGGCTAATAAAAACTTTCATTTGTATATCATCATGTACTATCATCATGTACTTCTTAAAATGCTTGAGGCTCTTGTCTACTAATAAAAAGCTATCACTTATTAAGTGCTTGCTGTACACGTCAGGCACTGTGTTAAATGGGCTTACCTCTACTAGTTTCCTAGGACTGCTGCACCAAAGTGCTACAAACTGGGTGCCTTAAACCAACAGACATGTATTAGTTCACATTCTGAAGGCCAGAAGTGCAAAACTGAGGTGTCAGCAGGGTTGGTTTGTTCTTGGAGGCCCTGAGGCAGACTGTATTCCGCGCCTATTCCTAGCTTCTCGTGGTTGCCAGCAGTCCCTGGCATTCCATGGATTGCGGAAGCTCCATCCAATCCTTCCTGTCTCATCACATGGTATTCTCCCTGTGTGTGTGTGTTTCTGTATCTATGTCAAAGTTTCCCACTTCTTATAAAGACACCAGTCTTTAGCATGCCCTAATCCAGTATGACCTCATCTTAAGTGGATTATACCTGTTAAGACCTTATTGCCAAAAAAAGTCACATTCACACGTTTTGAGTGGAATGGATTTTGGGGGGAACACTCTTCAACCCACTATGTGTTCCAGTTTATTAACTCATTTACTGTGGCTTATCAACCTTATGAGGTGATACTTTTATCATTCCCAATTTACAGACAGAAAAACTAAGGCTTAGGGCCGGGCGTGGTGGGTCACGCCTGTAATCCCAGCACTTTGGGAGGACGAAGTGGGTGGATCGCTTGAGGTCAGGAGTTCAAGACCAGCCTGGCCAACATGGCGAAACCCCATCTCTACTAAAAATATAAAAATTAGCTGGATATGGTGCCGGGTGCCTGTAATCCCAGTTACTTGGGAGACTGAGGTAGGAGAATCGCTTGAACCCAGGAGGTGGAGGTTGCAGTGAGCCACCAGCCTGGGTGACAGATCAAGACCCTGTCTCCAAAAAAAAAAAAAAAAAAGAAAAGAAAAGAAAAGGAAAACTGAGGCTCAGGAAGGTAAATAACTTGCCCAGAGCTCAAGAGCTTTAAGTGGTTGGGCTCAAACTCTGGCCTCTCAAGCTCCATCTTCTTCTTTTTTGTTCTTTTTTTGAGACGGAGTCACCCAGGCTGAAGTGCAGTGGCGTGATCTCAGCTCACTGCAATCTCCTCCTCCTGGGTTCAAGTGATTCTCCTGCCTCAGCCTCCCTGGTAGCTGGGATTACCGGCACGCACCACCACGCCTGGCTAATTTTTTGTATTTTTAGTAGAGACAGGGTCAGGGCTGATGGGGACTATTCTGGGGCTTGACCAGGTAAAGAGCCATGTTAGCCAGGATGGTCTCAATCTCCTGACCTTGTGATCCGCTAGCCTCGGCCTCCCAAAGTGCTGGGATTACAGGCGTGAGCAACCGTGCCCGGCCAAGCTGTATCTTCTTCACCACTTTCCCCGTGTTTTCCAAACTGGGATTCAAGGACGTGTCTTGGAACTCCTCTATGTCTCAACAATAATTTTAAAATCTTGTTCTTTTATTCTGACAATACTCTTCTAAAAATCATTGTCAGCATATTGTGGAACCTTTCCCTGTAACCAAATATTGCCATGCGACATCCTTGTAACGTGGCTAGAATTGTGTTGATTTCTGAGTAAATCACAAGCAAAGAGTAGAGGACTGTCCATGAAAAGAATGCATTTAGCAAGAAACCTAAAATGACGCCAAGGAATGCCGGACAAACACAGGATTCTGGGAGCTAAACTGGGAAAAGCTGCTGTGGTTGAGAAGGATGAGGACTGGGTCTCACCATGAGACACGCAAGAGTACACACTCACGGAACTCCAGGGATGTGAACGGGACCAGCGGGCACGAGAGTCACATTGTGAGAGGATGTTTTAGTTCTGGCACAGCATTATCTGTTACATTAAATTCCTGCTTTTAATTGAGCATTTATAGGTTTTATGGCTTTCTATTGAATCTTTAAGTTTCTCTTGGTTTTTATAGATATATGAGATCTATCAGCATAAGGAGGTTATACCTAATTTATAGTTTGCACGTATTTGAGTAATACTATTAGAAGAATTAAGCTCAACACCTCATGAGGATTTGTTCTAATTGGAGAAAAACTACCTTCTGCTCTCTTGCCTTTGGATTTCACTCCTGCGAGCAGCCAGCAGAGTGGGGTGTGCTGTCACCCTGCATTGGAGTGGGGCAGAGTGGGGCACCTAGTCTCAGAGAAGGCAAGCCACTTCCCAAGTGTTGTCACAGGAGTGGTTCGTGGAAGAATGGAAGAGCTGAGAAGACCCACCAGCCGGTCAAGGCTCCAAGCTGTAACGCACAGAGAATGCAACTCAAACTGCCGTCAAACTTAAAGGGAATCTATTGGTGCATGTTACTCAACAGGTCAGGGTGAAACTTATTTTAGGCTGCTTTTGATCTGGGGTCCAGGTTTGTGACCAGGACCTGGTTGATCTCTTCCTTTTCTCCTCTGCTCTGTCGCTCACAGGTGAGGACTCTGAGGTTAACTCCCCGAGGGTCCTCAGAGGCAGCTGGCAGCTCCCAGGACTTCGTGCTTCTCCTTTCAAGTCTAAGGGGACAGAACAGCCTAGAGGAAGCCCACGAGTGTCCTGTTGGCACCAACTGGGCCCCATTCTAGTCGACTTAATTCTAGGTTATGTGCTCACCCCAGAGCTAGGGGCTGCGGCTAGAAGTTCATAGACTGGGCATGGCAGAGGTGGCATCCCCCAGAACGGAGGAAACTTCCCCCAGAAGGGTGAGGTTCCTGGGCACAGAGTAAATAGGTGATGGACACGAAATAACAGATGGCTAGGAGACAAAACCCAGTGGCTTCGATGGCAAGCTCTCCCACGAATTTTCATCCCAACTCAGCACTTTCCTCACTGCGTGACCTTGAACGAGTGGCTTCACCTCTCAGTTTCTCAAATGGGGATCATGATAATAATATCTACATCATAAGGGTTTTTTTGGTAAACATTAAATGAGATAACACATTTAAAGTGATTAGCCCAGCATCTGGGACATAGAAGTCCTTGCCAAATGTTAGCTCTTATTAATAGTAGTTTTTAATTTGATCTCCAAACAGAAGCAAATAATGAAGAAAGCAATGTCCAGGGTCAGGGCTGATGGGGACTTTTCTGGGGCTTGACCGGGTAAAGAGCCTGTGCTTGTTTGGGATAAATATCCCTGGCTCATCCCTCAGTCACAAAACCTCTTAGAAATGGGGTTAGTGGGCTGGATGTGGTGGTGCACACCTGTAATTCCAGCACTTTGGGAGGCCGAGGCGGGAGGATCACTTGAGCTGAGGAGTTCGAGACCAGCCTGGGCAACACGACAAATTCTCTTCTCTACCAAAAATTGAAAAAATAAACCAGGCGTGATGATGGCACACATCTGTGGTCCCAGCTACTTGGGAGGCTGAGGCAGGAGGATTGCTTGAGCCCAGGAGATTGAGGCTGCAGTCAGTGAGCTGTGATCACGCCACGTGTATGTGTGCACACGTGTGTGTGTGTGTGTTGTGCACTCGCACGTGTATAAGAGATCTGGAAGATCCTCTGACCAAGCTCAGTTTGGGAACCATGCAGGGAAGAGGAAACAAAAGGTCAGGGTGGCCCAGGAGGACGAGGGCCCATGAACCGTGACATCTGCCAGAGGCTGAGACACAGCTTAGGGTCCCCCAAGCCTCACCCTTCCCCTTTCCCAATGAGTCTGTGCCCTTGCCACTGCTGACTTTGATTTGAGAACCAGGAGGACCCCACTTGTGTGACACTCTCTGAAATCGAACTGCATGGAAATAATGTGTAATTTCTCTCCATACATGGTAGAAACCTGTGTACAAGAAGGCAGAAGAATAGCAGGAATTCCTCTATTTTCCCTGCAACTCTGGCAGGACCCAGCTGTGCCATGCAGGAAATGAGGCAAAAAAGAAAAGCCAAAAACCCAAAACAAACACAAGCAAACAAACAAAACGAACAAGGAAACAAAAGCTTTGCTGTGACTGGTGCACCTGCTTCTGCTCCATGGAGCCATGCACCCTCCTCGAGTTCTGAGTTCTTGGCCAGTGCCTTGGAACTCATTTGAGGGGTGTACATGTGTGTATGTGTAGGGGGTGTCTTCTTGCTGTTCTTTAATCTACCTGCCACACTGCCATGGAAGTGTAAGCATCGTGTGTGTGTGTGTGTGTGTGTGTGTGTACCCAGCTAGGATCTGTCCCCTCCTTCCCTGTCTGGTAACAAAACAATAAACAGCCTGCAGATGGGCATCGGGCAGCAGTAGGGGTGGTGTCCTCAAGCCAGGGGCACAAAGAGGAACACAGCCCATGGATGCTCTAACTCCCTCCAATTGATCAGAAATTTATGAAGGAGATTTAGATGCTCCAACATTCTTTTTTTTTTTTTTTTTTTTTCGACAGGGTCTTGCTCTGTCTCCCAGGCTGGAGTGCAGTGGTATGATCTTGGCTCACTGCAACCTCCAACTACTAGGTTTAAGCTATTCTCGTGCCTCAGCCTCCCAAGTAGCTGGGATTACAGGTGCGTACCACCACATCTGGCTAATTTTTGGCATTTTTAGTAGAGACAGGGTTTTACCACCTTGGCCAGGCTGGTCTCAAACTTCTGGCCTCAAGTGATCCACCTGCCTCAGCTTCCCAAAGTGCTGGGATTACAAGCATGAGGTACCTCACCTGGCCAAGATGCCCCCACGTTCTTTACAAAGTTTTGGTTTTCTAGATAAGGTTCTAATTCAAGTCCCCCATGATGAAAATTTAATTAAAAACCATAAAAAAGAAATGCAAGGAGTAAATCAGTGACGGTGCCATTGGTGTGAGCACATTGTCTCTCTTAGAATGGCAGGGTCTCTCTCTGACATGCAGTCTGAGGATTTGTGGCATGAAGGATTGACAATCATTTTTGAAGATGAAACTGAAAAAAAAAATGTGTAGTGATGCCTTCTCGGAACCAGCTGATTCATAACCAGGATGAAAATGGAAGGACAGAATTAATGATACACGCCAAGATTTATGTACAGGGGTATTTATCACTGTGTTTTCACAGTGCCCAAAATTTGGAAACAGTCTAACTTCCTAAAATAGGGACATGATTAAATCATGTCACTTTCACGTGCTGGACTTGCATGTAGTTATTAAAAATCAAAACTCTCAGATTGCCTAACAGAGAGAGGCTCTGCCATTTTCAAAGAAAAGGACATACTCACATGCACCCACCCTCACTGATTTGCTCCCCACATTTGCTTTTTACGGTTTTTATTTAAACGTTCAAAAATATTTAACAAGAAATACCTATCACTCAATGCTCAGCTTAAGAAAGCAGAATTCAAAACTCTATATATTGCATGATCCCAATTTAGTGTTAAAAGTACAAAGGAAAAAAAGACCGGGAGAAAATCCTCCCATATGATAACAATGAAAATGATGTCTTCACCACTGAGATTGTTGGTGTATTTTATTTTCTTCTCTACATTTTCTTTACCAACCTTTTGCAAATGAATATATATTCCATTTTTTCTTAGAAAGCAATTTTAAGGACTTTTAAAATCACAGGAAATAACATCGGGACACATCAAGGCCTCAGTACACATTGCCAGTAGATTAAAAGCCTGGACAGTTATCTTGAGAATCCTCACTGAGTTGCAAGAAAATAAAAAGACCAAGCCTTCTCTATACTAAAAAAATCTTTCCTCCACTCTACTTCTCCCTGATGACTCCAAACTTTTGCCTTCCTCCTTCCTTTGCCATCCAGCCTGCTTGAGTTTTCTCCATGCCATCTCTCTGTGCACCTCCATTCCTCTCCTCAGCTCCATGGACACTGGCTATCTTTAGATCACTGGCCACTCCCGATATTTAAATCCAGAAGCCCAGACTAATTGTGATCTGTCTTAATCACCTCAGGCTGCCGTACAGGATAGCACGGACTGGCTTAAATGACAGACATTTATTTTCTCATCATTCTGAAGGCTGGAAGATGATGGTGAGTTTGGTTTCTGGTGAGGGCTCTCTTCCTGGCTTGCAGACAGCCACCTTCTTGCTGTGTCTTCACATGGCCTTTCCTCTGTGCATGAACACTCTTGGTGTCTGTTCTTCTTCCTATAAGGGCACCAGTCCACTGGATTTGGGCCCCATCCCTAGGACCCCATTTGACCTTAGAGACCCTATCTCCAAATACAGTCACATTGGGGGTGGGGGCTTCAGCATATGGGCTTGAAGGGACACAATTCAGTCCATAGCCCCACTCCTGCCTTATTGACAACTCTATGTCCACCAGCTCCCATTCAGCTTCCAGGCACCATGCTCCTCTGGTTCTATGCCTGCCTGTCTGGTATTTCTTCTCTAGCCCACTCACTGGTACACCTTTTTAACTTGTCTCTTAAATGTTCAGGCTCCCAGGACTCTCCTTTGCTTGTCTTATCCAAGTGATCTCATCCATCTCCAGCGACCTGTGTGCTGATGGTGCCCAAATCTCCACCTGTCACCTTCAACTCCCCACCTGGGACTTCTTTTTGCTGACACCATTCATTCTTAACTGGGGGTGATTCTACCTCCCAAGGGACATTTGTCAATGTCTGGTTATTTCTGGTCATCACAACAGGGATTAAGGAATGCTCCTGGCATTCAGTGGTTGATGCTACACATCCCACAGTACCAAGACAGACCCACAGTGCACAATTACCCAGCCCCAAAAGCCAGTAGTGCTGAGGCTGGGAATCCCTGGCTATATCTTGACTAAAGGTGTCCCCATTTCCTCTGCCTCCCAAGCAAGACCCATCCTCCTCTTTTGTCCCCCTCACACCTGGATTATTCAAAGAGATCCCCAGCCCCCCACCCTTTACACCCATGGCTGTGGCTGAGGCCGTCTTCAGGTCTGCCTGTCACTTGCCTCTGCCACTCCTGACCGCATGTCACTGCGTCAGAGCTTCCTTTCTACAATGTACGTGTGACCATTTTGCTCCTCCCACTTTAGATGCCTGTTGGCTTCAGGACATCATTTCTGACCACATCCCACCATGCAGCCTGGGATCCTGGAATGAGCCTCTCATCATGCCCTGGACATGCCACATCACGCGTGACCTGCCCTAAAGATGCCATATCACATGCCACCTCTGGCCCACCTGTTGCCTCTAGGCCTGGTGTGCCCTCCCCTTCTACTCTCACGTGACGAGGTCCAACTCATTTCAAAGGCCCACTTAAAATATCGTGTCCTCCCCTTCTACTCTCACGTGACGAGGTCCAACTCATTTCAAAGGCCCACTTAAAACATCGTGTCCTCAGTGGAGCTCCTCATCTGCCCAGACAGGCGGGCAGACCATCTTCCTGACACAGCCCTACTTCCCCTCTGTTACACATGTGAACGCGGATTGTCCACCTCCCTGGGAAGGCTGGTACTGGGAGCTCTGGAAGGCAGGGTCCAACTCTCCAAGACTCAGATGTCCCACAGTGGGGTTCTGCTCATAACAGACACTTAAAGAAGGCCTGTTGAAGGAGCGCCTGCTCAGGCAACCCCAGCAGACAGGTTCCAGCTCTGTGTGTGTGTGTGTACCGACTTATGCAGAGTCAAATGCCCAGGGGAAAGTGGGCAACCCAGAGACACATGCAAACATGTGGGAAGTCAGACATACCGTGATGTGCAGTCTCAGGAAAACGCAGGTGATGTCAGCAAATTCTTTGGGCTCAGGGATCTTTTCTTCCCATTATTTTCTTCCTCCAGAAAAATTTTTTAAAAAAATACCTAAAAATAGGCCAGGCGTGGTGGCTCACGCCTGTAATCTCAGCACTTTGGGAAGCCAAGGTGGGTGGATCACAAGGTCAGGAGATTGAGACCATCCTGGCTAACACGGTGAAACCCCATCTCTACTAAAAATACAAAAAATTAGCCGGGCGTGGTGGCGGACACCTGTAGTCCCAGCTAGTCGGGAGGCTGAGGCAGAAGAATGGTGTGAACCCAGGAGGTGGAGCTTGCAGTGAACTGAGATCATGCCACTGCACTCCAGCCTGGGTGACAGAGTGAGACAATGTCTCAAAAAATTAAATAAATAAATAATAATAAAAATATACATCAGAAAGAAAAAAAATTATCACAATCCTGCACTTGGAATATAAAGAAAAGCAGTATTCTTGCCTTTTCAATTTCTTTAATTTCACACCTGAGAGAGAACCACCACCAACAGTTTGAAGCATATCCTTCCAGGTATTCTTCTGAAAGGATATGAAAAAATAGGCACATACACTTCAGTAAAAATATATAAATAAATTAGGGGTATGTTACGTGTATTGTTCTGCAAACAGCTTTTATCCCTTAAAAAGGTATCTTTTCCCCAGTCAGTAGGTATAGCTTTTCTTCATTGTTTTTGACAGTTGCATAATATTTCATTATGTGGATGTACTATTATGCTCTTGTGATACTACAGACTTTTGCAATGTAACCTAACATGTTTACATCTAGCACTAATGCATGATTTTGAAGGAACCATATTCCCAATAAAGAGCTATGGGCCTAGATTATTGGCTAAGTCAAGGAAAGTATTAAAATGCATTCACTTGCAAAAGATGCTTTATAATTGAAAATAAAACCTTCTCTCCCTCCCCTACCTTTTTAAAGCCCATGTACTGCCTATTGGAGATTACTGTGATATTTTTACATTTATCATAAAGTCTCTTCTGCGGAGAACCTGTTGAAGAGGAGGCGAGTCTCATGCATTTCTGTCCTCCCTCTTCTCCTTCCCACCTTCCTTTCCACTCATTCTCAGCCAAGGAAACCTAAGCATAAATCTGCCTTCAATGGCCCACAGAACAGGTCATCTCAACACATTTGAGAAGACTTGGTGGCTGGCCTGGTGAATTGTTTGGGAATTTTTGAGTTATGAGTTCCTGACATAGACATATATATCAATAAATTATCAAACAAGCAAGAAGTACTCAGGATTGATTGCTTGCAGGTATATTTGTTTATAAACAATTAGATTCAACACAACTACAGAAAGATATTTTCATCCTCTTCTAGCGAATGTAACAATGAAGTTTTGTGGATGGAGAAGTTCTTGCTCCATATAAAAATACAAAAGTTCAGGCCAGGCACAGTGGCTCATGCCTGTAATCCTAGCACTTTGGGAGGCCTCGGCAGGAGGATCACCTATGATCAGGAGTTCAAGACCAGCCTGGCCAGCATGGCAAAACCCCGTCTCTACTAAAAATACAAAAATTAGCCGGAAATGGTGGTGTGCACATGTAATCTCAGGGAACAACCTACTCAGGAGGCTGAGGCAGGAGAATGATGTGAACCCATGAGGCTGAGGTTGCAGTGAGCTGAGACTGCCCACTGCACTCCACCCCGGCAACAGAGTGAGACTCTGTCTCAAAGACAAAACAGAACAAAACAAAACAAAACAAAAAAAAGCTCAGTGCATCACAGCAATATGTTCTTCTGAACAGGATTCCTGGGTTTGTATTGTTTATGAAAATAATCTGCTGCTCTCAGTTCACTTGTAAAGTTGACTGACCAGTGGCCATGAGAAAAATATTTACATACAGAATTTCAAGACTGAGTTTCTTTTGTGGAAAATAAGTGGGTGTTGTTGAATATCAGAGACCAAAAACAACAGATGAATTACGTGGCACATACAGTTGAGATGGTAAATATCCAAGGAATTGGGATTATGTGGTGAAACCTAAAGGTTCTTCTGGCCAATCTCTTCCTCTCACCTCCATAGTCTTCTTAACAGAACTTGGTAACTTAAATAACATGCATTTGGACTATGAGTAGTTTGAAAACTAAGTGACTACAAGTCAGAACCTTTCAATCAGAAGTGAGATCACGTAGGGTTAGGCTGTCTTTAAGACATCAGGGAATAGAATAGCATGAGATCTTTCCTGATTCCAAGGGCATACATGTTATTTTAGAGTTTATTTAGGGATTTCTTAGAACTGGAAGGGCTCTTGGAGTCACCCGGTCTCAATGCCTCTGACATCAGAAGACCACAGCCTACTGGTAGGATATCTTCTCATTACTCATGGTGGCAGACATAGAGGCCAGAAGAGCAGAGCAGCTAGACATCTATGGGGGACACCTTAGAAACGAAGGACCCACAGAAAGGCTGAGATCCAAACTCTGCTGAAACCTCTGAATGATTACTAATGTTTGCACGTGCATACAGACCCCAAAAAGCCTAGCCAAAAAACAGGCAGAAACCAGGGGGCAGGGCCCACCTTGAAAGACAGACTGGTCCTGGTGAAATGTGCTGCGTCTTTGAATATGTGTGTTCCAGACCTACTCAGAGCTTGGGCAGCAGTAAGCAGAAGCCTAACTGGCCTGAGGCATCAGAGGGAAGAACTTGAACTTAGCAGGGCAACTGGAAGTTTAGAGGACCACAAAGACGAGTCCCAGAATCTGAATGCAAACTGTGTCTAATTGCTGATGCCTGGGCTATGCAAGCGTATTCTTCAAACACTTGGCAGGTGGGTGCAAGGGCACTAGGCACTGTTGTAGTTCATGAACTGTCATTAATTTACTGTCTCACCTTGTCGATGGGGCAGGCAGCAGCCAGGTCTGCAGCTCCTTCAGCTCCTGCCAGGTCCCCTTCAGCTTCTCTGATGTCTGAGCCAGTTTATGTCTAAATGCAGAAGCAACAAACAGACATAAACTGTTTAACCATCTCCCATAATTACATAAGGTCAAATCCCAATTAAATTGCATATTCTGTATCATGTAGTGGTTCTTGCTGTTGCTGTTGTTTTTAAATCACACTCTGACCAATATACCATTCAAACAGTTGGCATAAGAAAGCTGGAGTGACTATAGTAATGTCAGATGAAATAAACATTAAGTCAAAGAGAATTGCTAGAGACCAAGATGGATAATTCATAATGGCAATGGGGTTATATTGTAGGAAGATAAATCAGTTATAAATGTAGGTCTGTGTAATAACAGGGTTGCAAAATACGTGAACAAAATGGACAAAACTAAAAGGATAAATAGAAAAAATCTACAATTATAGTTGGAAATTTCAATACTCATATTTCATTATTGATTTCAAAAAATCAGTAAATATATGGAAGATTTGATCAACACTATCAACCAGTTGGACTTAGTTGAGATTTGTTCCATCCAATAAGAGCAGAAAACACATTATTTTCAATGACACATGGAACATTAAAATAAACCATATGCTGGGCCATTAAACAAGTCTCAGTACATTTTAAAAGATTGAAACAATACATGTGTTCTCTGACCACAACAGAATTAAACTAGCAATCAGCAATAGACTGTATCTCTGGAATGTCTCCAAGTATGTGGAAATTAAACAAACACTTCTAAATAACATATAGGTAAAGAAAGAAATTTCAGAAGAAAGTAGAACTTCTTTTTCAATTGAATAAAAATGAAAACACAATTTCTCACAATTTATGACAGGCAGCTAAAGAAGCGCTTAGAGGGAAATGAATAGCCATAAATGCTTGTATTAGAAAAGAAAAAAGTTCTCAAATCAATAATCTGAGTTTCCATCTTTAAAAGCTAGAAATAGAAGAGCAAATTAAACCCAAAGTAAATAGAAAAGAGATAATAAAAAGTAAAATTCAGTGAAATAGAAAACAAAAATCGTAGAGAAAATAACTGAAACCAAAAGGCTTTTCTTTGAAAAGTCAATAAATTCAATAAAGTTCTACCTAGAAAGACAGAAAGCAGAATGTGCCAATATTATGAATGAGAGAAGAGACAGGAATACAACAATTCTACAGGCATTAGGGAAACAATTAGGAGTTATTATGAAAAACTCAGTGCAATGCACGTGATAACTTAGACAAAATATACAAATTTGTTTTTTGGAGTGCAGTGGTGTGATCTCAGCTCACTGCAACCTCCAACTCCTGGGCTCAAGCAATTCTCCCACCTCAGCCTCCCGAGTAGCTGGGATTACAAGCGCGCACCAGCACATCTGTCTAATTTAGTTGTATTTTTAGTAGAGACAGAGTTTCACCATGTTGGCCAGGCTGGTCTCAAACTCCTGACCTCAAGTGATCTGCCCCCTTCGGCCTCCCGAATTGTGGGATTACAGGCATGAGCCACCACATCCAGCCTACAAGTTTCTTGAAAGACAATGTTATCAAAATAAACTCATTAAGAAATAAAAATATCAATAGTCCTATATTAATATAAAAATGAATTCTCAATTAAAAATCATTACTGCAATGAAAATTCTAGATATTAATGACTTCAGTGATGACTTGTATCAAATATTTAAGAAAGAAATAATACCAATTCTATAGAAAATTTTTCAGAAAATAGAGAAAGAGGAAACATTCCCAACTTACTTTATGAGTCCAGTAGCACTCTAATATCAATGCCAAATGAAGACATCAGGAGAGAAAAAGGAATCTATGAACCAATATCATGCATGAACACAAGCAAAAATCCTTAACAAAATATAGATGACCCTTGAACAACATGGGTTTGAACTGTACAGGTCCACTTAACCTGTGAATTTTCTTTTGCCTCTGCCACCCCTGAGTCAGCAAGAACAACCCCTTCTCTATTTTCTCCTCCTCAGCCCACTCAACATAGAAATTATAAGGATGAAGACCTTTATGATGAGCTACTTCCATTTAATGAATAGTAAATATATTTTCTTTGTTATGTTATCTGAATAACATTTTATTTTGTCTGGCTTATCTATAACATACAAAATACAGGTTAATTGACTATGTTATAGTAAGGCTTCTGGTCAAGAGTAGGCTATTGAGTTTTGGAGGAGTCAAAAGTTATATGCAAGTTTTTTACTGCCTGGGGGTCAGCACCCCTAAGCTCTGCATTGTTTAGGGGTAAACAGTATTATAAAATCAAATACAGTATAAGAAAATGCATATACCAGGAATGCAAGGTTGGTTTATTGTTAGAAAATTAATCACTAAAAATTACAATATTAATGGAATAAGGAGAAAACCATATGGTTATATCAACAGAAGCAGAAAAGGCAGATAAAACTTGTTCCTGAAAACTCTCTGCAAACTAGAGGTAAAATAGTGAACATTTTCCTCTCTAGGATTAGAAATAGGTCAAGAATGTCCACTCTCACCAATTCAGCTTTGTACTAGAAATACTAAAGTTTGCAACAGATAACAAAAAAGTCATACAGGTTAGAAAGGAAGACATAAAACTGTCTTTATTCTCAGAAAGCATGGTTATATACACAAAAATCTTGAGGAATCTCCATAAAGCACTAGAACTAATCAATGAGTTTAGCAAGATCCCAAAATACAAGGTTAGTATACAAAAGTCAATGACATTTGTATGTACTGGCAATGAACAACTGAAAAATGTAATTTTAAAATACCATTTATAGAAACATCAAAAATATGAAGTATTAACAAAATATGTACAAGACCTGGACACTACAAAATATTGAAAAGTTTTAAAATATAATGAAAAGAAGAGCTGTAACATGCATAGGGACTGGAAGATTCAATATTGTGAAGATACTAAGTTTTCCTAAAATTGATCTCTAGATTCAAGGTAATTCTGATCAAACTCTCAACAGGCCTTTTTTATAGAAATTGACAAGCTGATTCTGAAATTTATATGAAAATTCAAAGGACCTAGATTGGCCAAAACAATTTTTTAAATAAGAACAAAGTTGGAGGACTCAAACTACTGGATCCAAGGCCTACTACTATAGAGTCGCAGTAATAAAATAGTGTGATGTTGGCATAAGGATAGACATATAGACCAAGATTCATTTATATGGTTAATTGTTTTCCATAAAGGGACCAAGGTAACTCAACGTGAAATTTTGGGGTTTTTTTTTTTGACAGAGTCTTACTCTGTTGCCCAGGCTGGAGTGCAGTGGCATGATCTCAGCTCACTGCAACCTCTGCCTCCTGGGTTCAAGTGATTCTGCTGCCTCAGACTCCTGAGTAGCTGGGATTACAGAAGTGTACCACCACAAATGGCTTTTTTTTTTTTTTAAATTTTAAGTAGAGATGGGGTTTCAACATGTAGGCCAGACTGGTCTCGAACTCCTGATGTCAGGCGATCTGCCCACCTTGGCCTCCCAAAGTCCTGGGATTACAGGTGTGAGCCACAGTCCCCAGCCTGAAATTTTGGTCTTTTGAATAACTGGTACTGGAACAATTCATTAGCCATATAGAAAAAATGAACTCTAACCCTTACCTCCCACCATACATAAAAATTAATTTATAATAGATTGTAGACTTAACTGTATGAGCTTAAAACTAGAAAACTTCTGTATGTCAGCATGAGAGGAAAACTTTTTGACCATCAGCTAAAAAAGATTTCTTAGAACACAAAAAAATGAAAAACTTCTGCTCTTCAACAGAGTTATGAAAATGAATAGGTGAGCCACAGTCTGAGAGAATACATATATTTACAAAACACATATCTGACAAAGAGCTGGTGTCCAGGATATAGAAAGAACTCTTACAACTACACAAGCCAAAATTAAGACAACCCATTTTTTTAAAAAAGAGCAAAAGGTTTGAACAGACACTTCACAAAAGGAGATCTACAAATGACCAAGAAGCAAATGAGAAAATGTTCACAGAAACAAATCAGAACCTTAGTGAGAGGCCATTAATCAACCATTTGAGCATCAAAACAACACACTGATGATATCAACTAGTATTGGTGGGGATAGAGCAAGTGGAACTCTAATATATTGCTGGTGAAAATACAAAATGGTACAGCCACTTTGTAAACCAGTTTGAGAGTTTTACTGAAGTTAAACATATACTTTCCATATGAGTTTAACAATACTCTTTCTAGGTATCTACCTAAGAGAAATGAAATATGTCTACACAAAGATTTGTACATGAATGTTCACAGCAGCATTCTTCATAATAGCCCAAAACTAGAAACGACCCAAGTGTCTATCATAGGGTTAAGGGATAAACACATTGTGGTTTATCCATTTGGTGTGGAATATTACTCAGTAATGAAAAGGGACAACTTATGGATACAGAAAACAACACGGATAAATCTCAAAAACATCATGCTAAATGAAAGAAGACAGGCACAGAAGATTGCATGATGAGTATTCCATTTATGAGATTCTAGGAAAGGCAAACTATAGTGACAAAAGTAGGTGGCCAGGGGCCAGGGTTAGGGGAGAGGATAGGCTGCATCAGAGCATGAGAGGACTTTGGAGTGATGAAGTGTTCTACGTCAGAATTGGGTGGAGCTTATACAACTGTGTACCTGTGCCCAACTCACAGAACCTAAGATGGGTGAATTTTATTGCATACAAATTATACCTCTATTGTGCCTCCCAAAGTCAAGAATAATTTCTGGACAAATAAGGACTTAGGCAGGATATTTACAAAAAAATTATTCATTCTTCCTTGCTGTATATACACAGCCTGGAAAGGGATAGGTAGATTTTTGCTTAAGATCAGAAGACGTGGGTCAGATTCTGTTAATCCCACCATGACTTTGGGATGTCAGAGGGGGTTTTCCCCAGGATCTCCCATAATCATGTGTAGCAGTGGTGACTGCTCTTTCCTTTCTCCTACCAACAGCTACAACCCTTATAAACCGTGGCTTAGATTGGATTGTTTGTAACACAAAGGATCAATGCCTGGGGGGAAGGATACCCCATTCTCCATGATGTGATGATTTCTCATTGTATACCTGTATCAAAACACCTCATGTGCCCCATAAATATACACACCTACTATGTACCCACAAATCTTCAAAATTAAAAAATAAATAAACCATGGGGGCTTAGAATGAGTTGTATACCTGCATCTTTTCCTTGCTGTCTAGCATGACACCTTCAGGCAGGACCAACCCAATGAGACTATTTTATTTTAACAGTGTACAGCGGGACATTTGAACTTCCTGTGGTACCCAGTTCCCTTTCCATCCATCATCATCATCTACAAGTTCCTCCTTATCTAATCCAAATTCCTAATGCTTCCATCTTCTCTCATCCTCTTCTCTTTTACTTCCCACAGGGTCAATGAAGCAAAGCTCATAACCATCTGTAAAACAACCTTTTCTACCCTTGAGGAGAATCATTAAATCATACTCCATTCTTGCACACTGAGATAAATAAATACTCTTCATGTTTGTGAGTTTCCTACTTCCTTATATTTCTCCCCAGAGACAGGCTCCCGGGGCCTCTGGATGGGAGCACACTATAGGAAAAGGCATTGTTTGCCAGGAGCTTAAAATCTGGTGTTCTAGAAAGTGGGAAATAGGTTCAACTTATGCTTCTACTACTTACTCATTGATAATCCTGGGGCAAGTGGCCTCCGAGTCTCAGTCTCTCTATCTGATTATTGGGTGTTCTATATTTACAAGAAGTGCTGACGATGAGCAGATGCTCACTAATTCCCTCCCCAACCCCTGCTCCCCAATCCAGAAACCTGCTGACTCTGCTTATCCCTTGGAAAGTGTCCCTTGGAGAATGCTATGATGGAATTCTACTTATCTGGATGATTAAGGTATTGCTTAGACACCGTATTTTTGAAAATTAATGATGCAAGATAATAATACCTAGTATTGATATAGTCTTTGGTCTGTTATCTTAATTATGCTTTATGAAGCTACTATAAAACTGTTAAGTAAGATTACTGAAAATTAATTAATATTTATCACACTCCTGGAAGCAAAGTAGAGCCCTTATAAATCAGGTATGGCGAACTAAAGAAAATTCTTCCTGAATTTGCAGGATCCAGTGGCACTGAGGCTAAATTAACCCTCAGTTCTAGCCAATACTGCTGAAATCAGCAGGGATCCTCAAATGAGAAACCTGGCAAGAACTAAGGACTAAGAAGAAATAACTCAGAATTCACTCAGGACCCGTAATCCATTGGAAAGTACAGTACTTCAGAAAATGCCTACAAAATGACAGTAACTGTCCTTTTCCCTTTTATTTCCCTTTCTTTTAGCTTTGTCACCGGCTTCCTAATTTGTTGGCTGCCCGTTAGTACAAGCCCATTCTTTCAGGGGAAAGGAGAGGAGAGGGTGGTCAGTGGCAAGGAGGGAATGACAGATGGGAAAAATGCTGGACTCAGAGTAGCTCTGACTTAGCAAACTTTCATGTTGTGCTGCAGCCATGCTCTGTTTGCCTGTCCCTGTTTTAAACTGGGTGGCCTGGTGGTATCTGTAATCTGGTGACTTAATAAATGAACAGAGACTTCTCAAAAGAAGACATACACATGGCCAACAAGCACATGAAAAAATGCTCAATATCACTAATTATTAGAGAAATGCAAATCAAAACCACCATGAGATACTACCTCACACCTGTCAGAATGGCTATTACTAAAAAGTCAGAAAATAACAGATGTTGACGAGGTTGCAGAGAAAAGGGAATGCTTATACGCTCCTGGTGGGAATGAAAATTAGTTCAGCCACTGTGGAAAGTGATTTGGAGATTTCTCAAAGAACTTAGAATTATCATTTGACCCAGCAATCCCATTCCTGGGTATATACCCAAAGGAATATAAATCATTCTGCAAAAAAGACACATGCACTTATATATTCATCACAGCGCTATTCACAATAGCAAAGACATGGAATCAGCCTAGATGGGCATCAACGGTGGACTGGATAAAGAAAATGTGGCACATATATGCCATGGAATACTATGCAGCCATAAAAAAGAATAAAATCCTGGCTGTCCTTTGCAGCAACATGGATGCAGCTGGAGGCCATTATCCTAAACAAATTTACACAAGAGTAGAAAACCAAATACTGCATGTTCTCACTTACAAGTGAGAGCTAATCACTAAGTACGCATGGACACAAAGTGGGGAACAATAGACATCAGGGACTACTTGAGGGTGGAGTGTGGGAGGAGAGTAAGGTCAAAAAACTCCCTATTGGGGCTGGACGCGGTGGCTCACGCCTGTAATCCCAGCACTTTGGGCGGCCGAGGCTGGTGGATCACCGAAAATCAGGAGTTCAAAACTAGCCTGGCCAACATGGTGAAACCCTGTCTCTACTAAAAATACAAAAATTAGCCGGGTGTGGTGGTGGGCACCTGTAGTCTCAGCTACTCAGGAGGCCGAGGCATAAGAATCGCTTGCATCCAGGAAGCAGAGGTTGCAGTGAGCTGAGATCGTGCCACTGCACTCCCCTGAGAGACAGAGCAAGACTCCATCTCAAAAAAAAAAAAAAAAAAAGAAAAGAAAAAGAAAAAATAACTACCTATCGGGTACTATGCTCACTACCTCAGTGACAAAATCATTTGTACACAAAACACCTATGACATGCAATTTACTCACGTAACAAACCTGCACACACACCTTTGAACCTAGAATAAAAGTTGAAAAAGGAAAGAAAAATTGTTTAGTGTGATCATTGTATTGGGCTACTTTTTTTTAAAAGTCCTTATTTTTTAGAGATACATGTGGACATTCATATATGTGAAACCATATGATATCTGGAATTTTATTTTAAAGACTCCAGAAAAGATAAGCAGAATTAAAATTAATGAAAGGAGACTAGACGAAAGAATGACAGAGTGCTAATAATGGCAGATGCTAGAAGATGGCTATGAGAGGGTTTATGACACTGTTCTCCCTGCTTCTGTGTATGTTTGAAAATTTTCACAATAAAAAGTAAAATAAAAAAATAAATGAGTAATCATAGTTGGTGTCTGTACATGCTTTAATTGACACTATCTTATAGAGATGGCTTTGATGAAGCATAAATATGCTTTACACATGGCCTCTCCCATACGCATCATCGCAGATGTTCTATTTGAGTTTATTTCAGAACTGGCTTACATGTGATTCTCTAATGGAATATCTTGACCAATTCAGGGAGAGAGAGGTGGGTTACTACTTTATATCTAAAAGCCTACCCTAGGCCCTGAATAGGTGCATTGTGTGTGTGTGTGTGGGGGGGTGGGGGTTGGGGGGTGTACTCACGTGCACACATAAGTCATATGTAAATATTTACATAGTACCATATGTACAAACCATATTTCTAGGGTTTGTTTAGAGGTTGGGACTTAATGACAGTGTGTTGTAGGGGAAGGAATCTGACAGTCAGTAGAACAGCCATGAGGGTGAATCTTGGCTATAATGCTTACTAGGTATATCATGTTGGGAAATTATTGTGAACTCTTAAAACCTCAGTTTCCTCGTCTTTAAAATGAGAACAATAACAACAACAATAATAGTCATTCCATCTATCTCTCCAGTCTCACACTTTATTGCGTCTTGCAAGTACACAAACCGTGTATTTGAAAGTACTTTGTAAACTGAAACACTGCCCAAGGCTAGCTATTTCTTCTAGATTTTCTGGTAACATGAATTATCCAGATTCTCAGACTGAAATTGAATGTAACACAGTCTAAATTAAAAAAATTATTTAATGATTTTAAAAGACATAAATTCCACGCTTTCCCACAATGAGTTAGCACTTCACACCATTAGCATGGCTATTATCAAAACACCCCAGCCGGCAAGGTTGCTCACGCCTGTAATCTCAACACTTTGGGAGGCTGCAGTGGAAGGATCACTTGAGCCCAGGAGTTTAAGACCAGCCTGGACAACATGGCGAAATCCTGTCTCTACAAAAACCAAAAAAAAATTAGCCAAGCGGGGTGGTGCACACTTATAGCCCTACTACTCAGGAAACTGAGGCAGGAGGATTGTTTCAACCCAGGAGGTTGAGGCTGCAGTGAGCCATGATCATGCTACTGCACTCCAGCCTGGACAACAGAGTGAGACACTGTCTTAAAAACAAAACAAAACAAAAAACAGCAACAACAACAAAAACCAGGGCCAGGCACAGTGGCTCATGCCTATAGTCCCAGCACTTTGGGAGGCCAAGGTAAGGGGATCACTTGAGCCCAGGAGTTCGAGACCAGCCTGGGTAACATGGTAAAATCTTGTCCCTACAAAAAATACAAAAATTAGCCGGGCATGGTGGTGCGCACCTGCAGTCCCAGCTACTCCAGAGGCTGAGGTGGGAGGATTGCTTGAGCTCAGGAGGCCGAGGCTGCAGTGAGCCATGATCATGCCACTGCACTCCAGCATGAGTGTGACAGAGAGAGAGAGACCCTGCCTCAAAACATAAAATAAAACAACAACAACAACAACACAATAACACCCCCAGGAAACAGCAAGGGTTGGCAAGCATGTGCTGAAACCGGGACCCTGTGCATTGCTGTTGGGAATGTCGAACAGTGCAGCTGCAAAGTGGAATAGAGGTTACCAGAGACTAGGGGGAGGGGAAGGGACAGATGCTTTTTGATGTGTCAGAGTTTCTGTTTGGGATGATGACAAATTCTGGAGATGGATACTGGCGCTGGCTGCAAAACAATGTGAATGTACTTAATGACACTGAACGGTGCACATAAAAATGCTTTAAATGGAATATATTTCAAATGTTTTACTAGAATAAAAAAAAAAAATTCCAAGCTTTTTTTCCTGTCCTAGCTACTTTGAAGCTACTGTCTTTTAAATATCAAATTTCAAAGTCACCCAGCTCAAAAGGCACAGTAGAAAACTGGTTGACAAACTCACTTTGGAGCGGAAGAATCCAGGTTCTCGTCTTACTGGCAGTGTGACCTTGGTCGCGTCATCTCCTCCTTTCCCTAAGGAGGGTGTGAAATGCTTTCGCCCAGTGAGTTGCTCAGCTGTGGTCACTCTGACTTTAAAGCTTAACTACGAATTTGAGTTTTCTTATCTATGTCCCCTGCCTAATATGACATACCCACTATTCCATACCTTTTTAGAAAGGGTTGTTTTTATGTTTGGTTTTGTGGGGACGGTGGGAGCTTTCGCACCGTGTTGTGTTGTGTTGTGTTGTCCCTCACTTTGCATGGCATGGTCACACCCTGATTGCGACTAGGGTTCCTTTCACCCTTCACTTTTATTGACTCTTGAAGTTTCTCAGTTAATTGCGTATTTTGCGTGTGCGTCAATCAAAATACAACCCTTCACCTGTGCCATATTTTCAGACAATCCTCAGATCTGTCTGGTTTTCTTCTGAGAAATGTGTAATTCACCGGCCACCCCATGCCATGGTTGTGTTACTCTCCTCTCCTCTCCTACCAGAATGTCCCGTCTGCCTTGACCGGGACCTTCTCCACAACAGATCCCTATTCGCCCTTGGTAAAGGAACATTTTCTCATTTCTTGGTACCTTTTCCTCCATTTCTTCCACTGCCCTGGAACTAAACACCGTTCCAATGCTGTGACTGTGTGCCGTGCACTCAGCCTTTCCTCCCCTTTGCTAGCCAAGCTGTCACTCTGCCTCCACCAGCCTCTGCTCAAGCACTTTCCCCTTACGTATCTAAGTAAGAAGTTGGGAAATTAATGTTTCTGTTTTCTTCTTTTCCTAATGATACTGTAGCATGAAGATCATCTAATTCCAAAGAAAACTTCTGAATTTCGTGATGGTTCTTCTCCACTGTTGGGCAAACTTCACGGTCTTGTCATCATCTTGGCATTTAATCACGTCGGCCTCACTGTCCCGCAAGGTGATTCCAGTCTCTGCCTTGCCTTTCATTGGCTGTGGTCTCTGGCAGCCTTCACAGTGGGGTGAGTTTGAACGTGGTGGTCTGCCACTGTCTAGACAGGGAGGCGGTTCAGCACAGTGGCTCAAAATGCGTCTCCAAGCCCTATGTGCATGTTGGACACTACGTCGACCTCTTGCCAGAGGGTCATTAGCTCTGTGAACTTGGGCAGGTAACTCAACTTTCATGTTTCCTGGTCTGTAACATGAAGGGTCTTTACAGTGTCTAACTCACTGCAGGAACTGCCACGCTAATGTACTGTGGCACTTACCACATGTGGACATCATTCAGGGTCTGGACTATGAGGTTCACCTGGGCAGGACCTTGCCTTCCCTGCCTTGTCACCGCCGTGTCACTGGGCCCAGCACCCTGGCTGGTGGTTAAAGTCATGTATGAATGGAAGCAGGCCGGAGGATCAGGACAGAGGATGCTTTATGTTACCCCGCGTGCCCTGGGAGATGCCAGCACCAACTCTCAGGTCTTCTCCGTATGACCACTCTCCTCCCTGTGGCTGGCTGGGCTCCTCACCCTTGTGCCCATACTAGAACATAGACACCCTCCCTTTCCAACCTCCTCCTTTTGGTCCAGGCACATTCTTCATAGTCAGAGACTTCTCACATTTCTTCTCAACTTGGATGCCCTCATACTTTTCTCTTGCCTCATACGGAAAAAAACGCGCCTTGTTCTGCCTAAACTCCACCCCCGTCCCCTGTCCAGGCTCACAAAGTACTTAACTTTCCTTTCACCTTTTCTATACCCCTCGGCCTCTCTCCAGGAAAGGCAATCTGTGATCTGCCTGCCTTTGCTTACATTTTTTGGGAACCACGTCAGCCTTTCCAATGAAAGCTCAGTGCATTGTTATAATCTGATATTAATAACACTGGGCTACCAGTCTTGGAGGGAAGCATTTTCCCATTTAAAAACATGTCTTAGCTGCTGCCTTTCCTGATGTACTGGAGTGCAGGTTCTTGTCCCAGGCAGCCTGGGTTTGAATCCACCTCTTCTACTTCCTAGCTGGGTAACCATGGGTAAGTTACTTAACCTCTCTGTGCCTCATCTGTACAATGGGGATAATAAAAGCTTCAACATCTCACAGAGTTGTCCTGAGGATTAAATGACACGATGCTTGCAAAAAGCTTAGCGCTTTGAAAGTACTAATGTTTCTGATACATATGTTTGTTATCATCCCACTTACAAGTGGCCATCCTTTCCATGTTTTCTTGTTTCTGCCTTTCGCTTGGCCGAGTCGCCTGGAAATCCCAAGGAGGAGTTGTCTGGGGTAGAGCTCCCTTCCCGCTCCTGCCCTGGTCTTGTCCACATTCCTCCTCCCCATCCCGCCATTGCTGCCCTGGTGTCTCTTAGCTGCCCTGCTGTCTCTTAGGTGCTAGACACACTGGGTGACTGGGAGTTAGGAAACACCTGCTCCAGCATCAATGGGAGGTGAGGCAATTCCATTAAAATGCACACTTCTTGTTTCTGTACCTCCAACAACTACTACTTTCAGTTTCTCCACAAACACTTACTGCTTGTTTCCCATGGGTCTGGCACAGGGCAGGCGCTGGTGAGGCAGACCCTCTCCTGACCCTTGGCAGTGGGTGGTAGGGGCAGATACATAAACAGGGCCTCAGAGACCAATATGGGAGAGCAATGGCAGGGCCATGTGCAAGGGGCAGGCACGTGACCACCCTGGGCAGAGGAGGGGTAGCAGTGGCCACTGAGGACCCTGAAGGAAGCAGTGCCAAGGCAGATTCAGAGATGAGGAGGGTGGGCCGGACAGGGGAGTGGGGTGGCACATTCCAGGCAGAGGGGACAACTCGAGCTAAAGAATTCTCCGTATGAGGCAAGAGAAAAGTGTGAGGGCATCCAGGTTGGGAAGAAATGAGAGAAGTCTCTGACTATGAAGAATGTGCCCAATCCGAAGGGAGGAGGTTGGAAAGGGAGGGTGTCTGTGTTCTAGTGTGGGCACAAGGGTGAGGAGGCCAGCCAGGCACAAGAAGGAGAGTGGCCATAGGGAGAAGGCCTGAGAGTTGCTGCTGGAATCTCCCGGGGCATGTTGGGTAACGTAAAGCATCCTCAGGCTGGAAACGATCTGAGGTGAGCCAGAATGAAAAGCAGTTGAGCATTATTGGAGAGTAATGGGACGAGTGCAGAATGGCGCGAGGCAGACAGAAGTCGATCAAATACCAGCTTTATTGTGGACGAAAACCTGCTAGAGAACATAGCTTGACCCTCAGCCAATAGCCCCAAAGAAAACTTACCTCCCCACGCTGCAGGCCTCTTCCTTGGGGATGGCACCTTCCTTGGGAGAGAAACCTGCCTCAGTGAGTGCCCTTCCGTCCTTCCCTGTGTGTGGGTAGCACAGAGCTCAATCCTGCCCCCTGCCATCCAGCGTGTGGCTATTTAGACACTGGGAATTCTCGCCTGCTGTTTTCAACCCTGGCTACCAGAATCTTGGCTGCAGCAGCCCACCGCTGTGTAGTAGGCGGATGTGGATAACGCTAGTTGGACTAACTTAAGATTCAGAATGGCATGAAGAAAACCAAAGGATGCATTGAGGTATCTTCAAGGCATCTCAGACTCATGACCCTTCGCTGTGACCAGGTCCCCTTTCCACATGGCCTGTGTCAGTAAATTGGTGCACCAGCCACCCATCTGCACAAGCAAAGAACTTCAGAGCCATCCTTGACATTTCCGCTCCCATCCATCCACTACCAAGGTCTGCCCATCCAGCCCCTAAATGTCTCCCCAGTCCATCTACATCTTCCTGCCAACCCCAAATCCAAGCTGCCATCATCCACCATTTCATTCTTGGACTCCTAAGAAAACCTCCCAACTAGGCTGCCCACCTCCAATCTTGAACTCTCTCAACCCATTCTCCAGCCAAAGCCTGGGGGATTGTTTTCAAAATGGAAATCTGATCACATCTCCATCCACAACCTGTCCCTTCTCTGGCTTCCCACGGTGTTTAGGATAAAGATCTGAATGCTCACCAGGACTGGTGGGCCTTGTGTGATTCTCCCCTCTCCACCTCCCCACAGCCACTGGGTCCCACCCAGCCTTCCCTACCCCTCACGCTCCCCGGACTCTTCCTAGGTCTTTGCACATCTTCTACCTGGGATGTTCTGCGCGCACTTCAGGCCTCTGAAGCATCCTCCAGAACTTAGCTCACATGAAATCCCCTCAGGGCAGCCTTCCCTGCCCTCAAGCCTAGGTAGAGTTCTGGGTTAGAAGTTCTTAGAGCTCCCTATTCCTTTCGAGCCCTTACCACGGTTTGTTGCCCTTTAGTTTCTGCAATCATTCTCTTTTTCACAAGACCACGGGTTCCCTGAGGAGTGTTTTGGCTCACTCTTATCTCTCCATGGCCTATGATAGTAGTGGAAATGCAATATAAATTAATGAATTCTTACATTATTAATTTAGAAGCCATCAGCAGAGTCCTACCAATGGGCTTCTTCGGTGTGGAATTGTATGCCAAATTCCTATAAAAATTTAAAGTTTTTTTTTACTAAAATTTGGGGAGAAACGTCATAATGAGAGGCACGGGGGGCTACATTTTGCATATATTTGCAGAAGTGGAGATATATGTAAAGTGACATTCTCTGGAAAAACTCCCAGACTATTAATATTAACCCAAGGTCAATACTAAAAGCCAGTTCCTCAGGGAGTTGTACTGAACTGTAAAGAAATGCACCAGGGTGTGACATGGCATCAGAGATGCTGAGCTTTTCATGACTTTGGGAGAGGGAACAGCAACTTCGCAAGCAGGAAAGAGTAAGACAGACAATGTGTTTTCAGCAACTGCCCTAGCAAATTCATTTTCGGTTATAAGATGGTGCAATACCGACATGGAATTCATCATATCTGTCATTAGGGTGCTAATGAGAGAACATCACACACATATCACCTGAGAGCTGCAATAGAAAGAATCACTGTATCACTGGAAGAAGCTAGAAGTGGAGTAATCAATATCAACAAAATCTATTGTTCCCAGGTTGCAAAATTGAGGGATTATTTCTACTGCAAGTCAGAATGAAACCTGTTTGCATTTGTCAGCAAAATGATCACATTTTACACCATTAACATTTGGCAAGACAGAGCACCATCCATTAGCTAATCTGCAGATGCACCAACCACAGATTCAGGAAACCAAAGAGCAGCACAGAGCTGTCTTGCCTGCACCAAGCCAAAGCGATGAGCTAAACCTGCCTCTTGGTTACAACTCAGGTAAGGTGGGTGAAACGGAATGGTTCATTAAAACAATTCAGTAGCTGGTGGCTGCTGGAAAAGATGTCACTAGGATGCATTGAATGTCAGGAGGTACTCAGGCAGGGACCGCTGGCACATTAAGATACTCATGGGCTTGCCAGGAAAGGCCTAAGACATAGCAGTAAATAAAATAAACACCCCTCATTAAATTATGGTTCCCAGGATGGCGAACTGGTGTTCACGTGTTTGGCTCTAACGTCCTCTCTTGAGCTCCCAGTGCTGACTGCCGTGCTGGGACCCATGCCATGGAGAGTCAAGGGAGGAGTGGGACCCTGTCCCTTCTTCTCTGTCTTGGCTTTCTCCTAGGGATGTGGCCTGAGTCCTCTAGTTTCAATCCTTGGCAGAATCCAGGAAATGGCTTTCCCAGCATAACCTGTTCTCAACTTCCAGCTCTCCTTCCTGGCTTAAAACTAGTTAGTCTGGGACCAAGAATTCACAGGTACCACCCAACCCCTGGCCACTGGACATTCTCCCCAGAGCAACCAGCCTTCACGAGATGCTGCAAAACAAAACTCGTCTGTATGGGAACAGACGTAGCTCAGCAATAAGCAGCGAAGCCCCGAGAGCCTAGAGGCTGCTCCTAACCACGTGCTGGAGATGATCCGACATATCCACCTATGGTGGCAAGATTAAACTTCAGCAATTGGCCCCCAAATTTGTCTTGATAGGTGGGTTTCTAGAGTTTTATAAATATGAATCCAAGAAAATATTTTAAAGTATAAACACTGTAAGATGTATTCAGAGAGAACCATAATTCAGAATTTGTCCTGGCACATAATAGGTGCTCAAGCATTTATTGAATGAATGAGTGAATGAATGAATGAATGAATCGTGACCCCAAGAACAGACATGCCACCATGGAGTCAAGTGAGGTGCTCCATCTTCATACTCAACGTGTCTTTCTTGGCAGAAATGTGGCAAAGACAAGCCTGCACCAAGGAAATAAATATAGGGCTCTGGGGCCAGAGCTGCCACAAATATTTGTTTTATGCATAAGATTCGCGATTGTGGAAACTGAGAACCAACAACATAAACTTCCCTTCGTCAACCAATGGGACCTTTTAATATGTATTAGTGGACAGCTTACAACAGTGAGAGTGAGGCTAATGCCAAACCAGAACCTTCCACCCCAGAAGACCACACTAATGCGTTCTGTCAGTGCCACAGCAGAGCTACGATGAGCCACCAGAGTGACCTGAGCTCTAGATGATGGCAACGCTATTTGGCGTTTCTGTAATGCTTCGGAAATGTACTCCTAGCCATTATTTCACTTGCACACACAGTATCTCTGGGACGAGAGTGGGGCAGATACCGTCCTATGTTGTAAAGGTGGGAAACTGAAGCTCCGAGAAGCTACACGGTTTGCCTTTGGCAGGCTAGGACACAGGGTGAGTGGGACAGGAGCCCCATACCTGCTGTCAGCTCCATCTAAACCCAGCCGGACATCCAGTTCCGCCACGACACCAAATTTTTCCCACCTCTGGCCACTTGTTTGTGCTGTTCCTTCTGCTTAGAAGGGAGCACTTCCCCACCTTCACCTTCGTCCTCCTGTTCTCTAGGCAGAGCCCTTCCCGCTGTACTTCACATCTCAGCTTAGACAGATGTTTCACAGAGCCCTCCCCAGGTCACCCCATCCAAATATGTCACACTATTCATGTCCTTCTCAGAGCTTTAAACAATGTGCAATTACATATTTATCTCTGCGTGTATTTTTCTGTGTCTGCCCATCTCAGTAGCCTTAAACTGCATGAGGGCAGAGACCTTTTCTGGGGTGTTCCATGCTGTCACCTAGTTCATTGTCCCCATCATCCCCACCCCACTGGGCCTGTGATGAAGCTCTGGCTCTAAGCCCCAAACCCAGCCTTCCGGACTCTGCAAACTCCAGCTCGCCACCGCTAGCTGGTCCCCAGAGGGGGCGCTAGAGAGAGACCGGGCAGGAGGCAGGAGGAGCAAGAAGAGATTTTTCCTTTCCTTTTGCTGGCTCTTCCTGCTGGAGTTTCCCCAGCAATGTTTTTGCTTTTTCCCTAATTGTTTCTAGGGTTTTTTTCTTTTGTTTTGTTTTGTTTTGTTTTGTTTTCTTTTCTTTTCTTTTCTTTTCTTTTCTTCTCTTCTCTTCTCTTTCCGTTTCTCTTCTCTTCTTTTCTTTTCACATTTCTAGAAGTTCTCATTGTGCTCCCTCAGGGCTCAGAGGTCTGAGTCTCTTCTCTGTGGGGTCTCTCCTCCAAGGGTCCAGGTTATATAATATAATAACAATATAGTATAGTAGAGAATGAAAACGGTATGCGCACAACACAACAATAAGGTGATATAGAATCATCTCGATGTTTCCCAACCCTGGCTGGATGGCGGCTGCTTCCTGGCAGTTATGTTCCTTAACTTATTCTGTTCCCCAATGTTTGTTTAAGCAGTTTCTTGCATTAGATTCTTTCTATTAAAAAAAAATGGTTCTGTTTCCCCAACAGGACCCCTGCTGATACAATCACCGTATCCACTGTGGTCATGGTTAACACTGACTATTTATTAAACTCCACTCCAAGTGTTTCACATGAATTCATCTAACTCTCCCAACCCTGTGAGGCAGGTACAACTATTACCCTCAAAAGAAATGAAGGAACAGAGAGATTCAGTAAGTTGCCTAAGACTTCACAGCTACTGAATAGCAAAGCCGGGACACTTCTGAATGAATCCATGTGTCACCCAATGGAGGAAGGAGCCCTTTTGCGCGGCCTAGAAGCTGCGTGGACAAGTGTGAGGCACAGCGGTGTGCCAGGGCCTTTCCCTGAGTCCTTTTCAAGGGCTTAGAAGCTCTTTAGTGTGCTTGGGTCTCCAATCTGGAGATTTCTCAGGGCACTCTTTGGCTCCTTCTCAGAGGTGCACTTTTCCCTGCATCTCATCACAGCCTCTATCTTCAGCCCATGGGTTCATCACCCAGCACGAGAAGGGGATGAAGGTCTGGGAGGACCACAGGCCGTGGCCTGGGAAGGCCTCAGGCTGACACCACGGTGATGTGGGCGTCCATCCCAAAACTCCCCATGCTGCTTTCTTTGGCTTCACAAGACCCCGAGGAGCCACCAGGAAAGATGCTTACTGGGGATGTGATTTAGAGAGACGAAGCTTCAACACGTTGGCGAATGCCTAACCCTTAAGTGGAGCTATGATTTTGGAGGAACGATTATTAGAACTGACTTGAGGTGCTCTGTCTGAGGGTGCTCTGGAATCGAAGAGGCTTTCCTCTACTCTGCAAGATAATGACTTCAGTTCACTCACATGGATGTTTAATTTTATAACATTGCTATTGGGCCCAGAAAAAAACTCCCTCCAGAGCCTATTATTAACATCCCAAAAATGGAAAGCATAATCTCAGAACAAAGAGCTAGAATAATATTTTGCCAGGGTTTTATTTTTGCATTGTGAGGGAACTCTATGCCATTATTCACTTTTTTTCTTTTTTTGCCTTTTCATTTGGAGTTGAGTGCACTAGAACGAAAATGCCTCAGCCACAAAGGCAACTAGCCTGCACGAGGGGGAAGAGAGTGGGAGGCTTCATTCCGTCACAACCTTGAGTTCAGTGATTATGCCCTTGGTAAAGAGGGGATGTCGGACACCTGCAGAGGTGAGGCCTGTCTCCAAGGAGACCCCTGCCTCCTGCACCTTGCCTAGTTGCTCCTGTGTGGTTTGGACCCTGGATTGCCCCCCATCCATTTTACTTCTTGCATCTGCAAGCTCAGAATTGAGCATCTCTCGATTACTCCCTCAGATAATCAGCCCTCTTAACACACTGCATTCTAGGCCATCACTGGGTGAATGCTTTAACCACACCTTCCCATTCTCCGGACCTTCAGGCTGGCAAATGGTTTTGTACTCAGCTTCTCAGCCCTCAGCCTGAGAATGTGGATCAGGCCTATACCTGGGCCTGGATAGCCTGGCTCAAACATCATCCTGAAGATGGAGGAAATGACAGTGGCTTTCCTCTTGCCGAATTCCCTCGTTATCTGCGTTGAATCAGTGCCAGCATAACCCATGCACATTGATTTGCAGATCTTCGTAGATTTGTGCTTGGGCTTCCTATGCCACGTCTTGCTCTGTGAGTGTGAGGGTTTGGTGTTCTCTCCAGAAGCCATGGCCCCTTGGAGCAAGTCAGGGGGACTTGACACATCACTCACCTGAAGCAACCCGGGCCAGGCAGTTGTCTTGAAGCGATTAAATAAAATGTGATTTTACTCATAAGTGATTATAATAAAGTGGTTTATAAAATACATGTATTTATTTACTAGTACAGAAAGTCTCATTTTGAGATTTATTCAGAAACATGTTTTAAAACTATAATCCAGAAATGCAATTTAAATTTTAAACAAATACACTAAACAGTGCAATTTGAACAATGCGATGATGTAGTAATCTGGATGTGGAAGACTTTCCTTGGATGCACAGACCAGGAGAAAGAATAGGGCTGACCCGGCCAGGAGCCAATGCACTAATGCAGATGCTCGTTTTAATTACCCCTTCTACATTCTATGATATGTTAGGTGCTGAGTTAGACAGTCCCCTCCGGAGAACTCGCCTCCCTCCTCGCCAGCCTCCTCTCACCTCCCACTCTCCCCTCCCCACCGCCTCCTCCACACACACTTCAAGCTTTATTTCACCCACTTAATGCACTCTGCTCTGTGCTCAGGTACTTAAAATCTCCCATTACTATCAGTCTGGCTCTTTTACGGCTTTTTTTATTTGCTCTATCATTTCACAGTCCAGTTGTTCTTTTTGGTCAGGTGGACTATAAAATACTCCGATAACAAGTTCACACTAGGAGCCGATGGCGGCCTCAATCTGTAATGACCACAGACCCTTCTGTTACTGGTGTGTCCCAAATCAACACATTCACCATGCTGCCCACCCTGTTCCTACCCCAAGAACAGATTTTCCTTACTCTTCTGATGGCTGCTCCGAGAAGATCTTTCATCCTCACGATTTTTCTTTTAAATAATCAAGCCTTTTTCACCCTTGCTCCTTAATTACCTGCCTTCTCTAAGAGTATTTTAATCTATTGCTATGGATTTAATATTATTTCTCTCTACATTAGCATCCATAAATATGAAATAAAATCAGTCTCTGTGGAAAGTCTTCTTTGGTGTGCTACCTTCCTCTGTATCTTCAGGGTACACCTTTACAGGCTCCGTACCCAGAGGGGAAGGACACTGGCTGAGGGTGTCATCTCTTCAGTCAAACTGCCTGTGGGCTCACCCCATGCTACCACTCAGCTCTTCTGTGACTTTGAGCCTGTCTGAGTCATTTCATCTGTGATATGGGAATAATAACAGTTCCTCCCCACTCCCTCAGGAGTTATCCTGAGGATAAGATGAGATATTGGCTCTTCCTATGTGGGTTAGAGTGGGGTGCTTCTCTCCCTGAGGAGAGGAGAAGATCTCGTACAAAAGCATGGTGACTTTCCCATTCAGCTTGTCCCAATCTCAAGAAAGAATTGCCCAGCCAGAGTTCAAAGCCCACCATTGTTGCTGCCTGCTCTGAGACCAAACCTGCAGGAGCCAAAGCCAGCTGGCCCTGAGCAGTCAGCTTCTGCAGAAGGCAAGGTGGGCATTTGATATGGCTTGGCTTGTCTGTGTCCCCACCCAAATCTCATCTTGAATTGTAGCTCCCATGACTCCCACGTGTTGTGGGAGGGACCCAGTGGAAGATAATTGAATCATGGGGCTGGTTTCCCCCATACTCTTCTTGTGGCAGTGAATAAGTCTCACAAGATCTAATGGTTTTATAAGGGGAAATCCCTTTCACTTGGCCCTCAATCTCTCTCGTTTGCCACCATGTAAGATGTGCCTATTGCCTTCTGCCATGATTGTGAGGCTTCCCCAGCCACATGGAACTGTGAGTCCATTAAACTCTTTTTATTTATAAATTACCCAGTCTTGGGTATGTCTTTATCAGCAGTGTGAGAACAGACTTTAGTCTGCTAAATTGGTAAGCATTGCTTACCAGTTCAGATTGAAGACAACTTTTAGGCTTGCATCAACCCCATAACGATTCAACTTTTCCCTTCACTCTATTGATCCAAATTCTTCAGAGTTTATTTTCCACAAGCATATTCATGGCTTATAATATCATTGATTAGAACTTGGTATCAACTGGGCCAAATTCAAGAGTACTAGCTTTGCTATTTTGAAAAATAATAATTTACTACATATTAACTGTATGCCAGGCTAAGTGCAAGGTGCTCAACAAGTACTGTTAACCCGTAAAGCCCTTTGATATGGGCATAATTTTCACTCACTTTATAGATAAGCAAACTGAGGCTGAGAGAGGCTAAAAGTCTTTAACTTCATGCAGGTAGAAAGTAAGTGGCAGACGGGATGCAAGTCCAGGCTTGCAGGCTGCTACTCTCAGATACTAACCCCCAATCTGCTGTCTGGGAGAGGACTGCGTGTTGCAGGCTCCACCTGGTCCCACGTGGGCTCCAGTAGGCTGGCCCCTCACTTCCCACAGCCTCCTGGGGTCCTGGTGCCCGACCACCTCAGGTCAGAATGCACCAGTGGATTAGGGCAAAGTGTTGACAGGTCCAGAACATCAGCTCCATGGGTGAAGAATGGAGAATTTATTCCCTGCAATCGCTCTTCACATTGAACTCCTCCATGCTGATGACCAGCTGGCGTATAATAAGGCGGTATCTAATGACAGCAGTTCATTCATATCTCATAAATCTTCTTTCACATAAAATTTGAGAACTTTTTCCTCTCAATTTGTCCAGCTAAAAATAATAATCCAAAATTGAAATTCTTCTCTCTTCCATCTTTTTTCTCTCCAAGGTATTTTATCCTCTTCTGAATAGAAAGCACCTTGAAAATAAGATAAATGAATGAATTCGTCTGGAGAACATGAGATCCACTTATTATCCCAGATAACTATATTTATTTATAATGTTATAACGTACCCTCATCCATTTCTAAAGATTATTTCAGATGACTTATAGTAACAAATATACAGGAACCAAATCATTAAGACACAAACAAAAACTTAAAGACCACAGATATGGAGGGGAAAGTATGATATTCAGCCAAGTGAGATCCTCAGGTAAACGCTATGTCCAGCAGAGATTAGTTATCATCGTAGCAATCATTGCATCTGCCAGTTGTTACCACATACTCTGTTCCAGTTGCTTCATAGACACTATTTCATTAAAGCCTCCTGACCCACCTGCAGGTAGGTATTATTGTCCCTGGTTTCAAGATGGAGTAGCAGTCCAGTGATTATGGTAGTTTGCCAAATGCCCCAGCTTCCGCAGGTCCCCAGCAATTCTGTCAGCCTGTGAGATCAGCTTATTCAAGCGACACAAAACTCTATCCCCCAGCCTTCTTGCCCCACCTACATCTCAGGAAGCTTCTTTCTCCAGACTTTGCCTCTTAGACTGTTGGCTCCCGTCCTGCCCCTGTTCTTTGAGGCTAATGCATCCCCTCAGATCCCTTGCTTGTCTTCTCCCCACCCCTCTGGCCTTGCTATTTTCCAGCCCATCACTCTTCCTGGACTAGCCTGATCCAAAGATCCTTTGGCCACAGGGCAGCTCTGCCTCCCACCTCCCGCTCTGAGCAGTGCTACCTCCCAGCACTCAGGCCACCCACCTGTTGGCCCCCATTGGCCTCCACTCAGACCACCCTCCTGTTGGCTCCTGAGTGGGCCTTGATCTACTCCTTAACCCACTGCCTGGCCATCTCCTGCCAAACCATCCTCTTTTCTTCACGGGCACCTGCTCTGCACAGTTGCCCCTGAACGATTTGTTTATTGTAAGGGCCCAATAAATAGTGTATTGAATAGGTAAATCACTAAGTGATAGAAAGATAATGGACAACTGGCAGAAGCCATGGGCACATCAGACACCCAAGATCACAGCCCCGTAAGTGTAGAACCTGTCAGTCAGTCACCAAAGCTTGGGCTCTTGGCACACTGTGACTCCTTGGGTTGTTCTGTGACCACAAACATGCCAGAACACTGAAAATATAGTAGAGTTTCAGGTCACCATCCAGCTTAGATTCCATGAGGATGGCGCCTCCTGGAGTTGTGCAGTGCTACAATCCTGTCCTTCCTCTACCATCTCCACATTTAGCAAAGGCTGCCTAGCAGCAGAAAAATCTAGTCACTGTGATTCCAGAAGGCTGGCTACACCCTAGTGCCTACAACAAGGATGTAACTCGCTAAGGCACTGCCAGCCCATCCTTGATGGAAGGCCATAGTGCTTAGATCAGAACCAAACTTGACTCCCTTCACAAGCTGTGGCAGCTGTCTCTACCCTGGAGAGCAATGATGGAATATTCCATGGGAGTCACACTTGGCTTCCTTATAATGCCCATTCAATAGATTGTTTTGATGGAAACATCACAAATTCATTTTGTGAAAAGCCAATGATATTTGCACCCAGGAATTCAATCATAGGACATGAAACTCTGGGAAAGAAATAATCAAATTGTCCATCCAGAGTGGAGTTAAAATTGTCATAAACATCGATCCTTCATTGCAGGGAATGGAAATAATAAACAGTTGCTGAAATTGCAAAGCTGCAGAGATTTCATTCTCTAATTGTCAAAAAGCATTAAACATCAACTATTTATTTTGCAGCAGAGGAAGCAAAAACAGACTTCAGTGCATCCCTTCACCAGAGGTTGTCCCTAATTGTCATGCATAGATTGCAACAGAGGTTACTGAGAAAAATTGTTTGCATTTATTAATCAAAAGGAGTCAAAGGCACACAAAGATATCATCAGGGCTCCCTTGTGCTAGGGGGAGGCTGACAACTAACATTCCTGATGAAGTGTTTGCAGAGTGTTTGCAATCTGTTCAAAGCCTTTTTCTTTGCAGGTGCAAACCTTTCTATCTGAAACATCAAAGAAACAATTGAAAATTAAACAGAGTAAACATCGCGATACAGGTTTCAATCTTCCATTTTTTAAGACAATGGGAGAGGTATCATTAATTTCAAAGCAATATTTGTGTTCTTTTCAAAACTCATTTGTGCATATTAGCATTTCATTAGTTGTGTATTAAGCGCTGTTGCTCCTTTCCCCCTTTTTTTGCTCCTTTTGTTTTGTAAAAATTAGAAAGTTGAACTACTCCTGAGATGCCTTTTACTCCAAAGCATCCATGCATAGATAATTATCTTGCTCAGCCTGTTTGATCAGTAGAATAAGTCAGAACTGCTCGGGTAAAGTCAGGCAGCAGAAAATAGATTAAGCGAGAAAGAATTCCTTTCTGGTGATGGTAAGATCTTCAGAAGCAAATGCAGCCCCACTAAATTTTGCTAGTGAATAGTGTATTTTAATATACTCATTGTAGGCACTTTTTAATATGTTAATTTTCCTTAATTGCTTCTCTCCATCCCCACTCCATTTAGCTTTAAACTCATCTTTACCCAAGACAAATTAAATAAAAACACAGCCAGCATATGCTATTTTGTGTCACATCTGAATGTTAGAAGCATGTTTTTTATATTTTGTTTATGAAACTGTATCTGGTTTTTGGATATTATATTCAACTGGCCAGATTTCCTGCATTGTCTGAGTTAGACACTAATATCTTTCTCCCTTAAGGTATATTAATTTTATGCATCCTGGACAGGAGATTGACTTTCTCAAGCAGTATACAAGGTCACTCATGTTCATAAAAATATAACCCCTTTTGTGTTCCACAAAATGGCACAATGTAACATGAATTCTGTAGTCAGTAATAGTTTTTTAGCAAATAAGAGTAGTGCTGAATATTCTCACTTATAAGTGGGAGCTAAATGGTGAGAACTCATGGACACATAGAGGGAACAACACAGGCTGGGGCCTTGTGGAGGGTGGAGGGTGGGACGAAGGAGAGGATCAGGAAAAATAACTAATGGGCACTAGGCTTAATATCTGAGTGATGAAATAACCTGTACAACAAACCCCCATGACACAAGTTTACCTATGTAACAAACCTGCACTTGTACCCCTAAACTTAAAATAAAAATTAAAAAAGAATAGGCCAGGTGCAGTGGCTCACACCTGTAATCCTAGCACTTTGGGAGGCCGAGGTGGGTGGATCACTTGAGGTCAGGAATTTGAGACCAGCCTGGCCAATTTGTCAAAACCCCATCTCTACTAAAAATACAAAAAATTAGGTGTGTGGTAGCACGCACCTGTAGTCCCAGCTGCTTGGGAGGCCAAGGCAGGAGAATCACTTGAACCCAGAAGGTAGAGGTTTCAGTGACCCAAGATCACACCACTGCACTCCAGCCTGGGCAACAGAGTCAGACTCTGTCTCAAAAAAAAAAAAAAAAAAAAATTTGTCCATTATTCAAGTATAATATACATAATTATTCTATTGGCATTTAAAATCCTTAATTCGTGTAGCTCCAATGGGTGGGGAATATTTGCTAGAGAAAATCCAGCATAGGAGACCGACTGAACCTTGCCCTGATGATGGGCTGCCTCTGCCCCTCCTCCTGGGAGAGCTGTATTGGATGCTCTCTCTGTGCACAGCAGATGCCACAGGGCAGGTTGTGACCCACCATCTATCTGATCTGATCAATGCCAACTCCACAAGTATTTATTGAGTGCCCACTCTGTGTCCAGCACCAGCCTAGTAACAAGCTATGATACCATGGGATTCCACAGCATTGAAATATGCTCTTGAAAGTCAACCTCCGTTCCTGGTGTAGCACTTCCTTCCAGAACTAAGACTGTTTGAACAATGATTTATTTTTAAATTGCCCTCGACCGTTACAGAGTGTTTTAGAAGTGCTGTAACAGGAAGGCCATACATATTTTATTTAGGTGACTTTAAAGCAATGGTACAGGATTGCTATTGTGTCCCCTACTCGGCACTAAAAAAGGTAGGAGGAATTAAGATTGCAAATCACTCTACCACGTGTTATGAAACTAAGAACCATCCAAATAGCCCATAGAGTGCCTGGCGTAGGTAGTCACAGCCTCGGAGAGACACAGCCGAGCACATGCAGCTCCTTGACGCCCTCTCTTGCATTTGGAGATGTGTTGTTATCATCATTCTGACTGTGCACCTCCTCTGCTGGGTCTCCAGTATGGGTGTCCCAGAAGAACAATAGCAGGATTAGCTGGCAACTGGGTAAATTTGTAGTTTAACCTTGTAATCAAGGGGAAAAGAAGAAAGACTTAAGGAATGACGAGTCCACCTTGTCTTTCTTTTCAATCTGATCAGTTTCTTTTGGTTGAAAATGCTAATTAAACCCAAATGGGAATAAGTCAAGATGTTTCAGTCCTCAAGCCGAAGTGAGAAGTTTCTGGCGTCTCTACCTTCTGGGGATGATCAATGAGTATGAGGATTTTTCCTTTTATAACCAGAAACAAGGTGTGAGTTTTCCCAAGTGTGGTATGGAGACACTGTCTATTTTTTCATTACCCCTGCTCTTCCTATGTGATCTCGAATGTCAAGTCCCACATCGAGAAAATCAGCAAAGGCACCCAAGAATCTTTAAAACAAAAAACAAAAAACAAAAACACTCACTTTATCATCCTATTATAACTTCTGGCCATGAGCAATATTAACTTCTCAGATAAGGGAAAGCCAGAGTTCTACAAAATCTCAGAAAAACCTAAAAGGAAAATCTTCAGAAGAGTAATTTTCAGTGCCTGTGGGATCTCTTAAGGTGTGTCAACTCCATGTCACCTGTGATTCCTATGCCGGCTCCAGGGATGCTGGGCTGCTTAGAGCGTCATCTACTATCATGGTGAAACGTCTGACGAGGTCACTTGGAAGTGCACCAGTTCAAAACTGTCAGCCTCTCTCAAGCAAGTAGTCGTTAAAGAACACACTGAAGTTCCCAGTAATTTATTTGTTCAAGATGTCCTGGAGGTTGTATTTTGATGCTGGAGACAGTAGGCAGAGAAGACAATTCTGCAGCTGAAGGAGGCCTACTCTCTGGAGGGCCCACAGCTGGAAGATATTTACATCCTGGGAGACTTTCCAGACAATAGAGGGTACGTGCTTCATGTGCCCAGTCATGAGGGTTAAGTCTAGGGTAGCTTTGTGTATTTGTGAGGTCAATAATTTCAATGACTTCTTTTCAAAGACTTCCTTCAGAGAGGAGAGAAATAGTTCTGCTCAGATGTGGAATTATAGTGTCTCCAGTGACAAATGCCATGTTCTTCTTTTGAGAGCCTAAGGCCACTTACTGATGAAGAAATACAAATTTCATTTTACACGGAGCACAGTGATCTGAACTGTGATGAAAACCCAGTGTGCAGCCTCCCACAATTTCGTATGGTTAAGGAGACTTGAAAACTATTAAATTCTGAGGAGATTAAAATTTTCTATTCTGGTCAAACTGAAAGAACACAAGATTAATGTATTCCTTTTTCACAGTTCTGTAGTGACTTGCTGTGTGATCAAAGGAGAAAGCATTCACTCATTCATGTATTTTATAGGAAACATTTTAGTAGATATGTACTGTGTGGCAAGTCCTGAGCTAATTTCTAGAGGTAAGGATGAAAATGCATGGTTCTCCTTCCAAGGGGCCTACACCTAGTGGGGAGATGAACTTGAAACAATCGAGAAGATCGTTCTATGACAACAAGCATCAGCTGAGTTTCAGTCAAGGCCTGGGCGTGCTGGGCACTGGAGACACAAGGGGACAAGAGAGGCCATTTCTGGCTTCCTGGGTCACAGGCATCCATCGTGGGACAAGGACATGAAACAAAGGATTACATAGTTACTTAGTGATGATGTGGCCAGTGCCATGAGCCCATGGAATAGGGCAATGACCCACATGCTGGGAGCCGAGGGAAGTGACATCCAGTGCCAGCAAAAACAAGGCCATCAGAGAAAGAAACATGTTCAAGGATTATATTTGTGGCGCTTTTTAAAAAAGCATCAAACTGGTTATTGTGTGAGAAACCAGAACTTATTGAATGGCTGTACATGGATAGTGTGGTTTAATACTGCCTTTGTGTTTCATCACATTTCACAGAAAGGAGCGGTCACCACTTCAGTGCTTTTGCTACGAAGTCTCACACTGGTTCTGGGCTGGTCCTAGGCAGGACTTGTTTATTGTTTGTCTTGTCCACCCTGCACTAGACTATATACTCCAGAGAGTGAAGGTCTGCTTTGTTTTATTCACAACTAGGTCTCCAGCCCAGAACAGTGCCGGCCTATAGTATGCACCCAAAATGATTTGTTTAATAAAAAGTGAGTTCAGCAGGAACCTAAATAACTACAACAACTATAACAGAAATCTCTGCCACCTGGGGAAGGTACAGCACATACACATACATGCCCTGAGACAGAAGAAAAGGTGCTCAGATGTATTTTAGCTCTAAGTTTCAGCTTGGAGCCAGTTGTCTAATATAAGTCTTCCAATGACTCTGCAATGCAGATATTGGTATTTCCATTTTACAGATGAGGAAACTGAGGCTCACAGAGACTGAGTGAGTTGCCTCGGGTCACACAGGGAACAGGAGAAACAGGCACTGGCCCAGGGGTACTGGTTGGTTACGGCCCAAGTCCAATTCTGACTTGGGACACAGTACCCAGATATTTGATTGAACATGATTCTGACTTTTTCTGTATAGGTGTTTTTTGGATGAGGTTAACATTTTAATTGGTGGACTTTGAGTAAAGCTGATTGCCCTCCATAATGTGGGTGGGCCTCGTCCAATCAGTTGAAGGCCTGAATAGCACAAAGACTGAACACCCCTGAGCAAGAAGGGATTTTGCTGGCTAAATGGCCTCAGAACTCAACTGCAAGTCTTCCCTGCCTAACCTGTCAGATTTTGAACTCTCTATTTGTTCTGTTTCTCTGGAAAACCCTGACTAATATAATTTCTGAACGAAAATACGATTTAAATACCAGCTGATAGGACTTCAAAGTCTATATTCTTGCCACTGGGCCATGGTGCTTCCCAGATGAAAAAGCAAAAAACAGCCATGTTAGGAAAAGAGATATAAAGACGTGTAGAGGCTCAAATAAGGAGTGAATTGGTCAGTCTCATGCTGTAGTGGCTCAGCCCTTTGGTGGCCCCACTAAGCTGGGTCAAGTTCCAAACAACAGAATTTCTGGGCCAGCTGAGGCTGACAGTGACAAGAGAGGGATGATTTCTGGCAGAAGTACAAGCGGATAAAAAGATCTTGCCCAAACCTTGTGTGTTGTAAAACTCCAAATTAAAATTGATGAGATCTGACATCAAGATACCCTATGATTTCCTAGTCCGTCTTAGGACCCTAATATTCAGATAAAGCTGATCCCAAGACAGGCATAAAAGGGCTTTGATAAAATTGTTGTCACTCAATGAGCCTGTGACAATATGGGTAAAAATATTGAGAAGTTTGGAAAATTTAATCCAATTAGTAGCTTAGGCTCTTAATGTGCGATTATGTCCAAAAATGCTTTCAAATTGCCACATTTTTAATAGAAAGATGAAAAACAGGGATATTTTGTTAAATATTTATCTCATTAATAAACACAAGACAATCATTGCTTTTTATTTTGATTAACTTTTCCATCTGGGTTCAATGCACCTTTCAAAGACATAGTCTTTTCTCTTGATGTGAGGGGACTTAATTACAAAAGCACAATTGGACTTCTCCTCTGTATGAAAATGAAGCAAATGAAATTGCTTCCCCCCTCAACCCAGCGCATGGTTGTTGCTATGAAGACACACAATTGAATATGACAGTTTTCTGCTACCCAAGAATTGTTTTTGGATGAAGTTTGGGGATTATATGCAATTATAGAACAGTAAATTTTCTATGACCATTCATGTTCAAGGACTTATTTTAAAAATAAAATGAAAGTCTAACTACAGAATAAATGGAATCACGATAACAAATGTCCTTTACACCTCTGTTATATTGGTATAACAAAGATAACAAAGATAGAGTTGTAGCAGAAATCAGTACAGTATAAGCTAATTCCGTCCATGGGAAAACCATGTCCACACAGCATGACATCTTTTTATATCTCCTTTTCTATGCCTTAAATATTCACTGTTCTTCCTCTATATGTGGTTCTTTCTTCTTTACTATATGGTCAGATACCGTGATAGCTGAGGAATATGGCGTCGGGCCGATCGGAACCAGCAGCCCCCAGGGCTGAATGGATGCTGCTGCCTCCTCTCCCACTCCCCTGGTTCCTGGCAGTTAGATCTGCAGATGGTTTCCCCTAACAAGAACCAAGGCTCAGGAACGTTGCCCGAAGCCTTGCAGACTGTGGAGTCTACAGTGGTTAAGGGGTGGGGTGGGAGGGAGAGGTGGACGAAATTCACCCACTTTGCAGTGCAAATGGAGGCCCTGGAGTTGCACCATGTGGTGGCATGCCTCACTTTCTAAACCGCCCTGCTAGAGGTAGGGTATGTGCAGCCCCCATTTCCTGGCCTCTAGGACCCGCCTTGCAGCTCCTTGCCTCCACTGACCCCATGGTATTAAGGGTCCTTCCTGGTTCCCAGCCCTAGAGCCCTTTGCACCTGGGATGAACTCTGGATTCCTGCAGCTCCTGAGCCACTGCACCCTTTCCCCCAGTCACTTTGGTTGGCCCAGGGTCTTTCATCTGGCTTCTCAGTTTTCCCTACTTTGTTGCAGTTTGTTCCTCCCACTAGGATGGAAGGAAGCCCCACCCATTTGCCTCATCTAGCTCTTGCTAAACTCCTTCCACAGGGTTTGCATCCTGCCCGGATCCTCCCTGGGGCTTATGGTCAGATATTCTGGAAAAATGACTGCTCCCCACCAGACGTCTGATTTGTCTCTGCTGGTTCCCGTCACCCTGGCCAGATACTCAAAGCTCCCAGAATCTGAGCTGGGGTGGTTGCCCCCCCAGCCATGTTGTTTGGGGTTGCCAGAAGGTTCTCTTTAAGAAACATCTCTCTCCCCCAATGATGACTGGGCGCCTTTGACCGGGCTTCTAACTCATTCAAGGAAGCCAGTGCACCTCCAGCCAGTCTGGTATGCTGTCCCATCTCTGACAAGTGTCCCTTGAGAAATATTTCAGGAAAGAATTTTTTTGATCACTACAGGCAATGATCAAAGAAAACTAATTCCACTGTGTTTGTTACAACATCAGTGAAAGAAGTCAAGAATATAGTCTCAGAAGGAGTATAAAGCATGCAATAAAGGCCGATGCATAATTAATGAAGAGCATGTCTCTAACATAGTGCTCTTCAAAACCAAGCACACAATGTGTAATTATTCCTCACATCATCACAGGGAGTGGGCAGATGCTAGTTGCCTCTTATAAATAAGGAAATGGGAGAAAAGCCAGACTCTCTTTCCAAAGGAAACCACCACTAGAAAGTAGAATGAATAATTCTGAAAGTCAGTTACGATGCAGTTAAAATGTCAATATAAATCTCCATTTCAAATTTTCACTCATCTGAAATAATCACTGGGCATGTCTGTTTTACAATTATGCTGCCGAGAATCCCAGTGCTGCCCCAAATTCAAACCAGTTTACGAGTTATGACTTGAGTTATGACAAGAAAACCACTCCAATTTCTTCCAAATGGCAACATGGTTGGCCCAGTAGGTAAGAAAGAGCGGAGAACCAGTGACCTGTTATTTCTGTTCCAATCCCACCTCTACCACTACTTATCTCACACAGCTTCTTTGAAAGGGCTAAGTTAGCAGATAGATAGATTGATAATTGTCAATGTGTGGAGGTTGCAGTGAGCCGAGATTGCGCCATTTCATTCCAGCCTGGGTGATAGAGCGAGATTCGGTCTCAAATAATAATAATAATAATAATAATAATAATAATAATAATTGCCAATGTGTTAATATATATGCCTGGCATATGCTGAGCACTATATAAATAGTGCTTTTACTCTTACATTATATTCACATTTCATTTTCACCCCAAAGTGGAATGAGTTACCCATCTTGATTACCCTTGTTATTGATTGCAATTGATTCAAAAGGTGTTTTTTTGGGTTTTTTTTGTTTTTGTTTTTGTTTTTTAAATCAAATGTATCCTCAAATTTAGGTAAGATGAATATACGTACGGAATGGTTAAACAAGTTCTAAAAGCAATGGGATATTCTGAAAGGGTCACAGACTCAAATGTCTCCACACAGGTAATAGGAATGTGGTAAGTGGCCTGGTATAAGACAACAGGAAAAAAAATTTTTAAGAAATATTGGCTAAAAAAGCCACCTTTAGTGACATGCAGTGGGTATTAGTTCATGATGAGTGTTCTAATATGTTTACTGAAACATTTTTAGTATCTTTATCAAGTCACTGCTTCTCTCTCACACTCACAAAAATGTTTAAATAATAAACACACTAAATTGCGTTCTATGTGAAGGCTTTCTTTCATTATGATATTTCAAAGGGGCCTAAAACTGATTCTAGGTTGCAGGTGAGTTTATGGAATCAATCCCCTTACGTTTCAATGATTCGAGTAGCTCCAGTAACTCCTCAGCCTGCAATTGGTGAGATGTATTTGTGCCTATCTATGTAAGTCTAATTTGTGTTCTTGGGAATTGGAGTTTTCATTTGTTCTCTTTTCGCAATTACAGTGGAAATTTCTCAAGTGTAAGCACCATAGTTCTACTCAGCTTAATAATCAAACATATCTACTAAGTGCCTAATTGTATCCAGTGCTGCGCTAGGCAGATGGGAAGAGATTTCAAAGCTCAGCCTTGCCTCTCATGCTTGTAGTCTTGGGGAAGCTCACAGTCCCTGAAATGCCCCAGTGTGCGCCACCCTGTCTATCGACCGGTGCTCTGTCGAACAGTGCTTTGCATCCATTGTTTCATTCGGTCCTACAAAAGCCCTATAAGGCCGTTCTATTGCTATCCCCATTTTACAGATGGAAAACAAAGCAGAGAAAGACTTAAATGGTGACAAAGCTGCTAAACGTAGACTTAGGATAGTAACCATGCTGTGTCCCCTGTGGTCTGCCCTCCACGATCACACTGTGTGCAGTAGACCTTCTGTGGCTGCAGCACTCCCAGAATTCTTGCCCAGACTTCCTCTCTCCCAACGCAGATACTTTTTGCCATGCTAGTTTTTGAACACGTGTAGTAATAATAGAAGGGTAGGGCTAACTGGGCTTAGGAACCTAATTCTTCCTCCTGTCATTAAACCCTAGATATAGTAGGATTTTTTTTTTAATATCAACTCTATAGCATTGGGAAGAAAAAGAAATGTTAGTGGTTTCCTGAGTAAAGGAAAGCAGACAGGAGAGGTTTTATGAAAAAACAAGATTAGAGGATATCATGACAGAAGAAGACACTTCCGAGAAACCTACAGATTGAGTAGACACAAAAATAAGTAAGCCCATCAGACATTGGAATAGCACAATTTATAAGTTTTACCTAATCATTCTAACATAGAATTTTCTAAACTAAAATAGGGAATACACATTCTCTTCAAACATTCATAAAGCATTCACAAAAACAAAACATGAATTATGCAGAAAATAAAAATCTCAATAAAGTCCCCAAAGCAGAAATCTCAGTGGCCACCCTTGCTGTCTGTACTATGTTAACATTTAAAATTAGCAGTAAGGGGTAGGAAAAGAAAATCTTTGGAAGTGGGAACAAAAATGCATTCTTTTAATTTGGTCCGTATTACTTTTGATTGTTATTTAGAAATAAGTGAGAAGTGCCACGTGTACAAATATGTGTGTATGTATACATGTAGCAAAGATGTAAAGACATGCAATTTTACTAGGGAGTTGCTGGAGATGGAAATAACAGAATGGATGTTTAGAAGCAGGACCAACAGAATTAGGGAGTGGAGCTGACTGGCCCTCATCCACCACCACTGCCTGGGCTCCAGCGTTGCCTTATCTGAGCCAGACAGACAAGGTCTTGCTCACCAGTGTGTCCCAGTGCCTAGCATAGACCCATACCCAAACCAAGAGATGAATATAATTTTGGTGAAAATCTGTATTTAGGCTTGTCCATTCAGCATGGGATCCTGCCCAATGAGGCCATTGAAATTTAGTTACCGTCCTTTCCCATCTCCAGCAAATACTATGCCTGGCCAAGCTTTGAGAGATAATGACCATCTTATATTAATGTATACTCTGCCATTGGCAAAGCTCTTCAGTGTAAGTTACCAAGCTTTGATCCCGAAGACAAAATTATTATTCCCATTTGTCAGATGCTAAAACTGGGGCCCGGCTTAGCAGAGCTAAGACTTGGATTCACTACTCGAAACGGAAATTAAAGAGTCTATGCAAATAAGCTAACATTTACTGAGTGTCTACTATATGCTAAACACCGTGCTAGGTGCTTTTAAAAAGTAACTATTATTTTATCCTCAGAAGAACTTTGCAAGGACATTTATAATCTATATCTATTTTCTTTTCTTCTCTTTTTTCTTTTTCTTTTTCTTTCTTTCTTTCTTTTTTTTGTTTTTTTTTTTTTTACAATTTCACTCTTGTTGCCCAGGCTAGAGTACAATGGCACGATCTCAGCTCACTGCAACCTCCGCCTCCCAGGTTCAAGCAATTCTCCTGTCTCAGCCTCCCGAGTAGTTGGGATTATAGGCATGCGCCACCACGCCCGGCAACTTTTGTATTTTTAGTAGAGACGGAGCTTCTCCATGTTGGTCAGTCTGGTCTCAAACTCCCAACCTCAGGTGATCCCCATGCCTCAGCCTCCCAAAGTGCTGGGATTACAGGCATGAGCCACCGCGCCCGGCACTAATCTATATCTGTTTTCTATACCAGTTGGGAAACAGATGGGAATCTGCTCAAGGTCACATGGCCAAGAAGTTGAGGAGCCAGGATTTGAAGCCAGGTCATGGGTCAAGGTTCTTCCTCTTTTCCCAAGGTGGACCACCCCTCATTTGACCCAGGGCTTCAACTTAACCATCATTGGAGTATTGACAAGTAAAACATTTCAATGCAATTTAATTCTGACCTAGATCTTTCCTAGAGGAGGATGCTGCTTCTGTCATTTGAAAGTGATACTTCATGAAACTAACTAAGCTAAGGAACTGTTTGAAAAAGCAAAATGCTATTGATTGCTTAATAGCTGCCTTATAAATCACCCTGGGACACAAATCATCCACTGCTCTTCAAAGAACAGGAGCCCAATATCAGCAAGAAGCTGAACAAATGACCACACAATGCTTATTAGGATTCAGTAGGAAAGACCCACAATAAAGGCGGTTTATAAATATTTCATAGGCTTGATAGTTATTTGTTCTAGAGTTCTAGTTTTTATAACCATCATAATCAGTTATTTTTAAGAGAATATCCAGAAGAGAATCTTAAATTCTGATAGGTAACTACAATAATATTATAAAAGCACAAATCATGTGGGTTCACTTTATGTGAAGTATAGTCTAAAATACATCAATTTATTGATTTAAGAAATAGGTCTGGAGACAGAAGCAATTCTTGGAAACCTCCAGACAGCAAAATAAATATCTCTAATTATGAGTGTAACACCCTATCTGTGTTTGCCACAAATTTTACAGCTATAAATTTAAAAGCTACTTAGTGCTCCATAGTTTAAGTGTTCTGATATTGAGATCAATGTCTACCTATCCAAGAAAATTGCCCCAAAAGGGTAAACTCCACTCTCCCATTCTTCAAAGGGAAATGATAATATTGAGGAATTTATTTGAGGACATAGAATAGGTTGATAAGTGGGTGCGTTTGTTCATTCTCTTACTCATTCACAAGTTCGAGGAGCAGTTTTGGAATAGCTACTAGGTACCTGTAGGTTAACTGTTTTGAGGAAGGAGATGAGGTGTAGGCAAGCTACAGGTAGTATAATCCATTGATTAGCATCCCTTTAAAAAACTTTATTTTGGTACAATCCATATACAAAAACTGCACATGGTTTAAAGTGTATAATTTGATAAATTTTGCTATATGTGTACACCGGAGAATTTATCATCACAATCAAGATAATGAATACATCCCCATCCCCAAAGCTCTCCTCCTGCCCCTTCATAATCCTTCTTTCCTGCCTCTCTTGGCACACCCTCCACCCCAGTTCCCCAGGCAACCCCTGATCTATTTCTGTCATTATAGATTAGTGTATATTTTGTAGAATTTCATATAATTCGAATCACACTATACATACTTTTGTCTGGCTTCTTTGACTCAGCATTATTATCTTAAGATTCATCCACATTGTTGCATGTATCAACAGTTTATCGCTTTTATTTCTGAGTAGTATTCCATTGTGAAACTATACCACGCTGCCCTGAGCTAAAATTCCATAGTCTCCCACTGTTCCTTCCAAGCCCCAGTAGATTCAAAAAAAACGAAACACACATCTCAATTTGTTGTCTGCCTTTGGTCATTTTCTAGAATCATTCTGAAATGATTATTTTTGACCATTTTATCTAGTCTTATGTTGCTTTTTTGGAGAGAAGATTGCTGTCGTTTTTTTTATCTATCCCATCAGTGCTCAAGTCTCCATGTATTCAGGATAAATTAGAAGCATGGTGCCAGGATGGAAGAATAACGGGCAGAGCCAGCCTAGCAGCAGCCGTGTGAGTGATCGTGCTGGACCTCGCCTGGGGATGGGAAGATGCAACACAGTTCAGAGGAAGAATCAGCGGCACGCAGGCGCTCGGGTGAGATATTGAGCAGACAATCCTTAAAGACCCACCTGTAAAATATCCGACTGGTGATTTTAAACTAGTTTTTCGCTGTGCCTTTTCTTAATCCACTGATAGGAGGACAGCGATGCCAACCAGCACTTGTGATGCAACAGACTTTATTTTCAAGTGAACAGCTCAAATCCAGCATCGTTGAAAATCTGAAGTGTTCCGTGTTCCACGTTCCCTGCCAAGTAACGGCATCGCATTAAAAAAAATCAACATTTTCAGAAAGTCTTTTTAGTTTTCTCATTAGGACAAAGATTTCTGAAAAGACAGAGGCAAGCTTCTTTAGACATCACATAAAGCAAAGTACGCTCCAGGGATAACTGCAAAAATGAACTAGGGGAAACTGCAGCCAAATGAAATGCGACAAGCAACTGTCATATTCCAAATGGTCAATCAAAAGCTGGAACAATGTGAATGCAACAGAAGTCTATTATGAGGAAAATAATGATCTCAGGACAAGGGACACTTAATGATTTGCAGATTTAAGTACAAAATAAATATCCATCCATGTCCAGTGGGTAACTTTTCCAGTTCTAACCATTTTGTGTGGCTGAGAGTATTATCTGCAATAGTGGGGGCCTTTTTAAAGTGAAAGGAGAAACAAATAATTCATCTTCATTTACATTTCAGTACAATTGCAGAATACACTCGTCTGCTAGAAATGTGAATGATACACTGAGGATATGTTTTTTACATTCCAGAGTATCTCACTGTTTGGGCAGAATGGTTCTCTTACTGGAATTGTTCACAAAGCAACCTATTATATGGTGAGAGGTACCCTCTGGGCACCATTGAAATTAATATGAAAGGAAAAATCAAGAATGCCAAGTGCAGTGCATAAAACGCAGGTAGGTGGTGGGAGACAGATAAGCAGCCTAGGAGGTTTAAGTTGCAGAATCTGAAGCTGCAGAAAGATGTGTTATACAATTTACATTACAACCAGTCACGATTTTAGAATGGGTAATGAAAAGCTCATATAGTTAAGCATTGAGTCCATAAAAAAACACAAAAAGCTTTGCAGCACAAGGGAACTAAATGATGGGTAAATAGACAAAGAAGGTAATCAGGGAGCGGGAGGAGAAGGCCAGACTTGTTTTCACAAAATTCATCTGGTTTTGGCAACTCCACCTGCACATGGCACATGGCAATGTCTCTACAGTTAAATTATTTTCCAAGCAGGACTTGTCAACCTTGGCACCACTGACATTTTGGGTCAGATAAGTCTTTGTGGTGCACCTGTCCTGTGCGTGGTAGGATTTTCAGCAGCATCCCTGGCCTCCACCCTCTGGACTCCAGTAGCACATCCTCCCTCCGTTGTGACAACCAAAAAGGTCTCTAGACATTGCCAAATGTCTCCTGGAAAGCAAAATTGCCCCCGGTCGAGAACCATTACCTTAAAGGAAAGCAACAATAGAAACAACTCCAGTGAATTATTTCCCTTTGTGATCATATGCACTTTCCCCTTTAAAGAGCAGTAATTATAATAAAATGTTAATTTTGGCCCAAAAGTCCTATTGCACCTTAAATTAATCTGGAGGTAAACAATCAATTTACATGAGTTCCAGAAAATATTTTTGCTGATTTCTACCCCAATCTGTCTTAAAACAACTGGGAAAGTGTTTGGTCTTCTATCCATTCATATAGTGAGCAATGCTTTGTCACAAAATAAAACCATATCCAGGCCCTCCCAAGATATGGTGGCAGAATAGTAATTCAACAGTTTCTTCACTTGAAGACATGTAAAAAGAAAGCCAGGTATATTTTCTAAATGAGAGAGAGAGAGAAAAAGAGAGAGAGAGAGAGAGTCACATTTATACTTCCTATGAGCCATTGAAGCAGCAGGGATGGGCTCATGGTCACTAGTTGTCAGAGGTATGGAGGAGCCATTTTGATTCCTCCCCAGTAAGTTACTCTTTCCAATTACATGCCAGCTGTGTGGTTATTGCTGTAAGTTAAACTAGTTTCTGCTGTGTTTTTTCCCAACCTTGAAATAGAATTCTACTGTCAACTCCATGAGGGCAGGGATAGTGTCTTATCTGCCTGTTCACCTCTGTATCTGTAATACCTAGCCTGGTTCCTGGTCTATAGCAATCACCCAACACATGCTTCTTGAATGAATGAATGAGGACAGAAATGCCCATTTACAAGCAAATAGGTTAGAATATCAGTTCCTTAACAACAGATCCTTTTCTTATTTCTGTGCCACAAACAGCTCTGTGGTTGGTGCATATTGGGGGTTAAATAGATGTTTGAGGAACTCACCTCGAAATGTGAGGTCTCCACCTATGTTGTCTGGACAGCAAAGCCCATCTGGTTGAGTCTGGGGCAGATGTGCTTCTGGGGTCCTTTGTTCTAACGTGTAGAGCATGGTCTGGTGACCACACTCACTCTTTGGGCTGTCTCCTTGCATAACAGAGAGACAATAAATATTCCACCATGAAGACCCAAATTAAGACCACTTGTGCAGAAAGATGCCAATACATGCTTTGCGAAAAGACATTGTCACCTTATCTGACAGGTGAGGATGCAGATTTTGTCTCTCAGCATCGAGGTCCTGTTACTAGAGAATGTCTGAAGTGCCACAACGGCCACCCATATGCAAGGCGTGGCATTATTGGCCATGTTGCAGTCTAGGCAAAGGCTGCAATGAAATCATCTGAGGCATCACGGAGTTATCCTCATCTTAAATGGCATTATCTCTCCAATTGAAACTCGAACAACTCATCTAAAATGAAAAATCAAAAATATGCCAAGAAGCAGAGCTGGAGGAATGATGATGTGGCTCTTTGGGGAGGCGCTGAGGTTCTCTCTAAGAACAGAGGGCCCGGTGAGTGGCACGCTGGGATCTGCATTCAGCTGCCGGAATGACAGTGCCCAGAAGCTACTATGAATGGTAATGACAGGCAATAAAATACCCCTTTAAAAATCCAGCAAAAGATAAAGTCGGTAGATTGTAACAATGCTGCAAACACCAACCGTTAGCAGACTAGCACAGACACAGCAAGAAAACACAACTAAAAATTATTCAATCAGACCAAATGCTTGCAGGGAAACTAGGCCAAGAAAGCAATCAAAATCAAATAGAAGCAAGGTGTGTTTATATAATTCAGCAGTTCCAAAAATTGAGAAATGCATTGCAAAGATATTTCAAGGGTTTCCAGTCTTCGTTTAAGGGGAAAAAATTAATGAAACCTTCATTAACATGAAGAAAGAATAACACAATTCTCTATTCCCTCCCTTAATCCAACCAGTGTTACTAGGAGATGTCATATTTCCTGTGAGAATTCCAGGACGCGATCATAAAATACAACACACATTTATACAATTTATGCTAAGTTTGGTTATACGGCGTATGTGGCAGACCTCTTGAATTAATTGCATTAAATGTTTTCAGTTATAGAAAGAAGATTCATGACTCACAGAGGCCATAAATGAAGCATGGCATACAGGTAGTAATTACCTTGAATTGCATTCTTGAGTCTTTGAAGATAAATTAACCAACAATGAGAATTTGATAGCTAATGCTGCAATTAGTTACAGGTAGAGTGCAGTGACCTATATAACTTACTATTTTTAAAAATCTAAAATTTACACAGGTTAATAGCATAAAAGATTCTTCACTGTTACTCATGGCAGAAATGCAGTTCTATAAAGGCACTACAGTGGCCTTCTTATAATAATTGCTTAACTCTTCGTAAAGAGGTAGAATTACTCATGGTAATTCTTTGGCTATGAATAGGAAAGGCTGAGATTAAGCTAGCTTTCACTGAGCGGTGCTATGTTCCACGCACCTGGACAAATGACACCTCATTCAGCAGTTCAAGAAATTGAGAAATGCATTGCAAATCCCTTGGTTCTATGTGGTTAGATACCCTCCCACTCCACAAATAAGGGAATGGCAGGGGTGTGGAGGGAGGGAAGCAATTGTGCTGTGGCTTTCTCAAGGCCACTTGTATCTACCCTTCAGCTCACTTTCATCACTGGGCAAAGGTTGGATTGCATGTAAATGAGATGCCTGCCAAAGCATTCCTGGTGAGTTAAGAGGTAGGGCCAGTCTACTGGATATGTGCTTTTGCTGCCAAGCATCCCTTCTTCTGGGGAACGAGCTCTCCCTCAGTCCCTAATAGTCTTGCTGGGCCCATGAGGTTTGAGTGGAGCTGACCTCTGAGCCCAGGAAGAAACATATGACCTTGGTTGGCCACTCGGAGCACAAGATGAGGCCAGGTCGATCTGAGAACCTATTCCCTGGGTTCTCAAGCTCAAAGGGAGCACACAGACCTGAGCTACAGCAGTCACATTGTTCTATGTGGGGTACCTCTGCCTGAGAAAGACCAACACGGGAACATGGGAAATGGAGAGACACAATGATATGAACATCATTTTAATTGTACCCTGAAGCCAACTCTATCTGAAAAAAAAATTTAATTAAACTCTATACACTATTCCTATTTTATGAGTTTTTCCCTAATGTCCCTTTTCTGCTCCAGGACCCCATCCAGAATACCACATTTAGTCATCAGGCATCCTTAGACCTCTCTGGGCTATGACAGTTGTTCAGACTTTCCTTGCTTTCGTTGACCTTGACAGTTTTGAAAGGTAATGGTCAGGTATTTCATCGAATGTCCCTTGATTCTGGTTTGTCTGATCGTTTTCTCGTGGTTAGACTGGGGTTATGGGTCTTGGAGAGGCAGAGCAACCACAGAGATTAAGCGCAATTCTCATCCCACATGATATCAAAGGTACAGGATTTATCATCGCTGCTGTGAATGCCCTTCAGTAACAGACCCCCAGGGACACACTATAGGTAGACAAGCTGGGTTTCTTTCTCCTTGCAGTGAGGGAGAACACACACCATGGGGAGCTGTAGGGTGTCTCAGTGGGAGGATGTTAGAAAGAAACTATTACAGGATTTTGGCTTTGGTTGGGTGATTTGGGGGTGGGTCTAAGGAAGCGGAGGTTTCTTCTAGGTTGTATGCTGTCAGAAAGCAGGGCAATTATATGATCGGGTATCTCAATAAATCTTATCTACCAGGAGGCGAAACTGGGGCAAGCTCCCCCTCCCCCACAGTCATCAAAATGTTATTGGAAAACCGATACCAAAATAGGAGATCACTGCTCTGTACCTTACAGAATCAAACATAATTACATCATCTTGTTAGATTCACTAGAATTACTGAACTGATAAGGTTTTCTGCAACAAAAACAAAGTCAGGAAGTTGTGTGGGTGATTAGCGTTGCTTTCTGGTAAATGAGCATCCTTCTTTTGGTCTGCTTTTCCCCCTGCAGGCTGGCACAACCCTGTTGAACAGCCTACACAAAGAACTACTGTCTAAGGATGGATGGAAATCCTGTTAATCTTGGTGCAACCTGGACATTTTATATCCATTAAATAGGAATTTGGATTTTGAACTAGCTGCTTCTTTTTAATTTTTTTTATTATTTCTCTTCCAAGGATGGATATAGTAAAACCTCTAGCCAAAGGCATGCTGATCCTTATCTATATCAACCTACCTATATATAGATGGATATAGCTATCAAAATCTTATCTATAGGGAGGGGGAGACCAGCACAAGGAAAAAGCTAGAATTGGTAAAGAGGTAGCAGTCACTTATTTTGGGTGACAGACGGGGTGTTTGGTATTTTCTGGGTGGCATAATGACCTTGTTGTTGTCTGCGCTTAGACAAAATTATAGAGTAGCCTTGCTTTGTCTCATTTTATCAGTCTCAGAATAACTTTGAGTTTGGTATTCTATGAGACCGTGTATAATTGGAAAATTGTGTGATCTATCTGAGAGCCAGACCAGCTTTGGAATGTCAGTTTTTTCTGTCTCAATGCTAACCCTGATCACCTTTCTTTGCCAAATTCTTTCACCATAGAGGTACTTTTCTGTCTCTTTCTATTCTCTAGCCTTTGGAAGAAAGTGATAAAGTGTAGCTGACGTTTAAGGGGTGGGGAGTTATGCTCTACCTCCTTGAGGGGTTAGCCCTGAAATTGCAAATCTCTTTTTTGCTTAGGCTGGTTTGAGTTGGGGTTTGGGGAACCCCAAACAGTTCTGATGCCTGCTCTCAGGCCTCAGTGTCCCCCTTGCTGGAGTCTGCCTTTGTCAGGGCCTGGCCTCCTATCTGGAATTCTGGTTCCTGCAGGCCAGACCCTTCTCTCTGGATCTGTCTCTGCTAAGATATTGTGAGATCCAGCCTCATTATGGGGAGCACCTGGACTGGCTTTTCCTCCTCCCTCTGGTCACCTGGCTCTGTCCTCTGTTACCTGGAGTGACTTCCCGCCCTGCACTTTTCCCCTAGCTCCAGGTGAGTGGGGCCCCAGAGGTAGGGCTTCCACTGGGAAGGGTCAGTCCCATGACTACGCTGTTGAATGAATGACCTCAGGATGCATCCTCTTGAAAGCACAGAGACCTGGGACAGAAATGAAAGCAGGGTGGACTCAGGGTCGGAGAGGTGGGAACACCTCAGTGGCCATTTTTGTGCCTGGCTTCCATGAAGATGCAAGTGGATTTCCAAACTCCAGAAAACGAGTGGTACCTTGTAAGCCATCACTCTCCTCCTTCATGAATCAAGCCAACTCCCACTTCTATCTCTCCAAGTGTTCTTGAGCCTCAGGGCACCAGGGGGAGGTTCAAATGGCTGCTGCTCGGGCAGACTGCAAGGTGTCCCCTCTTTCGGCCTCAAGCCAGACAGATGTCAGCTGAAGTGGATGAAAGGTGGCTGGTGTCATGGTTAGGAATATGTGTGAAGTCCCTCAGACCAAGGTCTGAGTCCTGCCTTTACCAATGGTGAGTGTGGACTGTGCACGTTACTTAACCTTGCCAATATCCAAAGTCCTCATCTGTAAAACGGAGATAAAATTAGAATGAAACATCTAAAATTATTATTCTTCAACTATTTTAAATGACAAAAGCATCAATGTCATGTATCAGCCTAACTAGTAGCCTCCACCCCATGGACCTGCTGTTGAGAAGATGAGGAGAGAGGCTGGTGCTGGTATCCATTTGTCCATGCCAAGCCCTTAAGACGCATTAGCCACTGGGGCAGCTGTGCTTATTTTAGTTCCGCTTATTAATGAAAAATTTATTATAAAATCACCAAGGAGATTTCTTTAAAAACAGATGAAGGAAGATGACATGTCCAGACCAATGAATTGGATTCTCAGTTTTTTTCCAGTTATCGTGCTGTAGGGGAGTGTCCTGTATCAATGAAGAACCTGTTGGGGATCCATCCTACGTATCAACTAAGAACCAAACATGCTTCTGGGATGCTAAGGTCTCCACCACACTCCAGGCAAGGACTAAGTCTGAAAATTTGGCCTGAACAGAAAATCAAGTACTACTCAATGTGTCTGTCTAGGAACAATAAAATACCATACTAATGGGAGAAGAATATCTAGCAAACGAAGGAAGCAGCAGCATTCTGGCTCCGAGCTGGGATGATCTAAAGAAAACAGGTTGCTCTTTAAAAAAAAAAAAAACCCAAGGAAAAAAAATAGAAGCTTTTGTTCTGCACTAGAAAAGATAGAGTTCTTTCAACTCAGCAGTCAGTTGCTGTACACCACAAGCATCCTTCTGTGTAGGAAAATCAATAAAGACAATAAATAAATGGCAATCCCATTGAGGGCTGCTTACTAAGTGATTAAATGTTTCAAACCCCAAATACTTGCATGCTTCAGGGATACAAATCTGAATGAACATATGTAAATGGAATTAATGCTCAAATAATTTTCTAGTTACTTAGCACAAATGTGCAATTATTAATACTGCCATAATTTATGTTTGAATATTTATCCTCGTTTTCCTAAGCATAAAACCTTTAATCTACTTTTCTGACATAATTTGAAAATAGACGTGGGAATCTTTTTAATCACCGTAGGCTTTTTGTGGAGGGGGAAAGGAGACCAAAGAAAGTCTTTCGGGGACACTTGTTCTAAGGTGAGGCTGGACGATGTCAGATGTCTCTACTTCCCCCCGAGAAAGGGGAGCATACGGTCTTTCAAAATCTATGATGAAGTTGGTGCTAGGATATCAGATTTAGATTCCACTTTTTGTTACAAGGACCCCGTTTTAGGCTGTTCTTGCACTGCTCTGAAGAAATACCTGAAGCTGGTCATTTATAAGAAAAGAAGTTTCATTAGCTTATGGTTCTGCACCCTGTATAGGAAGCATAGTGGCATCTGCTTCTGAGGAGGCCTCAGGAGGCTTCCAATCATGGAAGAAGGCAAAAGGGAAATAGATACATCACATAGCGAGAACAGGAGCAAGAGAGAAAGAGTAGGGGCAGAGGTGCCACACAGTTTTGAATGACCCGGTTTCATGAGAACTTACTCACTATGATGAAAACATCACCAAGGGGAAGGGGCTAAACCATTCATGATAAATCTGTCCCTAAGATTTAGTCACCTCCCACCAGGCCTCATCTCCAACATTGGGGATTATGATTTTTTTTTCTTTTTTTAAATATATTTTTTTAATTATACTTTAACTTTTAGGGCACATGTGCACATTGTGCAGGTTAGTTACATATGTATACATTAACGTGAGATTTGGGTGGGGACAGATATAAAAACTACCTCAGACCCTGACTGTACAAATAAGCATTTTTACGGCTTTTTTTTTTTTAATATATAAGAAAAGTCCTTTGAGTTATGCTGAGGGGCCTGGGGGAGCACAGAGCACAGAAATGACCAGAATCTTTCCACACATTAGCACTGAGGAGAAGGTCTGCCCCTGAGCCCAGATGTTGTTTTCTGTTAGCTCTGGAACTCCCTTGGTGCACACAGGGTGGACGCTCAGGGCTACCTTCTCCCTGCACCCTGCCTGGCTCCAGCAGGAGTTCATGTCCAGTTCGTCACTATGGGCTGTAACTACATCACCTTGGCTTGAAATTATTGTCTTTTAGATGCTTCCCAAGTGTTTTCTAAACTTTGATACAGCAAAGAAATGCCTTCATGTCCGATGTCTTCACCTCTGCTCCCTTCCCCTCCCTGCCAAGCACATGGAAGGGAAGCAAAGCAGTTGCTCTGAAACGTCGTGAAGATGGGAAATAGCCTCTTCCACCTGCATCCCTCTAGCAAGAAAGGAGGCTTGGGTTTGAATTCCAGCTCTGTCCTCACTCATTAGTGACCCTGGAGAAAGTTCTTCTCTTTGAATCTCAGTTTTATCATCTGTTAAAGAGGAGAGAAGAAAGGTGGGGGGAATGGAAGTACAGAATGGGGGAGGGAGAGGAGGAAAGAAGAAGGAAAGGAGGGAAAGTTGGAAGAAAGGAGAGGGGGGAAGTGGAGTGGGGATGGGAAGGAGGGAGGAGGAAGAGTCACCTGGGTAGTCTCCAAAGGTTCCTTCCAAACTTGAGATTCTATGTCTGGGAAATTCCCTGATCCTTCAATCCTCATTTGCTAAGCCTTCTAACTTCTCAGAGGCCCTGCCAGCCTCCTCCCACCCACTCACTGGCTGCATCAGGATCACAGTCATTCTGTCCCAGAAAGCCTAATAAGTTAGAATTCGAATGCAGAATTTTCACTGTCTATGAGCCTCCAAAGTCCCTGGGACCTGGGAATTGGAGGAGGAGAGCTGGGTTTGAGAAACAATGGCTTAAGTGTATTTCTGTGTCCAGTGAAAATTAAACAATATGGCATCAGGAAATGTAGACATTGATTTTAATAATGGATAATGGAGATCCAAGCAGGAATAGAAATACTATTTAAAGTTCATTCGGTTACAAAAAGTAAATAACACAGTCACCTATGTTAAACTCTTATTCATATGTCACTGTCATGCGGAATCATGATATCCTGAAATATATGCTCAATTGTTTAAAATTTTGAAAAATGTATTTCTTATTTATATTGAATTAGGCATGTCATTCACTTCAGTAAAGAAAAAAAAAAACAAAGTTTAAAAGCATATACAATGAAGTCTTCCTCTTACCGTATCCCTCAGCCATCCAGTCCTCTCCAGAGGTAAACAATGTCACCAGCAAACATTGTGTCCTTGTTTATAAAAGCAAACATATAGATTCTTCTTCTTACCTTTTACATACGTAATGACCTACCATAAATTGTGTACATTTCATATCATTTACAAAAAAAAAAAAAAATCAACTGGTCACATGGGCTTAGCCCTCATAATTGTCTGCTTATTAACTTTAACAAACTTGGGCGTGTTTAGATTACCACTGATGCATTATTTGCATAATAACCACATATACAGAGCTCCCAACATGCCAAGCATTGTTCTAAAATCTTTATAAGTATTAACTTGCTTGATGCTCTTCTACCCCACAATCTGACCAATGGATCTATTAAAGGTATCTGAAACGAAGACTCAGTTTATCTAAACTGGTAGTTCTCAAGGAGAGCTGTGCCACCCCAGGGGGCATCTTGTAAATTTGCAATGGTATTTTCTGGTTGTTACAGTGATTGGTGGACACCATTGTCAGTTAGTGAACAGGTCTGGGAATAGATGGGACAGTCCCACATGGGAAAGCATTATCCTGTCTTCAGCACAGCTTTTAAATGTCCTGTTGCACATTCAGGTAGGTAAAAAATCCACTTGTGGTGATCCAATCCCAGTACCTAATGCTGGTCAATATCTAAGCACAAATATTCCTTGCGTGGTTTTCATATACACCACTGACATTTTCAGGAAGCAACAATGATGTAAATTGAGGGCAGATGTATTTTGTTTCACTGGGCACTTTCTCACAAGTTCTTCACCATTTCAGAATATCATGTTGCTAACAGCAATTCTTCCTGTGGGATGTGAATCATCAAGGCAACCAACACACCTGCATCAGAGCCAACCATGTCCCTGCTGACTCATTGGTCTACATCAACAAGAAGCGTGGGTTCACGTTTTTTTCTCTACCCAGGATTTGGAAACAAGAGACTTAGAGGTGAGTGTCAGGATATGCTTTCAAACACCAGGAACACTCTTTCCATTCAACAGACCATGACCAATATCCAAAATAAGAATCACCCAAGAACTGCAGGATGTGCGTGGCTGTCACCTGAGGATGCACAGTGTATCTTGCATTTTTCCTGTGAATGCCTCACCTCCCCTTTCTGGGCAAGTGGGAGCCTGGGACTTGATCTAGGTAGGACTTGTAGATGTGGGAGGGGCAGGGCTTCTATAATCTATATCCTGGCAGAGGTTGGCCTAGGGAGAAAGAAAGAGCCCAGATGTCCAGAGCAGGCCAATGGGAAGAATGGAAGAAGAAGGAACAAGACCGTAGACTCAGGAAGCAGAGCCAGGAAAGATTCCTAGAGAAAGTGAAGGCAGAGAGACCTCTGTGATAACCTGCAGGGGAGCCAAGGAATAAGAAGAAGCTTAAAGGATCCTGCGTCTCCCTCCTGGAACCAGCCTACGGTAACAACCAACCGAAAGGAAGGCAGATGGCCATTTGCAGTAACTCCCAAAGCCAGGGTTAAAGACTTCACAATCTGGTTTTGCAGACATGATGATGATTCAATTATCCTCCTCTACTTGGGCCACACTACTGCTTAAATTTGATAAGGCAATGAAGACCAAGGAAATGAACTTTTAACCTAAAAAGACTTAGATGGAATGTTAATTAACTCTCTAGGGATTTAAGACTGATAAGTGTAACCTGAAAACAGTGGATTAGTTTCCTTTGGTGTAAGACTGAAGATGAAGTTAGCTTCCCCTTTTCCTGTTGGTGGGAAGGACAGGAGGTGGAGAGAACCTATGGAATGGGGAAGGCTTGCGGGCCAGCAGCATTTAAGGCACAACGGCACCCTGGCTCTCCACCTGAAGGATGTCTTCTTACCCGGTGAGTCCCAGCTTAAATGACAGCATCATCGGAAATACTTACATTCTCAAGGAAATTTACTAAAACAGAATGCCCATGAAACTTAAGATAGACAGTCAGATGATAAAACTTAAGAATAACACAAAAAGGGGGATGGGAAATTAAGGAAAGAAATTGAGGGCAAAATAAACCCCAAGGCAGAAATAATCAACCCATTATTAGCAATAAGAAAAACAATTGGCTTTGCAGAAAACTGAGTCAGAGACATAAGGAAGAGATTTGTGAAAGTTGAACAGAATGCAAAAGGAAACAAGAATAGTGACAGGTAAGGAGGGCACGCCACAGAGATCAATATACAAACACCAACGTCCTGGAACAGAGAACACACCAAAAGGTGCAGAAAGGCAGATTTAAAGGATAATGGGAAAAACTCTCCTGAGGTGAGAAAATGGAATCTTCCCATCAAACAGACTCACCAAATTCAATGAAATCATGATCAGCAATAGGAAGACATATCTTGGGGAATCTACTGAACTTCAGAAATAAAGAAAGCTGCACTAATTGAAGACAGGACAAGTCTCTTCAAAAGGTAAAAATTAAGCTCAGCTCAACCATATTTAATGTCAACAGATATTTATAGATTTGGGGAAACAGATAAGTGGCCCAAGAATTTTGCTATGCAGTTGAATTAGCATTCATACATAATAACAACACAAAGACATTCGCAAATGTGCAAGGACTAAAGAGAGATATTGTCCTTCTATGTGAATCAGCACATCTGCTAAATAAACTCTGATGAACTCAAAGAAGAGGTAGACTAGGAACACCAGTGTCTAAAAGGATTTGAGGTAAATATCAAATCCACATCAATAAAGCTAACTAATTGTGGTGATTATATTATTAACAGAATGTAAGTTTATGCATGCAAAAAATAAAACATTTTACAGGAAACATTAAAAATATCTATAAAACTTGCTATTATAAAGTGAACATAAATGTTTTATATAAAAATTAAAATATAATAAGAAAAGACTGGGATAAAAGATAAATACTAAATAAAACTATCAAAAAATACCAATTAAACTTAGGAAGAAAGAGAGGGAACCAAGAAAAATAAATGCAAGAGTCCTAATTTCCTCACACTGTTCCATATCCTAAATTCATAAAAGGAGAGAGAGTTAAGCCTATTGTTTAAAGTTGTAAAGGTAGCCATTAGTTAGAAATTAAAACAGATTAAATATATTCCATATGCCCCCAGGACAATAAACAATCAAAAACATATAGTGAGAGAAACAACACAAAGGAAAAACCAAGGAAGCAAAAACCCCCGAAAACATTAAATAAGATTAAAACATTGAAATGAAACACAGCTATTATAAAAATAAATGCAAATGTGATAAAAGTTAAGTTCCATTTTTAAAAAAAGAATTTACATTTGGGATCTGTAACTAAATCTAGCTATATGCTGTAAAAGACAAACTTAGAAAGTAAAAGGATGGCCAAAGCTACACCAGGCAGCAAATGGAAAGTAGTAGGGTTTATAAAGCAGTATTAATATTAGAGTTGAATTTAAGGAGAAAAGTATGATAATGCTGAGGTATAAAACTCACTGTGAAAATGCATGTTTGCTTGATCTTCATACGCCGAACAATATAACATCAAAATAGATAAAGTGAAAATTGCAGGAAATAAAAAGATAAACTGTTTGAAACAAGACAGTAATGGGAGAATTTAGCATATCTTTTTTAGTCACTACTGGCCTCTATAGACTAAAAATAAGTAAGTAAAGAGAGGAAAACAAAACCAAAAACAAAAAACCTCACAGGATTCGACTAACATAATTAACAACAATTTCTTTTCACGTGTTCATGTGTTTTGTAGAAGTTGAGTAATAAACAAAACTAGTAAATTCTAAGAAAACATAAATGGTTCAGATTTTCTGACTACAGTACAATAAAATCAAAGCTAATAACAAAGGAGGAAAAAACCCTCCCCTAACTAATAAATGTGCAAGCATCTTCTAAACTACTCTCAGGCCAAAGAATTCAAAACCACAGATAAAGATAATGACAACAAAAACAACACGTATCAGATACTAAAGCTGTACTCAGAGGAAAACACAGTTTTAAATTCTTTCACTACGAATCATTAGAGAGTGAAACTAAATGAATTAGGCACCCAAATCAAGTATATAGAAAAATATCAAATAAACACAAACAGCAAAAGTAAGGAATGAATAAAGATATATGCAGATAAAAATAAATTAGCAAACAAAAATGCCAGAATAAAACCAAGAGCAGTTCTTTAAGAGAAAAGAAAAAAAAAACCCACAGTAAAATAAACTACTTGCTAGACGAATCAAGAAAAACGCGAGAAAGCACAAAAATGCAACACTAAAAGTGAGAATAGAAAAATAACCATAGATACAATGGGAGCTAAAGGAACTCAAAACAATATTTTGTACAACTGTAGCTAATACATTTGAAAATGTAGATGAAAGGCAGGCTGTATAAGCCTGGTTTTCCAGCGTCCCTTGCTAAGGAGACATCTGCAGAGGTAAGGAGTTGGCTTTTGGGGAAATGCCTGCATTCCTGAAAAACAACCACCACCCCACTCTCAGGGTGCTGCAGGCTTCTTGCAATCAAGAGGGAAAAGCCAGCCCACTCCGATAAATGACACGGCTGAGCCATGGACGGAACCATAACACACTTCTACCCGGTATTCTTGTGGTTGGAAAGAAGAAAACTTTTTGTTTGAATCTCTATGACCCAAGTTTTCTGTTATTGCAACAAAATACATTTCTAACTGGAGGTGTACCTTGTTACCACAATGAAGCCAGTACCCTGCATTCATTTCAAAAATGTCTCTCTGGCTAGTTTCATCTCTCATTTGCTGGAAATGTGGGGCAATGCAACCCAACAATAGAACCAAAGGAGAAACAGAAAAAGGAGAAGGCAGATTACTGTTATTTAACATATTGTGACTGATAATCAGAGCACCCAAATGAATTAACTGAAAACTCGTATTAAAAAATATAACTTAAGGTGGCTGGCTACATAATTAATATTCAAAAATAAATAGATTTACTATATAAAATAATCACTAATTAGAATATATAGTAGAAGAAAAGATCCTGCTTATAGCAGCCACAAATTGATAAAATAACTAAGAACATATTTGGAAAAACAGGACTCAAACCTGTAAAAATTTACTTATTCTTAAAAGGCAATGCTTAATGAGTTCTCACCATATGAATTATAAATTCAATAAATCTTAACAAAAAGAAAGCTAGTGGAAATATTAAGTAAACCAAGATGAAAATAATGAAGAATAATATTAAATGGAGCAAAAATACTTGACTTTCTTTTTTGTTTTTTTTTTTTTTGAGACAGAGTGTCACTTTGTCACCCAGGCTGGAGTGCAGTGGTGTGATCTCTACTCACTGCAACCTCTGCCCGCCGAGCTCAAGAAATTCTCCTGCCTTAGCCTCCTGAGTAGCTGGGCACACGCCACCATGCCCAGCTAATTTTTGTATTTTTAGTAGACACAAGCTTTCACCATGTTTTCCAGGCTGATCTTGAACTCCTGACCTCGAGATCTGCTTGCCTCAGCCTCCCAAAGTGCTGGGATTACAGGCATGAGACACCGCACCCAGCCTTGGTCTTCTTAGAGAAGCAATCTACTAAGAAGATAAAATAGTTATGTTTTTATGTCTAAAATTGTGCAATACAAAAACTGTTAGAAAAGTCAAAGCAATACTAACAAAATAAATAGTGAGACAATTTAATACAACTCTCTCAGAAACTGACCAATAAATGAAGACACAAAGAATTTGAATAACACAATAAACAATTCTAACTTAATAGATATATGCAGAAGTGTATGGCCAAAAAACAGAAAACAGGCATTCTATTCAAAACCACAAAACCTTTCAAAATGTTTATGTCACAAAGAAATCTCAGTTTCTAAAGGTAAAAACCATAAATGTCACTTTCTCTGACTGTAATTCAATTAAACCAGAAATGAATGACTCTAAAACCTTGAACATTAAAAAATTCTCCTCTAGATAACACTCAAGTTAAAAATAAAGTACAAATTAAATTATAGAACATTTAGAAATTGAAAAAATCAAAGTAGAACAAATCAAAGTTCTTGGGTTACGGCCAAAATAGTATTTTAATAGAGGAAAATTTATTTCCTTAAGCTCATTTTTTAGAAAACAAAGAAGACTAAAATTAAATGACTAAGCATTTAACTCTAGAAGTTAGAAAAAGAAAGAACAATAACATCAAATAGAAGGCAAATTCATTTATATCTCATCTCAAGAATAAAATTAGAAATTACTGACATAGCAAAAAGGTAAACTTGATAGATAAAATCAATAGTTGGTTTTTCAAAATAGCTGATGAAATAGACCCAATCTCTTGGCAGTTCTAACCAAGGAGAAAATGGAGAAAACACACTTAATAGAAAATAAATATAAAATATAGGCAAAGTCATTAAAAAACCATACAAGGAGAATAATTACACACTTTCTTCTAAGGAGATGTTTTAAGTCTTATTAATTTTACAAGATTTTTAGTAAATCTTGTAAATTTTATTAAAAGAAATTTAACGTACTATAAGAGGACTGTATTGTGGCAGTGGTCCTTGCCTGCACGTGAGTGAGCTTGACTTTGCTTAGAAGCTCTCTTCATTCCACTGTCACCTCAACAAAGATTTTTACACTGGTAGCAAGACAAGCAGTTGAAATTTTTACTTAAATTTAGACCCGCTGCGCTTACGTAAAATATCTTCAAAACTGAGCGTAACATAAGGAAACATTGAAGGGAGTGGTGCCGTGTGTTCAGAGCTAGCTCAGAAGCCCAAGAAGCTGAGGTCTTCTGCCTCACTGCAGAGACTGGAAGAGACACCTCGGGGTGGGAGAAAGGAACCCATCTTTGGTTGTTTCCTGGAAGAGTTCACTGAATTGCTGGAAAATTTTAGCTATGAAAATAACATAGTTGACAAAGCCGAGGGCAGTAAATTGTTTTAAAAGAGAACTGGAAAAGAACACCCCAGGAACAACAAACGCACCAAGCACCCAGATCTTGTTTGTTAATCTCATCCTGCAATGAAAGGAACCAACTCTTCTTGGAGAAATGACTGATTCTAGGACTGCGGCAAGAGACGCACAAAATGAGCCTGGAGCTTCTTTTAGGGACAGAAAGTAAACAAGTGCTCAAAAACAAACAAACACACAGAAACCCCCCCACAATGACGGCGGCTGTCAGAGGGACCCAGGAACCAAGCGAAAGAGCTCCCAAGGGTGGAAAATGGAGCAATATGAGCAATAAAATAAAGTAGTATTGGAAATATAAAATAAATATCTATGAGTCCATGCTGATAATGAATAGATTAGAGTAGATTAATAAATGGAGGAGTATAGACAGATCTCCTTGCAGAATATTTCCAAATAATTTATGTGGATACTCTAGTCTCAAACAGGAGACGCATAACTCTCCATTCCTTAGGTGTTGGCTAAAAATAGTGACTTCCTTCCAAAGTGTGGAGTATGGAAAAGGGGAAAAGAGTAGCTGTACAGCAGGGAAACCTCACAAGCACTATCCCAGCCGGGTCAACAGGGCCAGCATGCACGATCATAAATCTTATGCATGACACACTCTTGAGATGATGCGATGAGACTGGCCCTCTACCTCTGTGGTCTCCCTCCCAAGAACTCATAACCCCAGTCTTATGAAAAAAACCTAAAGATAAATTTCAATACAGCAGCATCCTGCAAAATGCATGACCTCAAAACTGTCAAGGTCATTCAACAAAAACAAGACAATCTGAGAAACTGCCACAGCCAAGAGGGGCCTAAGGACACACGAAGACCAAATGTGCTGTGGGATCTTGGATGGGACCCTGGAGCAGAAAAAGGACATTCAGTAAAAACTAAAAGAATTTGGCCGGGTGCAGTGGCTCACACCTGTAATCCCAGGACTTTGGGAGGCAGAGGCGAGTGGATCACAAAGTCAGGAGTTTGAGACCAGCCTGACCAACATGGTGAAACCCAGTCTCTATTAAAAATACAAAAATTAGCTGGGCGTGGTGGCACGCGCCTGTAATCCCAGCTACTCAGGAGGCTGAGGCAGGAGAATCCCCTGAACCTGGGAGGCGGAGGTTGCAGTGAGCTGAGATCGCACCACTGCACTCCAGCCTGAGCGACAGAGAGAGACTCCATAAAAAAAAAAAAAAAAGAATCTAAATGCACTATTGCTCTGGTTTGAAAGTGTTCTCCAAAGTTCATGTGATAGAAACAATCCCCAAGGCAACAGTGTTGAGAGGTGGGACCTTTAAGAAATGATTAAGTCATGAGGTTTCTGCCATCAATGGATTAACGTCCTTATCACGAGAGTAGGTTCTTTATCACTCCTCACGCACTCTGAAGCCACACAATGTCTTCTGTCACCAGAAGGCCCTTGTCAGGTGCAGCCCCTCAGTCGTGGACTTCCCAGTCTTCAGAACCCTGAGCCAAATAAACTATTGAATATAAATTACCCAGTCTCAGATATTCTTTTATAGCAACACAAAACAAATGAAGACAACTCTGTTCTTTAGCTAATGATAATGTATCAATATTGGCTCATTAATTACAACAAATGTATTATACTAGTGTAACATATTAATAAGAGAAGAAACTGGAAGCAGGGTATATAGGAACTCTCCATTTTTCGGTAAATCTAAACTGTACTGAAAAATAAAGTCTTGGGCTGGGCATGGTGGATCACACCTGGTAATCTCAGCACTTTGGGAGGCTGAGGTGGGCGGATCACTTGAGGTCAGGAGTTCGAGACCAGCCTGGCCAACATGGTGAAACCCTGTCTCTACTAAAAAAATACAAAAATTAGCCAGTGTGGTGGCTGGTGCCTGTAATCTCAGCTACTCAGGAGGCTGAGACAGGAGAATTGCTTGAACCCAGAAGGCAGAGGTTGCTGTGAGCTGGGATCACGCCACTGTACTCCAGCCTGGGCAACAGAGTGAGACTCTGTCTCAAAAAAAAAAAAAAAAAAAAAACAAAAACTTAAAAAAATTCAGTAAGTGGTGGTGGTAGGATGTGGACAATGTACCTTGACTCCTTAGCCTGCACTCTCAACAAGTAAATAATTTTCTAGGAAAATAAACATTATCACTATTTTCTCAACTAAAGAAATAACCTAAATAGAGCAAGAAGCCTAGATCAATGTAACAGGTAGGTAGAACTGTGTACCCGCATTGCCCTCCCTCCCTGAAAGGTTAACAGTCCCAGATGGCTTAATAAACAAGTGTTGCCAAAGGAACCAACAACTGTGACATTTAGGCTTTTCCAGAGAATTTTTTTAAAAAATAAATTTTTCCTAAATCATTCTGTAGAGCTGGTATAATCCTGACACCAAAACACGACAAAAAAAAAATAGCACCCACACAAATATAAACCAATGCCATTGGTGAATGTATGTGCAAAATCTGATGTAATAATAAATGCTATGCAGGGGAGAAGCTGGGGTAGCTCAGAGTGGGTCAGCAGGGAGGCCTGGGGGCAGCAGCTATTAACCAGCTTGTATGGAACTAGTTCAGTATTTAACAGCTTTCCCGGTATGTTCTGGCGGTCAGCCCAGCCCTGGTAGAAACCCATTTATATTGTATATCTGTGCACACTTGTGTTTTTAGTCTGTAAATATATAGGTCAGGGTCTGGAAGGACATGCACCAAGTTGCTAACAGGGCTGAGAGGATTGAGACCAAAACCGTGGTTGGTAGTAAAGGGAACTTTGGCTTTTATGGTTCAATGTACATTTTTTCAACTTTAAGATAGTGCAAAAGCTATACGAATTCAGTAGATAGAAACTGTACTTCAAGTACCCATACAACTTTTCTGTTTTTCACTTTCACTGCAGTATTTGATAAATTACATGAGACATGCAACTCTTCATTATAAAACAGGCTTTGTGTTAGACGATTTTGCCCAACTGTAGGCTAATATAAGTGTTCTGAGCATGCTTAAGCTAGGCTAGGCTAAGCTATGATGTTTGTAAGAGTATTAAATGTATTTTTAACTTACGATGGGTTTATTGGAACAAAATCCCATTGTAAGTCAAGAAGCATCTGTATATTCACTGCAATAAAATAAAAATTCCCATGAAAAATTATTGACTTGAGATATGATATAATATGATAAAAATGAGCCAAAAACTCATCTGTGAAAATAAGCACGTGCAAATGGAGAATCAAGAGCTTGGGGAAAAAAACTTGCCCTCACTAATATTAAAATATATTGGAAGTTTCAGCATTTTAAAAAGTGCCATACTGACTCAGGAATAGGGAGAAATGCCAGTAGGTCAGAATACACTGTTCAGAAAAAGACTCAAGTATATATAGAAATTTAATGTACGATAACAATGGCATTTTAAATCAATGGGTAAAAGATGGATAACTAAGATGGTTAGCCGTTGGGAAAACATGAAGTTAGATCCCTATCACACTGTTTACACTGAAATAGATTGTAGATGCTTCAAAGATTTAAATGTAACAATCTAAAACTACGAAAGCACTAGAAGAAGACATGAGTGACTTATGCAATGTTGGCATAGGGAAGGCTTTTCTGATATAGTGAGAAAGCTAAAAATCACATAAAACTAGATAATGAGGCTCCCTAGAAATGAAAGATGTTTGCACAATAAAAAAAATGATAAACAAAGTCACAAGATAAAGAATAAGCTGGGGAAAATATTTGTCACACATATAGGATAAAAATTCATGTCCTTTGTAAAAACGAAGAAGATGTGAAAAATCTCAAGATCAACTTGAATAGGAAGTGACAGAAGGGGCGGTAGGTAAAATTCTTCTAGATTGCCACTGGGCAATGCTTTTTCACATATCAAACGTGCACACTCCAGCCTAGACAGTCCAGTTCTAGAAACCTACTCTCTAGAAATATTCACAAAAAGTGTAATATTGGTTACAATTTTTAAAATCTGAAAAAATCCAAATGTACATTAATAGGATATTGGTTAACTAAATTGTGGTATGTACATACAATGGAATACTCTGCAACTACTAAAAACAAAAAAAGTAAATCTATGTGTGTGGACATGGAATTGTTTAAGATAATTACTTAAGTGGAAAAACATTACGAAGCGACATGATCGCATTTTTGTAAAATAATTGGAATATGTATATTTGTAGAAATTCAGAAAAGGACCTTGAAAGATTATACATCAAATATATATCAATCTGTTATAAGGATGATTTCTGAGAAGTGGAAAAAGAAAGTGGAATTATGAGAGGTATCTCTATTTTATATCTTACGTTCATATCTAGTTCGAATGTTTTTACAGTTTGCATTACACCATCAAGAAAAATAACAATTAAAGTTCAGAAATAACAATTGTTAAGGTTATTTTCTCACTTCCATATTCATCATTATTAGCAAAATAAAATTTTCCAGCATAAAAAAAGGCAACCAACTTGACTGATGCACCAGCTGAACGAGTTCAGGATCATGGGCAATCTCCCTCTTCAGTCCAAGTGTGAGTTCATTCAGAAAGGACTTCCAAACACGGGATTTAGAGAAAAGCCCCAGGGAAAACCATCGCAAACTCCCCCACAACTTTCTTCCTAGCCCTTCACTCTTCTAACAGGCTGAGGGTGGCCTTAGCCAGGAACAATGAGTGGCGAATAAGTGGCTTTGGACAGGAAGTTGCCACTCCAATAGGAAACTTGGCAGCCAAACTGAAGCGATGGAAGCTTTGTGAAGTGAAGAAAGCCCACCAGCTGTGGAACAATATGGGCTGCTGTGGTGTAGTGAAAAAGCACTGGATTTGGGATCATAAAATTGGGGTCGGGGATCCATCCCCCTTGATGATTGAATTTGAAACTCAGATAAGGGCTTTGAGCCTCACTTTCCTCCTCTGAAAAGTGGATTCGTGGTATCTATCTCACAGGGCTATGGTGAAGATTCAATGTAAATATGTATACGGAATGCTTTGTAAATAGTAAGACAGCGTACACGTGCAAGTGGTCACTCTACCACTTGTGGCGTGTGTTAGCTAGTAGAAGCCAGTGGTGGGACCATCAATTTCAGCTCTTGATGACCATGCACATCCACAGGGCTAGGGTTGCCAGAAAGAATACAAGACCCCTAGTGAAATTTGAATTTTAAATAAGTAATGATTTTTTTTTAGTATGTCCCATGCTAACTGAGCATAGCCAGCATTTAGTTTTAACTATTTCTTATTGTTCTCTCCTCATTTCAAATAAATTAGATGCATCTTCTCCACTATTTTGAAAGCCCCAGGGGAGTACAGATCATAGCGTATATATCTTGGATGCTCCAGATGCCTGAACACTGTCATGCACAGAACAAGTGCTAAATAAACAGTAACTAGAGCAATGCGTTCGTCATTAGCACTAATACCTTCAGAGTTTGAATACACATCCTAATATCCACGGGTCCCTCTCTCTCATCTGACTACTGCACACATGTGAATCTGCTGGTGCTCAGGAGTTCAGGTACTGGCCTTAAGTGGGGAAGTTAAGGAAAGAAAGTCTCCAAGACCTAGCATGATGCAGACCTGCTTGCTCCTACACCAACACAGTAAGTCTGGGATGTGACTGAATCTCCCAGAACTTGTCTTAAAATATTAAAATCCCTCCTATACTTTGAGTCCTGCTTTATGGTTGTGATTCGCTATGAGATAAATAGAAATTTTTAGACTTCATTTATGTAAAAAGAAGAAAGAGAATTTATGCCTTTAAAACACAGAAAGGAACTCAAGTTTGGCTGGGTTTGGGGCTACTGGATTTTGAAAAGAAGGCAGCATTTCCTAAACACTGGTCCCTGTCATTCTTTCTTACTTGGCTCTTTCTTGCTAAACTTTTCAATGAGGACTTGGAGCTGCCGTGAATGTCCCTGGGTTAAAAGAACATATTAAATCAGTATTTGGTAAGAAGGGAGGTAAAATCCCCAAAATATAGGAGTAACTCTACCCATGGACAAGATGACAATCTAGATGCACTATACGTAATCAATGGCGTGTTTTTTGGGGGAAAGATACAAAGCTTTTTCTGGAATTCTTTGATAAAATACACACTTGAACCACAAAAAAGGAAATGTGACAAGGAAATACTTTGCATATTGAGTTGTGGCCATGGTTATGGAGGAGTGTACACCATTTCCAATTAAACAAAGAAATAGGCAGCAGAAAACACTTTAAAAAGGAAAACCACGGAGTCTCTTTCAAAGAAGAGTGGAATTTTCACTCTACCTTATTCATTAAAGTTAGAAACTGCCATCCCTTTAATGAGCAGCCTGAGGGTGGAGAAATTGTCTTGAATAGCTATATTCCAGGGAGCACTTGGCATCATCACTGAAACATAGTGTGGGATTGCAATTGTGTGGGGTTTTTTTTCCCAGTGAATAGGAAGCGATCAAAGATAACATTGCCTGAGAAAGAATTAAAATAGTGTAACATTGCATCAAGTTATAGCCAATGCCAATCATTATATGGATGAATGAACAAGATCCTTTAAATAATGGTATAGACGTGCTGTGGCATTCAAAATATAATGACCAACTTCGGGGGGGTTCAAATAAAAACGCAAAAGCATGTGCCCACTCATCTGGCCAAAACAGTGAAGTATAAGCACGTCTCTTTAAATAGATCTGCAAGCCATATCCTTCATTTACATCATCTATAAAACACTGGACTATAGGAAGTAAATTAATTCACAAAGACTGCCACAGAAATTTTATATTAGCAAGGCGAAATGCTATCTATGACGAGACTAGGAAAATTAGAGGCACAATCAGAAAAAATAAAGTAAAAGGGATTTATATAATTACAGTGTGATCACCTTTCCCTCTGTGAAAGGACAGGAAAGGAAAGCACAATGCAGGAATTGAATTCATCATTGTGTGGATGAGAGCTCCTGGCATATAATGCTAGACAGAGCTATTTACTGGAAAAAGTGTTGCTTTATTTACATGCTAAACAGCATCACCTTCTAGCTTCAGAAGACTGACAAATAACAGCATAGCAAGGAAGAGAAAGAAAAGGCAATCTTCCCTACTCCAGACAGAATTGGAACAGGATGGACACATATTGTCACCAATCCAAACATCTTGACCCCATCGCTAGAAAATGGAATCCCCAGCTTCTCCAAACATCTCCAAAGAGATCATCTTTGCTTTTTTGGTTACAAGAATGATAACAAGGAAACTCGACTCTGCATCCAATAGGAGGGATGAGAGCAGGGAAAAGAAAATCAGCACACTACTTAGTCTAGGAAATCTCCACAGCACAACTCTTTCAAAAGATGGAAAAAATAAAATTTAATCTGTGACAGAGGATACAGAAATGAGTCCAAATGCACCTCCTTGTGCCCTTAACCAAAATAATAATAATAATAATAATAATAATAATTCGATCTAATGAACAAAGAAAGACTGGCTGATGAATGAAGTGAATTGTTTTAATGCAGTAAACAGGAGGTCTGAATAAAGAGATCAAAGGAGGCCAGAGTGCAATGCACCCACAAGTGCAATTGCTCCCCAGGGAGTGACAAGAATAAAATTGCAAGATTTTGCTCCAAGTTACAGCCAGTGGTTCTAATCTAGTTGTCTATGCTAATCAAGGCACAGCCTTTGAGCTTCCTCCAAAAAGATTTCACTTTTTGATTTAGAAAATAATGCTTGAACTTGCAGTTGGTATTTATAAATTCTGACAGATACCAGGAGGGGACATGAAAGCACTGTGTGGGAAAACAAATAAAATACCCAGGATATCATTCTAGCCTTTCCTATTCTTAGTTATGAAAGCTTTGGCAAATAATTTTATCTCTGGGCAACTACTTCTAAATTTTATGCATTTACCTTGTCCTAAATATTTGTATTTAACAATAATTATAACACCAACAAATATTTTTCTTAAACACAAACAAAAAAACTAGACAGAAGATTTACATAACAACCTGTATTGACAGAATATCCATAGTTTTCATTTCTCATTAGATGTTTATTGAGTGAGATGAAGGCTTTAAGATTATCTGGGTAACATTTACTTATATTACTTAAAATTTGTTAATGAGACTATAAATAGTTGCTTGGACAGAAATGAAAAATACATGTTTGCATGACTCAGTTTGAATTTTGGTTGAGATGAATTTTGGTTGAGGGACAGGGATGGTGAAAAGCTCACAGGGAAGCACACTGGAAAGTGTGGTGATGCGAATGCCAGGTAAGGAAAGAGGGAGCTGGTTCACTGCCTAGAATCGGCCATGTTTCCTTTGCAGATTCCAGCATATTGAGGGCTCAGTTAGCAGCTCTGCAGAGGGTGGACATTCACCAAGGATGTGCCCCAGGAGGAAATAAGCCCCACCCACCCCACCTGGCAGCTGACCCGGGCTGCATGTATGCCAGCGAGCATAGGCATTACCCAGTAGCCATTATGCTATTATCTGGCTGCCATTGCCTTTTAGTAATTACCCAGCAGCCATTGCCCTGCAACCATTACCCAGCAATCATTGCCCTGCAGCCATTGCCCTGAAGCTATTACCCAGTGGCTATTACTCAGCTGCCATCCCCTGGCACCATTACCTGCTGTCATTATCCATCAGCCATTTTGTGTGGGTCTCCAGCGACCCAACGTGGAGCTGCTGCCACTGTGCCCAAGTTGCACTGTTGCAGGAGAAGCTGGCCGCAGTCTCCCTTCCTGACCCAGAAATCCTTTATGGCCATAAGGCCCAGCACAGGGGCCTGGGCCATGCTCCTGGAGGGAGCCAGGTCATTTGCAGGAGGGATCCTTGACTTGGGGAATGACAGGAGGCAAACAGGAAGTGTCCTTTCATGGTGGGTGAAGGATGAAGCTGATAAAAGCCTGACCACCTGGGCAGTTATCCAAGGCCCAATCTGGAAGAAGCCTAAGGGAATTCTGGAATCCCTGTGGAGTTCTAAAGGGATTCAGAGACTGTTTTATTTACCACAATACATCTCACTTCTGGGGCTGGACAACTACTTTGCGACACTGGTTTGAGTAAGACAAACTGCCTAGGAGGATGGGTTAACTATAAGATTCTGCTTTGCCCAAGTAGATGTGCCCTGGGCTTTCCAACCCCCATCTGTCTGCTGGCCCACCTCTACTCTTCCTCCCTGCTCAAACATCATCTCTCATCACCCCCACCACCCCACCCCACCTCACAGTGCTGTCTTACCTATAATGCAAGCCAAAACCTTTATGAAATTGTGCTCTGTGGTGGAGGAAGAGGACTTGGAAGAGTGTGTCACTCAATTGTACCCCAGCCCAGAGCTCTATCACTCTCATGTAGGTAGGACCAGGACCAGGGATTGGTCACCCTGGTATCAAAGGTGTCCACCTCTGAGGCTTGGAGTGAAGCACGGTCCCAGAGCAGCAGGAGACCTCATCCACACAGCAGCTGGAAAGGAAGGGGAGGGACATGGCACATATCACACGGTTTTTCTGACTCTGGGGGGGGTAGAATTAGAGGAATCTGCTTTGTGACTGTCATTGTGGTTATTTTCTGCCCAGGCTGTGTGGCCTGGGAAACGTGGATAACTGAAGCTGCCCTGGCACGGCAGAGCTTGGACGTTTGACAGACAATCACTGGCAAAGAGACCGTGGGCTTTGGGAGCACATGTTGTAAACAGACCCCTGTTTGTGAAAGTGCTTGTGGAAGGTCTTACATTCGGCTTCCTGCGTACAATGAGTGACTTAGGCTTCAGAACCCTGGACCAATCCAAGGCATCATACATTCCCAAAGGCTCAGTAGGTCTCTCCTTTTCACTGGATTCATCAGTGGCTTGCTGAGTTTTGTTCTGGCTAAAGTGTTCACATAAATGAGGTCACCAGGCATGTTCTGAAGCGGTGGAAAGACTCCTGTGAAGAAATCAACAGAAACTGGATTTGTTCCTGTTAATGAAATTTCAAAATCTACGCCAGATCTACGTACAAATCATGGACTTGAACTATGTCCTAGAACAGCATAAAAAGAGGAAAGGTTTTAGGTAGAAATATAGCACTTCCATGCTGGATATAGAATTTCATATCGGAAGCCTTAAAGTTACAAGCTTATCACAATATTTTCAGTGTTGAATGATTATGTGAATAAAATGGTGAATTTATTGTTTCGTTTCTGAAAGAAACTATTTTACATCATTTATACACTTTAGGTAAGGTCAATTTTGTGTGTGTGTTTTATGTCTTTGGGAGAAGGCATTTCTAATGAAAACGAAATTCACAAGGAGAACTCCATAAGCCCAGGTTCCAAGAAGCCCAGCCTATGCGCTACAGCTTTAAAACAGCATGCTTGACGGTGTTTTTCAGGTTTGATTACATCCTGTGATCTGCATTGTTGATCTTCAAACAGACAGAAAAAGTGGAGAGGCATGTTGGAATTTCAGCATAAACTCCATAGTGTAGTGAAGAAAGACTGTTATTATACAGACTTATTTTTTTCATAATGCAAATTATGGAAGTTAAAGTTTGAGAAAATCCTTTTGGCTAGTGGGGATATTTGCAAAGGTCAGAGAGGAGCAGTATGAGCTAATTAAAAGAAAAAAATAAAGATTGAGAAGCTCTCTAAATATTAGATATTTTATCTACTAAAAAAGGAACTTAGGTAAAGAAAATAATCATATAAAAGAATAAAATATGATACAAACTGATGGAAACTTAACTCATATCTGACATAAAAACTCCTCACCAACATTGTGTTAGAAAACTTCTGATAGACTGTGGTACCCAAGATTTCCAAAATTAAGGCACTAAGATAATGAAATTCACCTTTTCATCCCTATTTTTAGACCAAAATAAACTTAAATTTAAATTTGAAAGCAGACAGGTATTCAGAACCTTAAGACTGTGATTTTATTCTGAATAATTGCCTTTTATTTTCAATGCCTATTGTGTCTTTACTGTACCTCATGTCACAATTTAATCTCTCTTTAAACTTAATTTAATGCCTAATTTAATCTCAATATGACTGCTAATAATTAAGAGACCTCATGTTGTGTAGCTTAATGTTTGGTTGTGTTGGTCATGTATACATGTCATGTGCGATATTGTTTCATACCATGCAATTTAATGAACAGCATCACTTGATATGTTTATTTCTGAAGAACAAGAAACCAAGCCACCATCTTTTGAGAGTCAAAACATAGGTTTTCATGGTAATGTTATGAACAGCAAGATTTTATATGTACAGAGGTCTACTTTTAGTATCTGTACAATACATGTACAACTGTACAAATCTCTAGATCATGTGTACCTTACATGTACAAATCTGAATATTATATGCATGAATCCGAAATGGTCATTTTGTAATTACAAGTTACTTACTTGGATTAATAATTTTTGTCAGTAGTTTTCAGCCCTCTTCCCCTTTTTATTGTTGGCTAAATCTTTCAGAGTAATTCTTCTTGGGAGCCCTATTTGCAAAACAGATCAGGATGGCTCTGCTATGAGCCAAGTGTTTGTGCGGCCAGAGATGGAGGTGCAGGGACTGCAGGTGGCCTTCTAGGTTCACTCTCAATGGCCTTTAAGCCCTTTCATGCAGCCCCTAGTATTTCTGGAGCACAAGGTGGAAACTGTTGGCCAATGTAATGTCCTACATGCGTAGAGGGCTTCCATATATATTACAGCATTTCATTCTTCACAACATTGTCCAGTGTCGCTCCATTTTACAGATGAGAAAACATGTGTCCATTTTCCCACAGCCATGTGGGATCAGTGATTAGATATAAGACTTAAACCCAGGCCTTCTGACGACTGTTTTTCCCTTTATTTCATAGTCTATGCCAATAGAAAATATGCTCAGAGAGTCTCCGAAGGAGCTTGAGTAGAGAGATAGGATTTTGGTAAAGCATGAGTGTTTCTTAATGTTGTCCTACTTTAGGAGACATGACTGATGGTATCACGTCATGTGGGTCATGTTCCTGTGCTTTGCCCAGATTACCAACTGCAGAGTGTTTTGAGATGTGTGTAAGCCCCGGCCTGCCAGCTGTAAACCTAACCCTTTCTCTCCCACTTGAGTAAGCGTATTGCAGTACAGAGTATGAAGGAGATGTTATTATCTTAATCTATTTTTGTTTATGAACAGTTTACAAATTTCAGGACTTTAATTATTAGTGGAAACAATTGCTTTTCATCATCCTAGTCGAGAGGCTTTCTGTATAAAGAAGTAGAATTGGTGATCAGCATCTTGTGAAATAATATTAGAATCAAAAATTACCTTGGCAGAAGAAGAGAAGACCCAACAGGAGCCAATGAAAAAAGGGAAGTTAAGAAAGAAAGACAGGCCAGGCATGGTGGCTCATGCCTGTAATCCCAGCACTTTGGGAGACCAAAGCGGGTGGATCACTTGAGGTCAAGAGTTTCAGACTCTTGGCAAAACGCTGTCTCTATTAAAAATGCCAAAAATTAGCAAGGCGTGGTGGTGCATGCCTGTAATCCCAGCTACTTGGGAGGCTGAGGCATGAGAATCGCTTGAACCTGGGAGGTGAAGGTTGCAGTAAGCCGAGATCTCGCCACTGTACTCAGGCTGGGCAACAGAATGAGGCCCTATCTCAAAAAACGGAAGGAAGGAAGGAAGGGAGGCAGGGAGGGAGGGATGGAAGAGAGAAAGAAGGAAAGAAGCAAGCAAGCAAGCAAGGAAGCAAGCAAGACTGCCTGAATATAAGATGAGAAGTGTTTGAAAGAAAGAAAAGAAGAAAGACTGCCTGGATATAAGATGAGAAGGGTTTGACATAACTGGAATTAACACAGCAACCAGAATCATAGCGTTTCACACCAGTTAGTGATTTAGCACTTAATTTTGCACGTGGCAAATACGTTCAATTGAGCATTCATTCAATGTTCACCAAATGAATTTTCCCAGTTCTACCCTCCTTTCCTTCTGAGTATTTAGAAGGATCCTGGAGTGGAGGAAAAAGGAGCCACAGCTTAAGACCTTTGAGAAGAAAGTAGAAAGGGAATGTTATGTCTGTGGAAAAGAAAACGGAGGTTTCAGTTGTACCATTTTGAGGAGAAAAATGACTAATGATGGGTTTGAAATCATCCTTTCTCAGTCTTTTAAAGGGTAAGACAAGGCATTTACATGAGATGCACAAGAGAATTTTCTGATGTTGAGAGTGGCAAACAAACTAAGATAAAAGAGCAAGTGAAGCTAAGAAGAGAAAATTCTCATGTGTCTAAACAATTGAAGTGTGTTCTCGAAGGTAAGGGTGTGGACCAATAATCCCCATTGGAACTCACAGAAGGTTTTGACTCCTATGACCATCACAATACAAGATAAGTTTTTTTTCCTTTTTCTTTTCTTCCAACTTTTATTTTAGGTTCAGGGGATACCCGTACAGGTTCGTTACATGGGTACGTTGCATGCTGCAGGGGCTTGGTGTGTAGCTTATTTCATCACCCAGGGAATCAGCATAGTACCTGAGAGGTAGTTTTTCCTTCCTCTCCCTCCTCCCACCCTCCACCCTGAAGTAGGCCCTGGTGTCTTTGTTCCCTCTTTGTGTCCATGTGTACTCAGTGTTTAGCTCCCACTTGTAAGTGAGAACATGTGGTACTTGATTTTCGGTTCGTGTGCTCATTAATTCACTTGGGATAATGGCCTCCAGCTCCATCCGTGTTGCTGCAAAGGACTTGATCTCGTTCTTTTTTTATGGTTGCATGGCAGAATACAAGAGAATATTTAGCAGAGGAATTGCGGACATGCAGCAGTAATAATGCCCCATGAAATGTTAATAAACATCGTGGGAAACTCGAGTGTGTGTTCAAATTATTTGGGGGAAGTAGTAGGTTCACGAAAGGTATACAGATGTCTTCAGGGCAGGACTTCTCAGAGCCCTGGATATTCTAATGTACCACGTAAAGCTCCCAGCACAAAGAACCAGAAGTATTTTACAAACCTAGTTAAATAAAGAACTTTCCCCACCTCTTCATACCTCACAGAACACTAGAGCTCTGGGGAACACATTTTGGGAAACGCTGATATATAGTACTGTTCTTAAGCAGGGGTGCATTTTAAGAAAGTTGGCAAATTCCTCCTAATTAACAAGAAAATGTAGTATGCCTGAGCCGATCATAGTAGTTTCACTGTAGTCCTTCCCTCCCCATCCCCAAATCACACAGAACAAGAGTTCTATGGTACACACTCAGTCCCACTGTTTTTGCTCACCCAGTGCTACCTAGGAATTCCCACCTCGCTCCGTCTGTTTGACTTCCTCACTTACAATGTCCTTCGCCAAGCACCTGTTAGACACAATCAGAGCACAGAGCTGCAGGCAGGGAAGGAAGAAACTGAAGGATCCTGTACTAGCTTGTTTTCATGCTGCTGATAAAGACATATCCGAGACTGGTCAATTTACAAAAGAAAGAGGTTTATTGGACTTACAGTTCCACATGGCTTGGGAGGCTTCACAATCAGGGTGGAAGGCAAAGAGAAGCAAGTCACATCTTATGTGGATGACAGCAGGCAAAGAGAGAGCCTGTGTAGGGAAACTCCCCTTTTTAAAACCATCAGATCTTGTGAGACTTATTCGCTATCACGAGAACAGTATGGGAAAGACCTACCCTCATGATTCAATTACCTCCTACTGGGTCCCTCCCACAACACATGGGAATTCAAGATGATATTTGGGTGGGGACACAGCCAAACCATATCAGATCCCATGTTTAAGAAGTTCCCAGTTCAGCATACAGCCTTGACCTGAAGCCTTCTCGATGTTTCCCTGCACTGACTCTTCTGAACCTGTATGTACTATGCCTACATCTCTCATAACTCTTTCAGTATTCTGTTTTTGTTCAATAGCTATTTTATTTATTTATTTGAGACACAGTCTCTCTCTGTGGCCCAGGCTGGAGTGCAGTGGCACGATCTGGGCTCACTGCAACATACCCCTCCCAGGCTCAAGCGATTCTCCAGCCTCAGCCTGCAGAGTGAGTAGCTGGGACTACAGGCATTCGCCATCACACCTGGCTAATGTTTGTTTTTTCAGTGGAGACAGGGTTTTGCCATGTTGCCCAGGCTGTTCTCGAACTCCTGGTCTCAAGTGATCCACAAGCTTCGGCCTCCCAAAGTGCTGGGATTACAGGCATGAGCCACCACACGTGGCCTCAATAGTTGTTTTTAAATTGACATTTATTGAATGCGTGCTCCATGCCAGGCACAGTGCTGACTACTATAGGGGCAAGGAAAGGAGTCTTGCCTTCAGAGCAGTTCGCATTGAGGGTGAAAAGTAATACATCACAAAGGTATTGTTGACTGTGAGCACAAGTCTAAAGTTCCTCTGATTTAGGAGGAAACGTAAAGGTTTTTCACTCATTTTAGACATACGGGTGTACAGACACACGCCCCGCAATGCTGTGGCTCTCTTTGTCTTGCCTCTCCAGCCTCCAGTCAGGCACAAGAAACGAAAGGCTCTTTCCTGATTAAGCTTCAAGTTCATATTCTTTTGTACATAGAAATGGGACCATGCCTAAGGTTTCCTGAACCTATTTTTAAATTAAGTGATTTGGAGAGGTAGGAAATTTAATAATAATATTGTCCAATATTACATTTTTTTTCTTTGTAATCTCTTGGGCTTACTCTTTAATTTCTTAATTGTTTTTCTTCTTCCATATTTATTTTTTCCATTTAAAGCCAAATAACACAAAATGAAATGAAAGTGGAAATATTTGAAAGAAAACAATTATTCAGTATTACCCCTTGAAATTTTGCCTTATGAAAATATTTTTAAAGCTATTACTCATGTTGAAGATTTAGCATTCATTAATATATGTATTTTGTGCAAAATCAGCAAACTCCACATTTGCTGTTTGGCTGTTATACACACAAATTAATGAATGTACTTAAATGAATTTGATTAATATGCAGCAGTTTAAGATCCACTTTGTATTATTAGCACAGAAATTTTCCTCATTGAATGCTGCTGAATCAGAATACTGTGTTTGCTTGGGAAGGCTGTCACACACACATGCACACACCACAAATAATGTAAAGCTAAGATTGTCATAATTATCATAATTGCCTCATTAAGATATTAGCAGACTGCCCCAACCACAAGAGATTCTCCATGCATGGAATTTTCCATCTTTGCCTGCATCCAAGTTATACATGCAGTGCCAGTGCCATAGAGTGTTAAATGGAAACCCCACTTCTGCATTTTATTACCAAATTTTGCAAACTACAAACAGCTTGAGTGTTGTATAAATTTATAGTTGTACTTGCATATTTGTGACGGTGGTTTTCAGCATGCAACTTTTATCTAAGAGCTTTTACTTGGAACTGCACAGAGCAATTCCAAAAGCTCAAAACTAAAGGAAAATAAAATTGAAGTGCCTTTACAATTGAGTGATTTATACATTTATACATTAAGTGCTTCTCCCGGTAGAAGCACTCAGATGGAAAATTTCATCTATTCCAAGCTGATTTTGTGCCTGAATGACTCTCACATATTTTCCTAAAACCTAGTCATGTCAAATGATTTATTCTACTTTAACAATTCTGTACAAGTAGCCAGGAAGATTCAAGTGTTGAAGTGTTAGAAGGTAGTTGGCCAATTAGATGGTTGACTATGTTTTGATTTTTCATGCTTACACATTCTTTTCTTACCTTCCCATCTCCAACTCAGGAGTACCTTGCTCTAGACAAGGATTTTTGCATATTTCTGTCCTAGAAGTATTTAGTCAAATTTGAGCAACAGAATGTATTTTAGATCAAAATTCCAGTAAAGATAAAGTGAGAAAATTCATTTCTCATAGTTTAAGAGGTAATAGAAGGAGCCCAGGTATGGCATATACAGAATGCACACATGCATTTTTTGTTTGTTTGTTTTTCTGAGATGAAGTCTCCCTCTGTCACCCTGGCTGGGGTGCACTGGCATGATCTCAGCTCACTGCAACCCCCACCTCCTGGGTTCAAGCGATTCTCCTGTCTCAGCCTCCCGAGCTGGGATTACAGGCATGAACCACCATGCCCAGCTAATTTTTTGTATTTTTAATAGAGACGGGGTTTCATCATGTTGGCCAGGCTGGTCTTGAACTCCTGGCCTCAAATCCGCCTGCTTTGGCCTTCCAAAGTGCTGGGATTACAGGCGTGAGCCACTGTGCCCGGGCTGCACACACGTTTTTTTGTGTGTTTGTTTGTTTTTGAGACGGAGTCTAGCTCTGTCGCCCAGGCTGGAGTGCAGTGGCGCAGGCACACATATTTTTAATGTCCCTTCCTGATATCATTACTTATCACCCCCATACCCTTGCCGCAGTCCAATGCCATCTGTGCCCCTGCCATGCTGCTTAGTAATGGGGATGCCCTGCATCTTATTAAAGGTGACTGACCCACCACTGAGCTATGGGCTTGCAACACAGAAATTCATTTTTTAATTAGATAATTGATGTTCTCCAGATTCTTCTCTTTCTTGCCATACAGTTTTTTTTTAACTTCAATTATTTTTGTCATTTACTCACCATCTTCTGTGGCAAATACATTCGTTTTTAAAAACTAATTTTATTTAATTAATTAATTTATTTGTTTTTGAGACGGAGTTTCGCTTTGTCACTCAGGCTGGAGTGCAGTGGTGCTATCTCAGCTCACTGCAACCTCCGCTTCCTGGGTTCAAGCGATTCTCCTGCCTCATGCTTGTAATTCTCTCTCTCCCGAGTAGCTGGAATTACAAGCATGCACCACCACACCTGGCTAATTTTTGTATTTTTAGTAGAGATGGGGTTTCGCCATGTTGGCCAGGCTGGTCTTGAACTCCTGACCTCAGGTGATCCACCCGCCTCGGCCTCTCAAAGTGCTGGGATTACAGGCATGAGCCACCACGCCTGGCCTGAAAAACTAAGTTTAAAGAAAACAAGCAGCATGTAACGTTCTTGAGATACAATTACAAGGCAGAAAAGTTAGTGGAAGTCTATTCCTTGGATGGGTTTATGTCATGATCAAGAAAAAAAGGATTAAGAATATGGTAAGGGTCTCAATTTATGATCTCAAGTACTATGTGAGAAACCTAAAAAGTAAATTCAAACTTTGAAATTTGGAATTTTCTTTGCTATAGGAAAAAGATTTTACTATAGGTAACAACAGTAATGGCTGGTGAATTTTTTCTAGGGGTAGACTCTCAACAATGTTGATGCCACTCAACAAATCCAAAGAACCATCATTATTTTTCTCTAAATAGCAGGACCAAAACCAAAGAAACATTCTAGACTAGGTACTTACCTTGACCCATCCACACTGTGGACTAATTCCTTAAGTGAAAGAATGTGAAGCTTCCTGTGGCTGCATCAGGCAATCCACAGAGAAAAAGAGTGATGGCCAGTTGAGCTCTGTCCAAAGAATCATGTAGCTCTGTGATGACAGAAAATTGACTAAGCATAAGTCTCAAGCTTATTCCCTTAGAATCCTCCATCTGGAATATACGAGTCTTCAAGAAAACATTCTTTCTTGCTACCCTGAAGCATGACATCCAGGGGATGGAAAGAAATAATTTGTCCATACCATTCATCGAATGCAGCTGTGGCCCCTATATCTTACCTAAAAACTATTTTTATTTTTCACAATTTTAAGATAGAGGCATAGCTTGTCTTATTGTGCATCATTTGATTGTGCTTTGCAGGTACTGCATTCTCTGCAGAATGAAGTTCTGTGGCAATGCTGTGTCAAGCAAGTCCATTTTTCCCAACAGCATGTGCTCACTTTGTGTCTCTGTGTCACGTTTTGATCATTCTCACACTATTTCAGACTTTTTCATTATCGTCATATCTGTTACTGTGATCTGGGGTGAGTGATCTTTGATGTTGCAATTGTCATTGTATTGTTTTGGGGTGCCACAAATCGCAGCTATACAAGATGGGAAACTTAATGGATAAATATTGTGTGTTTTCTGACTGCTCCACTCACTGGCCATTCCCCTGTATCTCTCCTTCTCCTTGGGCCTTCCTATTCCCTGGGACACAGCAATATTGAAATTAGGCCAATTAATAACCATAGAGTGGCCTCTAAGTATTCAAGGGAAAGGAAGAGTCACACATCTCTCACTTTAAATCAAAAGCTAGAAATGATTAAGCTTAGTCGGGAAATGCATCTCAAAAGCCAAGATAGGCTGAAAGCTGGGCCTCTTGTGCCAAACAGGTAGCCAAGTTGTGAATGCAAAGAAAAAGGTCTTAAAGGAATTTGAAAGCGCTACTCCAGTGAACATATAAATGATAAGAAAGTGAAACAGCCTTATTGCTGATATAGAGAAGGTGTTAGTGGTCTGGGTAGAAGATCAAACCAGCTACAACATTCCCTCAAGCCAAAGCCTAATCCAGAGCAAGGCCCTAGCTCTCTTCCGTTCTATGAAGGCTGAAAGAGGTGAGGAGGCTGCAGAAGAAAAGTTTCAACCTAACAGAGGTTGGCTCATGAGGTTTGAGAAAAGAAGTCATCTCCATAACATAAAAGTGCAAGGTGAAGCAGCAAATGCTGATGGAGAAGCTACAGCAAGTTATCCAGAAGATCTAGCTAAGACCGTTGATGAAGGCGGCTGTGCTAAACAATGGATTTTCAATGTAGATGAAACAGTCTTCTATCGGAAGAAGATGCCATCTAGGACTTTCATTGCCAGATAAGTCAATGCCTGGCTTCAAAGCTTCCAAAGACAGGCTGATTCTCTTGCTGGAGGTGAATGTTGTCAACTTTCAGTTGAGGCCAAGGCTCACTCACCATTCTGAAAATCCTAGGACTCATAAGAATTATGCTGAATCTACTCTGCCTGTGCTCTGTACATGGAACAACAAAGCCTGGATGACAGCACATCTGTTTACAGCATGGTTTACTGAATATTTTAAACCCACTATTGAGACCTACTTCTCAGAAAAAAGAGATTTGTTTCAAAATATTGTCACTCATTTACAATGCATCTGCTCACTCAGCAGCCCTGAAGGAGGTGTACAAGGAGATGAATGTTGTTTTCAAGCCTGCTAACACAATATTCATTCTGCAGCCCATGGATCAAAATGTAATTTTGACTTTCAACTCTTATTATTTAAAAAATATATTTTGTAAGGCTATAGCTTCCATAGATAATGATTCCTCTGATGGATCTGGACAAAGTAAATTGAATGCCTTCTGGACAAAACTCACCATTCTAGAAGCCATTAAGAAAATTCATGATTAATGGGAGGTCAGAATATCAACATTAACAGGAGTTTGGAAGAAGTGGATTCCAATCCCCATGGTTGACTTTGAGGGGTTTAAGACTTCAGTGGAGGAAGTAACTGCAAATGTCCTGGAAACAGCAAGAGAACTAGAATTAGAAATGGAGCCTGAAAGTGTGACTGAATTGCTGCAATCTCATGATACAACTTGAATAGATGAGGAGTTGCTTCTTATGGATGAGCAAATAAAGTGGTTTTTGAAAAGGAATTTATTCCTGATGAAGATGCTGTGAATATTTTTGAAATAACAACAAAGGATTTAGAACAAACGTAGTTGATAAGGCAGTGGCAGGGTCTGAGAGGATTCACTCCACTTTTGAAAGGAGTTCTACTGTAGGATCCAGGACTCAGCCTGGTAGTTCAGTGTCTAGTCCCATTGTGCTATCGGTGCCATCCCAGGGCCAGCCACTGGGCTAAGTGCTGCCATTGCTGTTCCCTCTGCTTCTTTCCACCACTGTCACATTCAGGTAACACTAATTAGGGCTTTTCCTGTCTCCTTTCACGTATTAGAAAGCTTGACCCAGCCCTCAGTTGTGTGAAGAAAGCCAAACTCTGGTCTCCAGCTGCACATAGGATGCCCCTGTCTAGGTCACTCTACAGGAATTAAATCTTCACCACCCCTGCCTGCTGTAGTGCCCCACTCTTTCTGCTTTGTAGCTCTTTTTCTGATCCCTAGGGATGTTTAGCTCATTTTTTAGCATAGCCATCCTTTTAAATTTATATATTTCACATGTAATTTAATTTGTAAAATACATATGAAATATTTATTGACTGCTGTAGCCATAAAAAGGAGTGAGATCATGTCCTTTGCAGGAACATAGATGAAGCTGGAAGCCATCATCCTCAGCAAACTAACACAGGAACAGAAAACCAAACACCGCGTGTTCTCACTCATAAGTGGGAGTTGAACAATGAGAACACATGGACACAGGGAGGGGAACATCACACACCGGGGCCTATTGGGGGTTGGGGAGCGAGGGGAGAGAACTTAGAGGTTCAATAGGTGCAGCAAACCACCATGGCACACGTATACCTACGTAACAAACCTTCACGTTCCGCACATGTATATTGGAATTTAAAGTAAAATGAAAATATTTAAATAAATGAAAGAAAAAAAAAGAAACATTGACTGCATATTTTGTCATTGCTGTGTTTGGAGCAGAGGGGAAAAATTTCAAGCACCACCTTGACCACAAGAACACCATATGTAGGATGTATGTTGAACATTTCATATTTCACAGAACAGTGTGTCCCAGGTTTTCACCAGTTTTTGTTGAAGAGATAATGTAGTGAGCGGTTAGATATTTCCATTACTATCAGCGATTTGCTTTCTGCATCCCCAGGGATGTCATTTTCTCCAACAAATAATACCCTTTTGGCAAAGTCTTGGCTGGTTGAAAATTATAAGAGAACGTTTCATTGTATTGCATCTTAACGTGGTTGTTCTAAAAATTCATCTCAGAATTTGCTATTTCAGGAAGCTTGCTCAGCGCCTCTGTTTTTTTCTGTAGTCCATCAATTCCATAAATTGGCTAGGCATTACTCAAAGATGATTGTTAAGGTCAGGAGTGGGGAGGAACAGAACACCAGGTGTTACATTTTAAAAGGTGGCATAAGCCCCTGGTTTAGTCATGTACTTCAAGAGTGTGGGAAATAGCTGTTCACAGTTAACACCAGAAGTGCTCATTAAACTGATTTTCTGTTGGGAATGATTCCTCCAAAATGTCTCAGGCTATCAAGTAGCTAAAATTCTATCAGGATTATGACACCCACCAAGTTACAACTTATAAGAAACAATATTGAAATGAAGGCTTTGCAGGCAAATTAAAATAGTAATAATTTCAGTTAATGTAATGATATCTTTTTAAAAAAATCCCTTAATATCGTTCAGCCAAAATTACATATTTGGAAAAAATGAGCTTCTAAAGAAGATTCCCTAATTGTATGTAATATGCCTGAAGGCATATTGCGGATGTAATTCAGATGCCTGGACACAGAGGAAGAGGGCTCTGATGAGAATATTGTGTCATATAACTACATTTTAGTCACAAACAGCCATAATGTACAACTATTTCCCAGAAAAAGGAAGCCGGGACCATGTGACAGCTTTCATGGTTAACTCTGGAATTCTGAGTATGGCCTGGAGATCCTATTTCCACATGTGCAGACTTTTCTGTAAGCCCCCAAACCTTTCTCATCAAACTTTGACATGTAACATCTCAGTATTTTGTAAGTGATGGCGCTTATTTTCCCGAACTTCAGTTGCATCTTGAGTTTCCTTTATTTAGTTTACGCCAATGTGGTCTTTTCTCAAATGGCTCATTATGGCTCCTGTCTCATCCACAGACTAACAAAGCCCTACATTCATTTCTTGTGGTAAAAGAATAACTTAGACGAAGCATGAATTGTTTTTACTATTTACAAGCAGTAATAACTTTTTAAATGTCATTTTAACAAATGTCACATTATTGAGCTACACCTTGTTGTATATCAGTCTGTCCATTAATGTTTTTTACATTTATCATACTCAAAAACCATAGGATCTTGCATAGAATTTCATAAAATGTGATCTTGACATATGACTAAATGTAAAAACTTGAGGACACTGTATTCTGGGTTGTGGTCTAACTCAGGTGAGTCCATTTGAAATGGAATTTTTTGTTTCATGCTCAGGCCAGATTCACAGCCCAGGTTGGTGAAGGCTCCTATAAAAGTAGCCTTCATGGTGGCTTTCACTTCCCTGGGCCATCCAACACATCGAACCGTTAGCTGCTAACAACCCATGTTCCCCTCCTTTCCCCAAGTCCTGTGCTTTCTTTTCTTGCCTTTACTGACATGGAGGTCAGAGGCCATCATCTCCAACATGTTGGTTTTATTTCTTCTGGGAAGAAAAACTCCATCTGGCCACACTGTGGTGACCCCGGCTTTCTCAATTGCCTCTGGCCTTATGATGCTGTCCTTGTTCTTCAACAAGGCTGATTTCCTTTCTGCCTTCCTGTGTTCCCTTTCTACTGGGCTCAATTCAGTCCACTGGGGAGGCAGACAATGGATTCCTCTGTTACTCCTGGTGGCTTCTGGGGTAGACATGGCCTCCAAATAGGCCTCCTGATGGGTGAGTATGAGCCCACCTTCCAGCCTCCCTACTCAGCCTGCAGTCTATTTATGCCTGTCTCCCAAACGCTTGGGGCTGCCCTCATGGACACTTTTCAGTTGCGTCTCCACCCCACAGAAGCACAGCTGTGGGTGTTGGCTGCCATTTGGCCAGGGTCAGCACTAGCTTACACTCAATACATTCAAGCAAGAGCCCAGAGATGAGAGAGCAAAAGGGAATACAACAGTGGCTTCTCTGGCCAAGGTAAAAATTCCCTCCAACTGTTTCCAGATACTTGAAAAGAGACTCGAGTGTTCAGGACAAGCTCAAGGCTCACGTGTTTCCAGAAGATGAGGAGGAAGGCCCATTCCTTACTTCAGGGCAGATGTTGTAAGAAGGTCTCCTGAGCAAGGTGCCTCCAAAACAGAAAAGGCCCTCAGCTGTTGTTTGTTTCCTAGAAGAGTCCACGAACTACAGGACAGTCCCAGCTACCGGGAAGAGGTACCCAACTCTTGCAGGCATGGCTAACGCCAGATGAGGTCTAAAGATCAAGCTGTGTTTTTTCAGATGACAATGGAAGACAGGCTAAAGAGAAGCATGAGGTGAAGCTGGGAATGGGCACATACTATCTTGTGTGACCTCTTGGCATTTCCTGATACCAGAGATTTATTTTTCTGCCTGCCAAACTGGCATTATTTATGAAAGAGAGATGCACAGTGTAATCTTTTTCCCTTCCCAGGAGAAAGAGTCTACGTTGGTATCTGTTTAACCTGTCTAACTTTTTGTTTGTCAACCTGTGCATGCATCTTTCCATTCACAATGGGGAAGGGAAAAAAGACACATTTATTTGGTGTCACAGAAAGTCCCTTGGACTAGGCCTCTGAAGTTCTAGGATTTTGGGTTGGCAGTCATGAGACAGTGCTCCTCAGTTCTCAAATGTTTTCCTTCTCAAAAAATTATTTCCTCCCAGCTTTGTGGGGAGGAGAAGATCAGAAAAGGGATGTGCAAGTTCTCAGAAAAGAAGTCTACAGGCTGGGCACGGTGGCTCACACCTGTAATCCCAGCACTTTGGGAGGCTGAGGTGGGCAGATCACGTGAGGTAAGGAGTTTGAGATTAGCCTGGCCAACATGGTGAAACCCCGTCTCTACTAAAAATACAAAAATTAGCTAGGCATAGTGGCATGCACCTGTAATCCCAGCTACTTGGGAGGCTGAGGCAGAAGAATCGCTTGAACCCGGGAGGCAGAGGTTGCAGTGAACCAAGATTGTGCCACTGCACTCCAGCCTGGGCTACAGAGTGAAACTCTGTCTCAAATCAAAGTCTACAGACATTTCAGAAATTTCTAGTGGGCTAGGAACCGGGGCTTAAAAATTAAGACACTGGCCATGCTGTCATGGACACCAACACTGTTAACCATTAAGAGGTCAAGCCACAGTCCCCAAAAATATAATATTATTATGACCATCTTATTTTAATGACTTTAATTCTATCTCTATGCTGCTGCAGGGTTGTTTATTTCCAGGCAATTGTCCACATGTTTCTTTCCCCTCTACCTCTGCCTAATTTCTTCTTACATCTTCCTCTTCCTGAGAAACAGTAGTGCTTGGGGAAAATAAGGGACTGTGAGTACTGGGTAGTACATCAGAGTTGATGAGCAAAGAGAGAATCCACCTTTGTCCTCAACAACCCTTTGTCTTTCTAAAATTCAAAGGTGAAGTCCTCAGGCTGTGATTTTCTGTTTCAAGAAAATGCTAGGACAGGGATGGAGCCAGCCTACCCAGTGTACACATCAAGAAGATAATGATATGAGCTCTTAGAGGATGATATAGTTTAGCTGTGTCCCCACCCAAATCTCATCTTGAATTTTAACTCCCACAATTCCCACGTGTTGTGGCAGGGACCTGGTGGGAGGTAATTAAATCATGGGGGCAGGTCTTTTCCATGCTATTCTTGTGATAGTGAAGAAGTCTTAGAAAATCTGATGGTTTTACAATGGGGAGTTTCCCTGCACAAGCTCTCTTTTCTCTTGTCTGCCGCTACGTGAGACGTGCCTTTTACCTTCCTCTTTGACTGAGAGGCCTCCCCAGCCATGTGGAACTATGACTCCATTAAGTGTCTTTCTTTTGTAAATTGCCCAGTCTCTGGTATGTCTTTATCAGCAGTGTGAGAACGAACTAATACAGAGGAACACTCTCTGTAAATAAAAGGCAGCTTTTTAGAAAATAAATTTCTGAGCATTTTAGAAAACAAGTTGGGAAAGTTCACTAAGATTTCTCTGCCTCTAACACATTGTATAATTTATTATTATTTATTTGGGTCCTCTTCACTGAATGGTGAGCAAAAACGGTTCTTTTTAATTCTTTTTGGCAATAATCCATACAGGAAAAAAAAAGTTCCTTTGCATTCTAACCTAGGTAGTCTCCCACAGTGTCTTCTAATGTGAAAGAAAATGAAGAATTATTATAGAAGTGCACCCAAAAATGTTAATGCAAAATTAGCAGAGCCGTTTTGTTTCTGCTAGTAGTGCAATATTTTCTCACAGTTATGTTTTTGAAACATGAATCTGTGATAGTTTAAGAGCTGAATACATAATTTAATACTGCCCAAGGCCAACATTAGTGAAAGCAGATGTTTGTGAAAGATGCGTGTCTTTATTAGAGGGCTGTGCTGCCCTAATTCGGTCCAATTCACTACGCCCCTCCCCGCCCCCGTCGCGGTGCTCAGGTCATCCCTCTCCTCTGCATGGATGGAGACTGAGAATGCCTCCCTTCAAGGCACACCAGGAGGGTGGCTCTGCAAGCTGTCCATTACACACATGACAATCAAACTGCCCAACATGGAGAGGGCGGTCTTCTTTGAGGGCTGTCTTATATATTCCACCGTTGACACGTCGTTGAATCCCTGAATCTCCTAATTGGAAGTCCCTCGGAAGTCTACGGATTATCCTTAATATTTAAATCCTCTGCACCATCCCAGCCAAATGGTTAAACTCCTTCTGTGATGGGAAATTTCTAGAGCCACACATTTACTCTGTGACCACATAATTCTCACAAGGAAGCAGCTTGAGGGTGGCGGCTGAGAGCACGATTGCAGCTTTTGAGTCATGGTGCTCTGGAGCCCCAGCTCTGTCCATCCCAGTGACATGACCTTAAGCTGGTTCATTTAACTTCTCTGCATCTGTTTTCTAACAACATTTACCTCACAGGCTTGTTTTGAGGATCCAGTGATATAATGGGTATAACCCTTTTTAACACAGTGTCTGGTATGTCTGAAGGGCTAAATCAGTGGAAGCCATTACTTTAATTTAATTTTTAGTCAATGTCCTCACTGGGATTTCTACCCTTTGATTCTGGTTCTGGGCCCCCGGAACCAGCTGGCTGCACAGGCAAACCTAATCTTTCTTCCACATGACTGTCCCTCAGATGTTTGAAAATATCTATCATTTTAACCTCTTTTTCCTCCATCCTTTGGACTCTCTGTTGCAATCACCCCTCAGTACCTTCATTTCTCCAAGTGTCCAGGGTTTCCTTTCCTCCCTGTACTTTTGCACACACTGTTTTCTCTTGGCCTGGGCTTCTTCCTCATCATTTCCATCCCCACTTTTGCTGGGTTAAATCCAACTTATCCTTCAGGTCTCAACTAAGAGGCCCCTTCTGCCTGGAAGCCTTCCCTGATCCCCTAAACCTGGGTTAGATACCCTTGTTTGTGCTTCTGCCCCTGTAACTCTTCTCATCTCAATGTTGTCATCGCTTATTTATTCTCCACCAGATTATAAACTCCACAGGGACAGAAACTGGGTCAGCGTTGCTTGTGGCTAAACCCCCAATGCCTACCATAGCGTTTCACCCACAATGGGTGCTCAGTAAATATTTATTGAATTTTTTAAAAAGACATATTTATTCATCCTGCCCATTGATAAAAGCGTGTCATAGTGGAGTTTCCATTTGATACTTTTTTTTTTGTTTTTTTGAGAAAGGGTCTCACTCTGACACCCAAGCTGGAGTGCAGTGGTGTGATCACGGCTCACTGCAGCCTTGACCTCCTGGGCTCAAGCAATTCTCCCACTTCAGCCTCCCAAGTAGCTGGGACTCCAGGCATGTGCCACCATACCTGGCTAATTTTGGTAATTTTTTGTAGAGATGAGGCTTCCCTATGTTGCCCACACTGGTCTCAAACTCCTGAGCTCAAGCATTCTGCCCACTTCAGCCTCCCAAAGTGCTGGGATTACAGGTGTGTACCACCACTCCTGGCTTCATTTGATACATTTACATTCATAGTTTTCGGTGGTTAGGAGTCAGAAAATAGTATTTGGATTTGATCAAAGCCTGTACCTCCCCAAAATTCCAATAAAATAAAACATGAAGAGTCATTCACAAAAGTGTCGTTTGAGTTGGCAGCCCACTTACTTATAAGCTGATGGAGGATATTTTCCATAGTGATGATAAGCACAGCAACCTCCTTGAGCAAAACTCAAAAGAGTTGATTCTCTCCTTTTAGCTGCAATGAGATATTTTCATTCTTGGCCTCTTTCCTCTTTCCCCCAAAACACGATAGAGCTCATAACTCAAGTGCTTGCTCAGTTAATGCCTGGCTTTCTGGATTCTTCTTTCTTTAATGAAGGGGGGGAATCTCAGCTCTTATGTATGTATCAGCAATAAATGCAGAGTATATACCCTTAATTGTGGCAAAATGAATTTTTGAAAATTATATTCAAATTCATTACTTTTACAATAATAATTACCTACTTTACTCTTTTCATGAATTGTAAAATAAATTTTTAGATCATTGTTTAAAGAAAGATATGCCAATCACCTTACATAAAAGAATGTTTCTGGCAACTTGAAATGGTAGTTATTTACAACAAATAGACAGTAAAGACTTTATAATAAGGGCTCTGCAAGTAACAGAATGTTTCAGCTGGAATAATCATGTCAAGAAGAGGGCAGGTGGGCAGGTGATTTTTCTTGAATCGAATTCCACCTACACCAGCCGGAGTCTGAATGCAGGAGTGGCTGAGACTCACGGCCAGGAAGACAGAGCTGTCCAGAGACAGTCGGAGCTGCGGACAACTGAAAACATCTCTGCTCATTTCCTTGCTGGTCGAAAGCACACAGGGGAGGCATTGATCTTTCCTAGCTGGACCCAAACACATTCTGTAAGAGGAAGATGAATTAAACTCAGCAGAAACTGACTTGCTCCCACAGCTGCAGAAAGAGCCAGGAGGATTTTGATGTGGGACTGACAGTGCCTGCTATGTGGGCAAGTGGAGATTTGCACCCAAAGGCCATCAGAGGCTGGACTTCAGGCCAGGCCTGACCCCCGCAAGCCCAGCAGCCGGTGACACCTTGATGACTCTGTACCAGGGACTAAGTGGCTAGAGAAGGAGATGTAGAAACCAATTCAAGACTCCTTTTTGACAATGACTTTGCACTTTAAGGTGTTAAGCCAGTCTACATGATTCTCACTGTCTTCGTACAGCACCAGTGAAGTCAAGCTGTCCAAACCCACATCAGCGTCTTGTCATGCATTTCATTCCTCGCAAGTCTGCACAAAATTTGAGATCTGCAGTGTGTTCTGCCAATATTTTCCTTCCTTTTTTCCTCCAAAAGACTTTTTTTTTTCAGGTTGTGTATGTGTTTGTTTTAAAGCTAAAAGACATCTGTCAAAAACTGTTTCATTTAAAGTAGTTTTTGTGTTTGTCTTTTCATGGAGAGGAAGATGCTTTATTTTACTTGACCGTTTGTCTTTATTCATCTGGCAAAGACCAGGCTGTCCCCTCCACCCCCAGTGATTTAGAACAGAGGCGAAGTTAATATCAGGGCCTTTGTTTAACAGCAACGACTACATCTGCCATTAGACAACTTTTACTTCCTCTCTGAGTAGCAGAGAAACTGTCTTTCCTCAACCAAAATGTCAAATGAACACCGTCCTTAAATAAGAACATGAATTTGACCTTTACCGGATGTCTTTATTCTTTAACATTCTTTAAAGATACACACTTGGAAAAGTTAGTACTTATGATACCAGCATGGATGCCTATTGTCTGTTGTTTCCAAGCTGCCAGAGGCTTTCTGATGTGAATGAAATGACTATTTCCATCATAATGGAACACAATTATTTATTCCACCTAGCAGAGTAGAGGAAATGATTGTAAAACTGAAAACACAAAATGGTTTGTTTCTACCACCGGCTTCCCACAAAAGCAGAAATCTTACTTCCTAAGTAGAACCAGACCCTCACTCCATTCTTTGCCCAACAGAAAAATTACATGGCTTTTAGCTTTAATGGCCTTTTAGGCTTGTCGCCAGAAGAAGTTCCAAAAAAACTTTTCTGGTCCCAATTTGCCCTCTCAGCCCAGTTCTTTTGTAAGCAGGGAGGAGATGGCTGGAGAGTGGCCAAAGCCTGGAGGCCAAAATACCATGACACACAATTGGGAGGAGAGAAAGAGGAGCCCCAAGGCCACCATGCCTCCGACTGCCGCTGGCGGGCACAGCCTCATTGCCGCACCCTCAGTGCGGCTGTTGTCAACGTCGCAGGGTTCACAGTCACCTTTGAGGTGGGGCTGGAAGGCGTGGGTGGAGTGTGTCCCTAGATGTGGTCCGGGCTCTCTGTCGTCATCATGCTGCATTCTCACCTGTTTCTGTCTTCAGCAAACCAACAGGGCTTTTTTCTCTTTAAAGATTTGGGTTTTTATCTCACGTTTCACTTCCCAGGGCCTGAGCTGACTTTGAAGCAGTGAACACTTTTCTCATTCTTCACAGGTATTTCCAAGCTATAAAGATTTCAGGAGGAGAATTTCAGAATATTTCAGCCAAGGCTACGGGGATATTGGAGAGCAGCGTCCACCCTTGCCTGGCAAGACATTTCCTCTCCTTAGCTCAGATGCCTCACACTTATGAAAATGAGGGAGAAGGATCATCATCTCTGTGATAACGACATCGTGCTCTTTCCTCCAGACACTGCCTTTCCCCTTGATTGTCTCCTTTCCTGCATTCATTCAACTGTTCATGGGCTGCTGAGGTGGAATGCAATTCAGTATTTGGCTTCAAGAAGTGAAAGTCACCCAGAGAGATCTGAGGGTGGGACACCAGACAGGAACGGCCATCCTGCTTTGTCTCTAGCGGTGAGTGCCACCAGCAAGGCTCCAGAGGGAAAACCTCCCTTCCAAGGATGGGAGGGTGGCTTCCGGCTGTGAGGAGCAGGCCTTGAAGGATCCCTGGTCTGAGATATGCAGAGGCAAGGGGCAGACATTCCAATCTGAGTACAGGAAGCACAAAGAATCATTTTCTCTCTGCTTCCCCCAGTCAGATCAGTCCCTGGGGGAGCTGCAAAAAGCCTTAGCGACGACGGTGGCTGCGCTCCAGGCATTGGCTTCCCTGAAGCCATCCAGGTTAAAACGTTTTTTTTAAGCTGAAGCAAATAGATAAAAATAAAATAAAAGCTTAAAGTGATCTGGATTTAAAAATATATATATTTAAGGCCGGGCACGGTGTCTCATGCCTGGAATTCCAGCACTTTGGGAGGCAGGTGGATTATCTGAGGTTGGGAGTTCAAGACCAGCCTGGCCAACATGGTGAAATCCCTTCCCTACTAAAAATACAAAAAATTAGCACAGCCTGGTGGTGGGTGCCTGTAGTCCCAGCTACTCGGGAGGCTGAGGCAGGAGAACCACTTGAACCTGGGAGCCGGAGGTTGCAGTGAGCTGAGATTGCACCACTGCACTCCAGCCTGGGTGACAGAGCGAGACTCTGTCTCAAAAAAAATAAAAATAATAAATAAATATTTAAAACAAAGAGAGGAATGCTCTGTATTAACATGCCTCACTAGGCGGGGTTCTAAACCATGCCTAGATGCTCTCTGGACCCCATCTTGGAGTTGCTGGAATGTTCTTTTGTGTGTGAGGGAGATTCTCAGACACAACAGGCCGGCTAAATCCCTGCTGGCCTCTGGAGATGGAGCTTGGGTGACTGTGATCAAAATAAAAGATGATTCCTGAGAAACAGAAACCTGCAAATGCCGTGACAAACTTACACCTCGGGTTTCTTATGAACACATCTGAACCTGTGACTGGAATGTTCTCACAGTTATTTAAGTTCCCTGAGTACGGTCAGTTTTCCTCCTCACTGTATCATTTTGTTGAAATGTAAGAAAAAGAAAACTGAGAAATGATATCCTTTCAAATAAGTGTCAGAGAGCCAAAAAATGTAATCATCCAAGTACAAACATTTCCAAACCTCTCAGATATAAGACAACACAGTTAAATCATTTTTATTATAGGCATAAAATAAAAATTATAAAATATTAAATGTTTATGAGTATGGACAATGCTTGTTAACAATTTCCAGTGTAGATGGAATGACTTAGCAATCAAAATTATCTCATAATGATTTCCATGATACATTAAGTTCACTCAGTTTCACCCTCAGGCATTGAGTGGCAAAAGACAATAGTATCTTTATCATATTTGAAATATCAGATCTACATTCAAGAACCTTTCCACTGAGGCCTTTCCCTTCTCTGTTTCCTAGTCTTTCAATGGTGCACAGCAAGACAGAAGGACAGTTCAATCCCTTGGGGAGGTGGGTGTGAGCAGAAGGCTCCGTTCCATCTCATGTCCCCTGAGGCAGCTACACCCGGGCAAGTTCTGTCTCCAGCCAAACTTAAGAAGGGATGGGTCAGGAAAAGGTATCATTTTCTGTGGAAAGTGTTGGAAGATGGCAAAAGCCATTCTGCTGCAAGGGCCCTTCATCCAGGCTTTGTAGTGTGGGGGTCACAGCTGGACCCACACATTTGTGTTATATCTGAGCCCAATGACAACTTTCATTCGGGCTGGCCAGGTGAGGTAGAGGAAGTGACTGCCTCTCTCAGGCCCCATTGGAGGCTCCCTTAAACGATACCCCCAATTTTCTGAGACTATGCAGCCCCCAGAAAGCCCACTTAGATTATAATAGCTTACTAAGCCAGTATAGACTGGCAAAGAGGTTGATAGAAATTCAATGCAAAAGCCCACAGGTAGGGTTGAACAAGGTAGACATCTGTGCAGGGGATGGAACTGGCAGAGCTACAGGGGCCCAGAGCAGGGATGTGGCACCCCACTGGAGTGACGTGGGTGTCCACACTCAGGGGAAGGCAGCTGCCCAGTGCAGGATGTTGGAATGGGTAAAGAAGGATATCTTCGAAAAACTTCCCCTCCCCCTCCCCCTCCCCCTCCCCCTCTCCCTCTCCCCACGGTCTCCCCCTCCCTCTCTTTCCACGGTCTCCCTCTGATGTCGAGCTGAAGCTGGACTGTACTGCTGCCATCTCGGCTCACTGCAACCTCCCTGCCTGATTCTCCTGCCTCAGCCTGCCCAGTGCCTGCGATTGCAGGCACGCGCCGCCACACCTGACTGGATTTTGTATTTTTTTGGTGGAGACGGGGTTTTGCTGTGTTGGCCGGGATGGTCTCCAGCTCCTAACTGCGAGTGATCCGCCAGCCTCGGCCTCCCGAGGTGCCGGGATTGCAGACGGAGTCTGGTTCACTCAGTGCTCAATGGTGCCCAGGCTGGAGTGCAGTGGCGTGATCTCGGCTCGCTACAACCTCCACCTCCCAGCCGCCTGCCTTGGCCTCCCAAAGTGCCGAGATTGCAGCCTCTGCCTGGCCGCCAACCCGCCTGGGAAGTGAGGAGCGTCTCTGCCTGGCCACCCATCGTCTGGGACATGAGGAGCCCCTCTGCCTGGCTGCCCAGTCTGGAAAGTGAGGAGCGTCTCTGCCCGGCCGCCATCCCGTCTAGGAAGTGAGGAGCGTCTCTGCCCGGCCGCCCATCGTCTGAGATGTGGGGAGCGCCTCTGCCCCGCCGCCCCGTCTGGGATGTGAGGAGCGCCTCTGCCCGGCCGCGACCCCGTCTGGGAGGTGAGGAGCGTCTCTGCCCGGCCGCCCCGTCTGAGAAGTGAGGAGACCCTCCGCCCAGCATCTGCCCCGTCTGAGAAGTGAGGAGCGTCTCCGCCCGGCAGCCACCCCTTCCAGGAGGGAGGTGGGGGTCAGCCCCCGCCAGGCCAGCCGCCCCGTCCGGGAAGGAGGTGGGGGGGACAGCGCCCGCCCGGCCAGCCGCCCCTACTGGGAAGTGAGGAGCCCCTCTGCCCAGACCACCCCGTCTGGGAGGTGTACCCAACAGCTCATTGAGAACGAGCCAAGATGACAATGGCGGTTTTGTGGAATAGAAAGGGGGGAAAGGTGGGGAAAAGATTGAGAAATCGGATGGTTGCCGGGTCTGTGTAGAAAGAGGTAGACATGGGAGACTTTTCATTTTGTTCTATGCTAAGAAAAATTCTTATCCTGTTGATCTGTGACCTTACCCCCAACCCTGTGCTCTCTGAAACATGTGCTGTGTCCACTCAGGGTTAAATGGATTAAGGGCAGTGCAAGATGTGCTTTGTTAAACAGATGCTTGAAGGCAGCATGCTCCTTAAGAGTCATCACCACTCCCTAATCTCAAGTACCCAGGGACACAAACACTGCGGAAGGCCGCAGGGTCCTCTGCCTAGGAAAACCAGAGACCTTTGTTCACTTGTTTATCTGCTGACCTTCCCTCCACTATTGTCCTATGACCCTGCCAAATCCCCCTCTGTGAGAAACACCCAAGAATGATCAATAAAAATAAATAAATAAATAAATAAATAAATAAATAAGAAGGATATCTTCATGGGGTGGGGGGTGGAGACAGGTTGATGAGGGCTGTCAGGGCCCGTGTGCATGAGGAGGGCATTCACATTGGACTCTGATTAAATAAATACTTAAGGTTAAGGATAATGGGAGCCAGGTTTCTTGTTGCCAGAGAAAGGAGTTGCAATTATCGAAAAGAAGAAAGCTGAAAACTTGTGAGTGTTGGTGTGAACACATGGTTTTCAATGTATACAGAAAGAGAAACAAATGTCAATGTCAATGTGTGTATGTGTGTGTACATATATTTCCTAGTTCTGTCCACCAAGAGAACCTGGAAGCAGGGACATTCCAATAGCATTGAGCACACCCAGCACCTAGATATTGGTTTCTAAATTCCATTCTTGCTGAAAGAAACCTGGGCTCCCTGAAGAGATGGCTGCTTTCATGGCTGGCACAGAGAAAGAACAAAATGAGCTTGGAATTTCTTGTCGTGCCCAAAACTAAGAAAGTACTTAAGAAATGATGGGATTATGCCAAAAAGACACAGGAGCCAGGTTGAAGGGGCTCTCATTGCCAAATCTAGGACAATTTGAGGGTCAAACTAAATCATCATTTTAGTAATGGATTATGACCCACTGGATAAAATAGGAAACCACGAGTCCACATTGATATAAATAAATGAATAAATTGAAAGTATGATGAGGTAGGATGTTTACATAGTCTCAAATTACCTCCCCACAAAATACTTATTAATTACAAAGAGGAAAAAAACAAAATCAAATAGAAAAATTAATTACAAATAGAAAAAAAAGGTCGAGCAGATTCCACCTTAATCAAGTGATCAAAGTGAGCAAAATAAGTAATGAGACAAATTGAGATTTTGTGCCCCCTGAGAGGAAGCAGCCTCATGTCTATGGCATTCCTGCCACAGATACATACCATGAATCTAATCTTGAGGAGATATCAAACCCAAATTGAGGAAAATTCTGCAAAATAACTAGCCTGTAAACTTTGAAGTGTGAAGGTCATCATAGGGAAAGAAAAACTGAGGAGATTAAAGAGAAATGACAACTATCACATGTGACTCTGAACTGGATCCTTTTGCTATAAAGGTCATTATCAGGACAATTAGAAAAACTTGAATGTCATCTGGGGGTCAGATAACAGTGTTATATCAGTGTTAATTTCCTGAGTGTATGGTTGAATTTTATTTATGTAGAATACCCTTGTCTGTAGAAATACACAATACTTACTAAATATTCTTATTGGCGACTTTCTCTGGTTCCTAAAAATAGTTCTTTGCACTATACTTGCAATTTTTTCATACATTTAAGATTTTTTAAAAAGTATTTGATAATTACTTGTCTCTTCAATAGACATTGACTCTCCTTGTACAATCGGCCATGGCCAGCCTCATTAGGTTTTGCACAATCTGACATTCTGAAATACACACATTGATGAGGAGATGGAGTTTGGGAACATTGAAAATAGCTGACTCTACAGACAATTCCATTTTTGTTCTTATTACTACAAATAGATTCTTCATTTTCTTTGTTAATCACATTCTCTGTTTATCAGGGATCTCTACATTGCAGTTTTCAGCTAATGATTATGTCCAAATGAATGCATCCTATCTTGCTGAACATGATTCTTCAGTAGATGCAGCAACATGACTTCTTGAAAGATTATATCCCTAATGGTGCAAATTATTTAATTATATCATTTCAAAATGAGTCTTTCACTTTGATTTATATAAATTCCAGTATACGTTCTCCTAATTCATGAAACTTATATACCTGAGCCTTTGAGCCCGATACGCCCAGTAAGTAAAAACCTTTTGGCAAGCAAATTTGCCATCTATTTACTTCCTTCTTGACCTAAACCTTCATTTCTCTTAAAACCATCTCTTACCTCCTCAAGGAAGCCTTGGAGTCAACCCTTCCTTGGAATTTTCCCACATTTCTATTCTGTTATGTAATCATTTTGTAACTCTATAAGAAAATAAACTGTTTTTGTATGAGTCATCAACAAAGTAACATCTTTTCTATATGGAACAATTGTTTTTAATTCCCTGGTATGTGTGCATTATTTCTCAGTACATTGTATGCACTCATTTTATGTTGTCGGCAAACAACAGTTTTTAATGCTAATAATTTTATTCTATTAAAGATGTTTAATACTTATACATATAAATGATCATATTATGCACATATTTCTGCATCTTGCTTTTAAAACTCAACAACACGGATATCCCTCCAAAACCAGTGTAACTTTAATTTATTTTAAAGTGCTGCTTAATATTTTATAATGTGGATGTACCACAAGTTTCTCAGTCATTCTGCTACTAACAGGGGATATTTAATTTCCTTAAATTTTTTTTCCTAAACACTGCACAAATAAACACCCTTTTATATATGTCTTTATGTCCTGCTTTTATTTTGGTAGGTTAGATTCACAGAATTGGGTGATACATGCATGTTCAATTTTGATCAATGTTTCCAGGTAGAATTTTTAAAGGACTGTAACAATTTACAATGTATATATATTCTTTTATGCTCCTCCCTAAAAATGCCAGGTATGAATATGGAGTTTTTTAAACTTGTTTCTAGTAAGCTGCCTGTAAAGTGATTCATTTGTTCAGTAAGAGAAGCTTACTGAAAATCTTCTGCCTACCAGGCACTGTTGCTGGCACTGAGGATGTGACAGTGAGCCAAGCTGGTCAAGTCTCCACACTGGCGGAGCTCACATCCCAGGAGGGAGTCAGAAGATAAACAAACACATAAATATTTGGTAAGTCAGAGGGGACATGAAGAAAAGGGAATAGGGAATGAGAGGTATGGAGCAAGCAGTGCTATTTAAGGTAGGGTGCTCAGGAAAGATGTCTCAGAGGTGACATTTGAGCAGAGACCTGGAGCAAGTGTGGGAAGGTGTCACGGGGAGGAGGCTATGAGGCTGGTACAGGTGTGGGGTGCAGGAGGAACAGGAAGAGGGCTAGTGCGGCGGGAGGGAAACTTCCGGCAGTGCAGAGGCAGAGGCAGTACCACTGCTGCCCAGTGGGTGGCACACTGCCAGGGGTCCCACAGGCCCCAGGCACACCAGCTGAGAAGACGGAACTGGAGGGAAACTTCTTGTTCCCCTCCAGGGAACTGGAGTCAGAGGCAGTACCATGACTGCCCACTGGGGGCGCACTGCTTGGGGGTCGGGGGCGGGTGTCTCGCAGGCTCCACGTGTTCCAGCTGAGAAGACCGCTTCCTCCTCGGGCCAGGAAGAAGAATCCCTTTCTGCTCCAGTTTCCCTTCCGCGTCTCCAGTGCAAAACTGGCACCGAACTCTATGTTGGCTGCATGACAAATAATTGTTTCCAAAATTACGATTTGTCTGTTGACTCTATACAGAGCCCAATTTGTCTTCTAAAAGTTTGAAAACTGTATCTAGCCATGTATCTCTCTATTATTTTTAAATTTATAACTTCTAGGTTTCTAGTGGTGAAGGCCTCTTGAGCCCCTAGATGGTATGTGTAGACCCATGGGTTTTATGGAAATGTTTCGAGTTTTGGTTTTTTTGCTTTCACGTCTTTAGTCTATCTAGATCATATTTTTTAAGCAATGTGAGATAGAGATCCAATTCTCTTTTCTTTCAGGCAGCCATTGCACTGCCACTGTTTATTAAATAATCCATGTTTTTTCCACTGAGATGAATCTTTGTCATATATTATATTTTTGTATTTGTCAAGATCTATTTTTGAGTTCTCTCTTCGGTTCCACTGATCTGTTTGTCTATTCCTAGCTGATACCACAGTGACTTGATGGCAGGGCTTTATGCACGATCTGTTCTTTTGTAAGGCAAGTGTACTCACTGTTCTTTTCCATAACTTTCTCAGCTGTTCTGGGGGCATTTATTCTTCCATATAAGCTTTAATGTCATTCTATTCAACTAAAAAAAAGCTAATTGAGATTTTAATCAAAATTAGATTCCTTTTCTATATTAATTTGGGAGAATTGACATTTTATGATATTGTCTTCTAATCCAAGAAGAATATTTGTTCAGACCTCCTTTTAGATCATTCAGTAAGTCTTTGGTTTTCTTCTTTTAGATACTGCACTTTTTTGTTGAATTCATTTTTAAGTATCTGTGGCTTCTGTTACTATTGCAAATCAATAATTTTCCAGTTTCTTCTTCCAGGTGCTGTGTTAGTGTCCTGGCAGGAAACACATGGTGCACTCGAGTCGGGTACTGAGGAGAGTTTAAATATCAAGTATTGATTAAGATGTGGGCATGAATAAGGGAAGTCAACAAGGAGAAGAGAAGCACCCCCGGACGCCAACGCAGTGGGGCAAGGTTTTCCAAGGTAGGACCTGGAAAAAACGCTGTCACTGAGGCTATCAATGTAGTAGAGGACATCTGGCGAGGAGCTTAGCCTTTGGTAGAGGAGCCAGCCTTTGCCAATTCTCGGTCCAGCAGAAAGGAAGACACCCCACTGTCATCCTCCTCCTGCCCGTCACACTCCTGACAATGCTTCCCATAAGATGAACCCAGCTGTGAGCCTTGTATTAAGCCACGTTAGGTGTTAAAGCATCAATTCTAGTAACAAAAAACCCAAATCCCTTGGGGCTTCTCAGTATCCAATTGTATCATTTTTTAAAATAGGTAATTCTATCTCTTCTTTTCCAATGTTTATATCTATTATTTCATTTTCCTGTTGTATTAGTTTGCTAGGGTTGCTATAACAAAATATCACAAACCAAGTGGCTTAAACAACAGAAATTTATCATCTTACATTTCTGGGGCTGGAAGTCCAAGGTCCAGGTATCATCAGAGTTGGCTTCTTCTGAGGGCTCTGGGGAAACTTCTGTCCCACGCCTCTCTCCTAGGTTGTGGTGGTTTGCTGGCCATCCATCATCCCGGCAGAGAGCAAGGTGATACTTGGCTGGTAAAAGCATCACCCTGCTCTGTCTTCATGGTGTTCTTCCTGTGTGTGTTTTGTGTCTATTAGAAGGGGCCATTTGCATGTTTTCTTTGGAGAAATGTCTACTTACATCTTTGCTCATTTTTAAATTGGGTTCTTCTTATTATTGTTATTGAATTGTATGAGTTCCTTATGTATTTAGAATATTAATCCCTTATCAGACAGATGGTTTGCAAATATTTTCTCCAAATCTATAGGTTGCCTTTTCGTTTTGCTGATTGCTACTATGCTGTGCCAAAACTTTTTAGTTAGGTGTAGGTCCACTTGTTTATTCTTGCTTTTGTTGCCTGTGCTTTTGGTGTCATAGCCCAAAAATCATTGCCAAGATCCATGTCAAGGAGCTTTACCCTATATTTTCTTCTAGGAGTTTTAAGGTTTCAGGTTTTACCTTTAAATCTTTAATTCCTTTTGAGTTGATTTTTGGGTATGGTGCAATGCAAGGGTCGAATTTCACTATTTTGCATGTGGATACTCAGTTTTCCCAGAACTGTTTATTGAAGAACCAGTCCTCTCCCCATGGTGTGTTCTTGGCACCCTTGTCGAAGATCCGGTGACTGTATATGCATGGGTTTATTTCTGAGCTTTCTATTCTGTGTCATAGGTTTATAGACTGAAGTGTTCTCTTCATTATTGTCTAAGTAGTTTGCTATTCCCCTTATAATTTTCTGTTTGACCCAATGATTAGGTGGAATTGTGGTTCTTAATTAAGATTTTTGGTTGAATTATTTAATTATAATTTAAAATTTGTTGACATAATAATGTGGCCTTTAAGTATAAGCTTTTTTATTTCATTAAGATGTTTTAGTGTGACCAAGTGGGACTTGAGTTATTTTTGTCCATGATTCATGTACACAGGGGGGAAATGTGTACTCTCTATTTGAGATATGTAAAGCTCAATGTATGTCGGTGAAGTCAAGTTTATTGATGGTATTAGTGAATCCCTTTACATCCTTACCTTATACCTAGTAGATCTATCTCCTTTCATGTTGATATTTTTTAAATTAAATTTTACTTGCATTTTAACAGTTTCAGCTTAAGGTATTTAATTGTTACATTGTTGTACACACAGATTTATGACTATTACCTCTTCTACATAAATTTTGCATTTATCATTACACGATGTACCTCATTATTCCATTTAGCTCTATAAACCTAAAATTTCATTTTGTGACATTAATATTGCCATGCCAACTTTCTTTTTATATGCTTTTATCTGTTAGCTCTTTGATTACTCATATTTTCAACCTTTTCATAAAAGTTGTCTTTTATTTCTCATAAACGGCATAGAGCTGGGTTTTGATTTTTTTTTTTTTTTCGCTCTGTCATCCAGGCTGAAGTGCAGTGGCAGGATCTCGTCTCACTGCAAGCTCCACCTCCCAGGTTCACGCCATTTCCTGCCTCAGCCTCCGGAGCAGCTGGGACCACAGATGCCCACCACCATGCCCGGCCAATATTTTCTATTTTTTTTTAGTAGAAATGGGGTTTCATCTTGTTAGCCAGGATGGTCTCGATCTCCTGACCTTGTGATCCACCCGCCTCAGCCACCCAAAGTGCTGGGATTACAGGCGTGAGCCACCGCGCCCGGCCTGGGTTTTGCATTTTAACTTAATCTGATTCTCTGTCTTTTAATCCGTCATTCAACATTTTATATTTAGTGTAAAAACTGATATTCTTGATTCTGATTCTTCTGTATCCATGTTTATTTTTCATTTTTGTTTCCTCTTTTTCCTTTTTCTAATTTTTTTATTTAATGAAGTTGCTATTGCTTCATTTTCCCCTAGATAATGAGGAACTTCTACCAAACATTTCTATTCAATTAATAGTCATTGCCCTTTCCCCAGAACTGTTAATCAGAAACATATTAATATTTCTGAATTATTGTTTGAAATCAAGGTACCAAGACTATGTCCCTAACCAGGATACACTCTTTCCCCTCTTTTACTTTATCTCAGTAAGGTGAAATCATTTTAAAAATGTTCTTGGTTATTCTTGAAATTTTATTTTGTTAAAATTTGGGGTTGATTTATTAAGGGAAAAAATCAACAAACACAAAAACTAAAAAGGAAATTGGGATTGTGGTGAAAATTTCATTAAATAGGCTTTGAGGAGTAGTTGCATTTTTACAACATTGACTTTCCTGATCTGAAACATTATCTGTCTCTATCTATTCAGATATAATATAATAGCCTTCCGTAAAGCTTTGTCAGTACTTTTCATACCAAAGTTATGCATTTATCAAATTAATTCCCTAAATTTTGTACTTTTAATTGCTCTTTTGAATGGCATCTCTGTTTCCTTTATATTTTCTAGCTGGTTATTAATTTTATAAAGGAAAGCAATTGAATTTTGTGTATTTATCTTGTATCTATTTAGAAAATAGTCAGCATACTAAATTTTAAAATTGATTATAATATTCAGTTGATTCTTTTAGGTTTTCTGGATAGATAGTCATATAATCTGTTATTAATGATGATTTCCAACATTTCTATCTTTAACTTTTTTCTTGTCCTATTGTACTAGCTACACCTCCAGCATGGTATGCAATAATAGTATTTAGAGGAGGCATTCTTGTCTCATTCCTAACTTCAGTCCAAATATCTTTAGTGCAATACTATTGTATATTAATTTGTTGTATTCCAAGATATACTCTATATTATTTTAACAAAATTTTTGTTTTGTGGCTATTTTCTAAAAGTTGTTCCTTTTTTGAAAAGCCAGAATAACCCTGAAATTTCATAAAATGTCTTTTTTTTTTTTTTTTTTGAGACAGAGTCTTGCTCTGTCACCCAGGCTGGAGTGCAATGGCGTGATCTTGGCTCACTGTGGCCTACACCTCCTGGGCTCAAGCGATTCTCCTGCCTCAGCCTCCCAAGTAGCTGGAATTACAGACGCCCGCCACCACACCCAGCTAAGTTTTGTATTTTTAGTAGAGACAGGGTTTCACCATGTTGGCCAGGCTGGTCTCAAACTCCTGACCTCAGGTGATCTGCCCGCCTCGGCCTCCCAAAGTGCTGGGATTCCAGGCGTGAGCCACTGCGCCCGGCTGGAAATTTCGTAGAAAGTCTTGATGTCCCTCGAGATGATCACTTAAGATTTTCTTCCTTAATCTTTTGATTTAATAATTTGCATTAATGAGGTTCCTAAGCGTAAATGATCTTTGCATTCTTAACCTATCTTATATCCTGTTGTAACTGAATTGCTAATATTTTATTTTGGATGTTTGCATTTTTGTTCATGAGTGACAGTGACCTACAGCTTTCCTATCTTAAGCTGCATTTGTCTGATTTCAATATTAGGGATATGTTAGTCATTTAAAATGTGTCTGGGCCAGGCGTGGTGGCTCATGCTTGTAATCTGAGCACTTTGGGAGTCTGAGGCAGGAGGGTCACTTGAGCCCAGGAGTTTGAACCAGCCTGCACAACATAGAGAGACCCCATCTCTACAAAAAATATACATAAATTAGCCAGACATGGTGGAATATGCCTGTAGTTCCAGCTACTTGAGAGGCTGAAGTGGGAGGATCACTTGAGCCTGGGAGGTTGAGGCTGCAGTGAGCTATGATCATGCCACTGTTGCCACTGCCAAAAAAAAAATAACATAAAATAAAATGTGTCTGAAAGAAATTTTGATTGTGTTTTTTGGAAAAAATAAATACATCTTCATTCTTTTGAAAAGTGTCAGTCCTGCTAATAAGTTCTCCTTGAAAGGAAAGGATTTTGTGCCAACAGGTCTGGGAAACGTATTCCTCTGTTAGAGCTTCACAATACAGCATGTACAAAGGCTCTGAAAATTTCTGCAGGGAAGAGGCCTACTTTTTCAACCCAGCTTTGTTTAACTTAGCTTTTCCCAAACTAATTGGAGCATAGAACACTTCTTTTTTATTTTTTGTAGTTTATCTATTAAAACATCCTATGGGATATCTTTAAAAAGATATCAGTTTTGGAAATGCTCCTTATTTTATTTTATTTTATTTTTTTGAGATGGAGTCTTGCTCTGTCACCCAAGCTGGAGTGCAATGGTGCAATCTCGGCTCACTGCAACCTCCACCTCCCAGGTTCAAGCAATTCTCCTGCCTCAGCCTCCCGAGTAGCTGGGATTGCAGGCGTGTGCCACCACATCCAGACAATTTTTATATTTTTGGTAGAGATGGGGTTTTACCATGTTGGCCAGGCTGGTCTTGAACTCCTGACCTCAGGTGATCCACTAGCCTCGGCCTCTCAAAGTGCTGGGATTACAGGTGTGAGCCACCACGCCCGGCCAGAAATACTTTTTAAATGCAAAATTGTTTCTTGCAAATTATTTACAATAGCAAAGAGTAGGAAATGACCTTAACAAAAAGGGAATGTTTAGTTAAATTATAACAGAATGGACCATTATGCAGTCATAAGCTGATGTGTACAAATATTTCATAACGGCATGAAAATGCACCTATTTTAATGTTAAGTGAAAAACTTAGATAAAAATATTCTATGTAATCACACCCACATTAAAACCAAACAAACAACAGAGAAAAATAATTAGAAATAAATTCACCAAGGTATCAAAATTATTTTGGATGGTTTTTTTCTTTAATTTTCTTCTTTATACATTTTTTTCAGCATACATTGCTTTCATATTTTGGGGAGAATTGGTTTTGTTTGTATTTTAGGGGGATGGAGTCTCACTCTGTCACCCAGGCTGGAGTGCAGTGGTGCGATCTTGGCTCTCTACAATTTCCGCCTCCTGGGTTCAAGCCATTCTCGTGCCTCAGCCTCCCAAGTAGCTGGGATCACAGGTGTGTGCCACCATGCCTGGCAAATTTTTGTATTTTTTAGTAGAGATGGGATTTCACCATGTTGGCCTGGCTGGTCTTGACCTCCTGACCTCAAGTGCAGGTGTGAGAATTGTAATGCCAAAATAATAGAAACCTCACATTTCCACCCAAAGGGACCATGGGGGTTGGAGTTTGTTGAAGAGGTAGGAATGGCAGGAGAAAGCGGGGGTGCTGGGGCCTCTAGCTAATGTTCTTTCCTGCCTGGTCCTGCGGAAGGGCCCCTGCTGTGGATTGCAGTGTGAGGGGCCTCTCCTACAGCCCAGCACCAAGTTCTTAGCAGCACAGGCTGCTGCAAGACATATGTTACCCCCTCCATCCTATTCCCTTCCTAGTCCACCCTCTCACTCTCTAGGCATGACTCCTTCCCATTTGACCATAGGCTTCTCCAAGGACGAGGATTGTGTCTGACGGACCTCCGAGTCCCTCTGGCCATTAGCACAGGACTTTATGCATGACACATGTCAACAACTGTTTGTTCATACCCTAAAATAACGTAAGTTATGTCATTCTCTTTAGATCCTCCTGAATCAACCCTGCTCAGCATAGAGGAGCTGGGGAAGCAGCGAGATCCCATTGCTCCAGGAAGGACAACAAGCCCCAGAGGGACAGTCAGCACTCTAGGTCACTGTGGCCACTCACATTCTCCTCCTGTACATCCTGCTTCTCTATTCTTGAACCTTGATCCCCCTCACCCTCAAAGTAGGGGTTTTCTATTCTTCATAATGGGATTTTAATTGGTTACATATGACTATTACCCAATTCCAGAGTAACAATGATATTTCGCTTATTGGACAATCATCCAGGCACATCTTTTCTCATAACAGGGGCAGAGAATTGGTATATGTAATGACAGCTCCAACTCTTGACATATTTATTAATGGTATCCTGGTTCTAACTAATTGCACAAAAATTTACACGATTCTTGACCTCTTCAACACAGAGAACATTTTGTTATGCAATTTTTGAAGGCTAAAAGTTCAGAATCTCCTGTAAGGGCTGAATCCACACCAAACAAGGTCAAGAGCTCATTTATCAAGGAGTAATCTCTTTCCTACCTCCACATTTCACATGTGCAATGCAGAATCTTTCTGGCCACTTCATTACTTTCTATTATTTTTATGTTATCTGTCAAATAAGACAAAGCCTAGCTTTCCTAGTATATTAACCTATTTTGATGAGCAATAACTTCTTAATACTGCGAATGGTGTGATCATTATCACTTTTATGGATGGAGCACTTCCTGTGTGCCAGGCACCAGTTATGTGCTGCACTCACCTCACCGCACTTTATCCTCATTACCCGCCAGCCCCCAACCCTGGGTGGTGGGTTCTGCTGTTACAGATGAGCAAACCAAGGCTCAGGGAGGTTACGTCACTGCACAAGGTGACACACCCAGTGCATCTGTGGCAGTCCAGGATTCGGACGCAGGTCTAACTTTCTCCAAAGTCATCTCATTTGTAACTGCTACATGGAAAAATTGGAATTGGCCTATGAAATAGACAATGCTCATTCAGTACAACGAATATAGAAAGAAAACTCCAATCTGTGAACCCCCAGGAAGCACTTAATAAGCACCAGGCACTGTTGTAAGCACTTGTCAAATAGGAACTCGTTACGATCTCAGAATGACCCTATGAGGTAGGAACTGTGATGATTTCCAGTTTACAGGTGAAGCAGTTACAGCACCAATAGGTTAGATAAGTTGCCCAAGGCCATGGCCCTGTCAGCAGCAGGGCAGAGTTTGGAGCCGAGGAAGTCCAGCCCTAGATCTAGGGAAGATGCCGACCCTCTATCCCACCTGAGAACAGCAGAAGCTTGGGACTCTCTCCTGGCTGTCGGTCATCTCCATTAAAACCAACAAATCCAACGTTTCCTCCACCATTCTCAGCATGGAGAGGTTTGGGGTTCTCTTTGGAAATCAGCAGGCAATGTTTGTTCTGGATCAGTCAGGCCAGCCCAGATTTCTTTCAGTTGAATACATATCTTCAACCCCCTTTGGGGAAAAAAAAGCAGTGGAGAAAATCTGGTTTCTGAGTCAGTGTTTGTGAAATCTGCATGTTCCCTTGGTATAAATTGGGCTTTGGACTGACTTTTTGGTTTAATCAAATGTCTACTTCCTGGGCTGAGTGTGTGTGCGTGCGCTTGCGCGCGTGTGCATGCGTGTGTGTGTGTGTGTGTGTGTGTGTTGCATAAAAAGACCTTCCTTCAGATTTTCCTGAATCCAGCAAATAATATGATGGTGGAAATGAGAAAGTTTTGTATTTCACGTCCTCACATTCTGGGCCACCAGCTGCCTTAGAACCACACTGGTGACACTGGTGATGTACTATTTTCCTTAGAGATTTTTAGCATCAGAAGAGTGCCTCAAGTTCACATTTTCCAAAAGCTTCCATCCTCCTCATAACCATTATTTGGCTTCAAATTACCTCAGTCAATAAAATTACTATCGTTGGTTCGCACCTTTCAGAAAATGTGTGTGCATTAAACACTTTGGCAATATTTATTTATTCTGCCATCTGTCCCACTATCTACACATTCTCAACAGTCTGGCCTAGAAAGCACCCAAAATCACCTGAGCATCGTAAAATTAGTTCATGGCTGTCAGAGAAACGCATGGAGAACACAGCTGCTGCCCTGCCGCCTGATTTAATGAGGTTCCGAAAGTATGTGGACAAGGATGCTTTCCCTTAGTTACCATGGAAACAGGACAGGGTGCTTAGAGCAGGTGTCAGCAGCTTCGAAATCAAGATGAATCAGCTGATGGCTCGTCATCTGGGGGAGGTGCTGACCGAGCCCCGGTGGCTCCAGAACTCACACAACCGCGCTGTCCTAATCCTTTCTTCCGAGGAACTGGAGAACAGAGATCCAAACTCCTTCCAGACTTTCTTCTGAACATATCGTGTTGCCATATAAACTCTGAGCCTAGAAGGACTTATACATTAAGGATTTCAAAATTAGAAATGCGGAGTACTTCTGTTCTTTCAGATCCTAATTAATTGGTGATCTGTTGTTTTACCAAAAAAGAAAGAAACAATACGGGATCCACCCCCGTACCACCATCCCCTCCTCCAACCTGGGTTTATCTGATTTTATTCAAAGCCAAACTTGCCTCCGGGAGAAACTTTTTGTTGTAATGAACAGAATGGGATCGCTGATGTTTCTGGTGAAACTCCCCATTTGGAGAGTCAGGGGCTTTTTACGCAAACCTGGTTTTCATCCTAAATTATGGTGTCAAAAGTGAAACAGCATAATTTATAAACTTGAATGTTAGACCTATGAGTGACTTCTCAGACTCTGCATCACTTGGAAAGAATAGGAAACTTTAAAAAAATTTTTTTGAGACAAGGTCTGGCTCTGTCACCCAGGCTGGAGTGCTGTGATGCGATCATAGCTCACTGCAGCCTTGACCTCCCAGGCTCCAGTGATCCTCCCACCTCAGCCTTCTGAGTAGCTGGGCTGGGACCACAGGCGCGTGCCATAACACCTGGCTAATTTTTGTGTATTTGGTAGAGATGGGGTTTCGCCATGTTGCCCAGGCTGGTCTCGAACTACTGAGCTTGAGCAATCCACCTACCTCGGCCTCCCAGTGTTGGGATTACAGGTGTGAGTCACCGTGCCTGGCCAGAAAACTTTGATATATAAAAAAAAAGCTCTCAACGGTTGATTTTACTAATGATTCCATGATATGGAATCTTTTCAGGTGAAAAGGTAAGAACCGAGAGTGGGGCTAACTGAAATATTACTGGAGAAATAAGAAAAAGTTCTATTCTTCAGAAAGTTCCAATTTGACACCAGGAACTTAAAGCAAAATGATCTTTGGTAAATATAGATCTCTCCAACTTTTGCAAAGCAAAAGAATCTTTAACTTTCTGGCTTCATCTTCTTAAGCTTTTTCAGGGTCAAACAGAATTCATTAGCCAATTAGCTCAGAGAAAATAAGGTGGCATATATGCTATTTCATGTAGAAAAAGAGCAAAGTGTTCAATTTTTCTGCTTTTCAGCTGAACTGACAGATATTCTTTGTTCTCTGGGAATGTGATGATTTAGGCCAGAATTCTGCTTCCTGAATAATTCAGATAATTGCCACAACTCCACACTTTGCTTGAGTCTGAGATGTGACTTCAGAAGGCAAGTGATCAAATTAGAATCATGTTTTGATGACCTTTGTTTTAAGCTCTTTTTTGAAGGAAAGGAATAGATATTTACTGCCTAATTAAACATTTTGATGTATTTTGAAAACACAGATGAACCACACAGACACTGAGCATTATTAGTATAATATTAAGTGTTGGGCAGTGGAGCATGAGTTTGTTATACTAGACTTTGTTCCGTAGGAATCATCCAATCAGACATTTTGGTCAAGCAGATGTTACAGTCTAGATGTTCAAGGAGACAAAGTTTCCTCCTGGCCCTCAGGAGCTGTGTGCACAAGTGATGCTTGTTACGTGGCTCCGTAGTTGTCAGTCTGTGTCACGTCACTCAGTGCCACCGTCCCGTGCTGTAAACAGAAGAGAGAAGTCTGAGGGCTAGAATTACATTAGGTGTTTCTTGGGGTCTTATTGACATGGGAGCATCTAACAAGTGCACATGGAACTTTACTACCTAAAAACAAATTTAATTAAAAGATTTGAAAGCAAAGTCACTGCTGCTAGACTTGGCCCCTGTAATAGAAGGTGGGCTTCACTTTGATATCACAATGTGATTGTTTACCCACTTTGTGGACGTGTCCTCAAGCCCTTGGGTAATGCTACCAACTTAGAGCAGCTTCTCCTGCCCACGTGGTTTGAGCCGTTTGCCTGGCAGGGTCCATAATTTAGCCTGAGCCACCTGCATGCCTCGTCCCAAGTGACCAAAATGCAGGTTTGCTGCCTGGGGTGGACGTGTGCCCGTGTAGCTGCAGAGCAGTCGGGAGTCATGTGGTCCTGGCAGGTTGAGCCTTCAGAGCGGTGATGGGCCCATAGTCCGGGAAAGAGGTGATGCAGCTTAAATAAAGAGATATTTTGCAAGTAAAGTCAACAGCTGGTGGGTGACTGGGTGTGGGGATGAGGGAGAGGAAGCACACACGGCTCAAGGCATCTGGCTGGGGGCCCTGAAAATAGACAGATTTCTTTTCCTGGAAACAGCCTGAGAGCCCAGCTGGCCTGCAGACCCTTCTTTCACGTGATGTTTATGCTTAAATCCAGGCTATAAACGGATCAAAGTGGAGCGACCCTGGTGGGAGCAAAGAGGGATGCCCAGGTCTTGCCCCCAGCTTCCTCCTCTCCTGCTGTGGGCACCCCTGAGCACCTCCAGAGAAGCGGCATGTAGGGCCCCGAGCTTGAGGGTGGATGTCACAGGAGAGCCATGAAGAGCACCGGCTCAGAAACTCGGCTTCTCCTGCAGGGCACTGGGCAGGTGGCTTAGACTCTGCCAGGGCTCTGTGGCCTCAGTCTGTAAGCTGGTGATGAGGATGGCTGGGCACCCTGGCTGCGAGCATGCCAAGAGATGAAGACAGTGTATTTAGCCCCTTTTCACGCTGCTGATAAAGACATATCCGAGACTGGGTAATTTATAAAGAAAAAGAGGTTTAATGGACTCACAGTTCCATGAGGCCTCACAATCACGTCAGAAGACAAAAGGCACGTCTCACATGGCAGCAGGCAAGAGAGAATGAGAGACCAAGCGAAAGGGGTTTCCCCTTATAAAACCGTCAGATCTTGTGAGAATTATTCACTACCACGAGAACAGTATGGGGGAAACCACCCCCATGATTCAATTAACTCCCACTGGATCCCTCCCACAACATGTGGGAATTATGGGAGCTACAATTCAAGATGAGATTTGGTTGGAGATACAGCCAGTCCATATCAGACAGAGTGCCCAGCTGAGTGAGGACACAGTGAGCACTGCCTACATGCTGTTGGGAGGACTCCTGCTCTTGCATCTTACAGACCAGGAGGCTGCCCAGGGCACACAGGCATCCGTGTAGAGACAGCACTGGAATCAAGCTGCCCAGAGTCCTTGCATATTCTCACTCAGTGGTTGGCAAGCTCTTCTGCAACACGTATTTCTGTAGTACATATTTGAGGCTTTGGGGACCATATGGTCTCTATCCCCACAAGTCTATTGCAGCTTGGAGAGAAAGGAGCCACAGACAACATGGAGGTAAATGGGCATGGCTCAGCCAACACAGCTCTGCAGGAACAGGGGGCAGGTGGCCCTCTGTGGGCCCCTGTTCTGAATTGCCATGAATAAATCACAGCATCTTTGGTAACTGAGTTCTGAGATGCCGGACTGTCCACAGCTGGGGCTAATTCGGCTGTGTGCCACAACTCAGGCTTTCTTGGTCATGTGAGTGCCTCTCGCCGCTGGAATGTCCACTCCGTGCTGTGTCCTCCTGACACCTGCCCGGGGCCAAGCGCTTACGTAGCATGTGGCAGAGCCAGGAGGTGACCACTCTTTAACCACTGTGCTAAGTCAGAGGTCAGCTCTTCATCGCCAGCCAGTCCTCCCCCAAGCTCCGGACCCTGTCTCATCCCACCTTCTGGACTCGCTCCAGGGGCCATCTCTGCTTTCTCCTGGGCCATCAGCCTCACCCTTCCTACTGGCCCCTTCCCATCAACAGTTAACACACACAAGGCCACTGCCCAGTTAGCATCTTCAAAACATTCTGGATCCCTCTTCTGTCTCCCTTCCTCCCTTTTCTTCTTCCTCTCTCCTCTCTTCTCCCCTCTCCCTCTCTCTCTCCTCTCTCACCTCCTCTGTCTCACTCTTGTTCTCTCTCACACGCTCTCCTCCCTTTGCAGCCGAGCTTCGTGTAAGCATCACCAGCACCCAGGGGCTCCGTTTCCTCACCTCCCACTCCCTCAGCCCACGGCAATCTGCCTTCTGCCCTCGTTACGCCCCAGAAACCTCCCTTAGCTTGCCAGTGACCTCCAATGGGCTGTTTCGGTCTCTATCTTGCCACATTATTGACTTTAAATAAATGTTTATATAAAATAAATGAATAAAGGGATAAACCAATAAATGAACATATGAAATCTCACAAGAAAAACCCCACTCATTTCCCACCACTCTAACCAGCTTAGCTCTGGAGAGCCACATCCCTCTAACCAGCTTAGCTCTGGAGAGCCCCAAATCAGCACACCCCAATATCATGGCTTCTCCAGCTGAGGTCCTGGGAATCTCATATCCCATCCTCACCCCATCCAGATCCACTGAGTAAGGGTCTCTGGGCATGGGTCTGGGACCTGCACTGTGAACAGATACTTGAGATGAAGCTTAGGCACATTACAGCTGGAGGGCCACTGCCCCACATCTGCTCTTCTGTGAGTTTTTCTGATCCAGCAATCTCTTCATAATCAATTAGATTGAAAACAATGAGTAGGGATTCTGCCTTTAAAAACATCCACAGAAACAAAGGGAAAATAAGTGTTCTCTTTGGCATGCAATAGTGCCCGGGGTCCGGTGGGTCCTTGGTTTGCTCATGACACTTACCCTTTCCACCAAGGCTGTTACTAAGGGTTGCTAGCACAGGACAACACGCAGGGCACTCCAGCCCGGGGAGGTGTGCTCTGATCAGCTTCTGCTGACATCTTGGAGACAGTGATCTGTTTTCTCTGTTTCCAATTTTTGGAACAAGAAAGTCTTATTTAGCAGGCAGAACTGCTTCTCAGAAAAATGCAAATGAGAGAACCCTTCCCCTCTTATGTGGAATGTTCAGTCGCTCTTGGTCCTTGTGATTAATAACTCGAGTCCTTTCTGTTTGTATGTTAGTTTCCATATATACAACACTGCATGGACTTTAGTGCATTTGACTCGAGCAACAATCACAGAGAGGTGGGTGGGGCATTCACCGCATCGTTACTTCCACAGATACCCAGAGGGTGCCTGTTATGTGCCCGGCGCCAGCCCTGGGTGCCATGGGAACACTGAAGAGAGACTGACATGGATGCTGCCGCCCTCGGGTACCTCCCAGGCTGCTGGAGGAGACAAGCCACGGACACAGCCACTAGTGCCACCTACAAAGTAACGAGTGCCTGCGGACTAGATCGTAAGTTCCTTGAAACCAAGAACAGAGACGACCACTCATATCCTCTGTGCCATGCACAGGGCCTGGTGGGAGTCAATTTTCACTAAACCTGGTCAAATGAATGAGACCAGTCAAGTGCTTCAGAAATTCAGAGTTGGGTTGGGATGAGTGGGGTCACTTCCCGATGAGGTGCACCCGTGGATTCGGGGCTTCCTGAAGGAGGGGACATTTGGACCCAGCAGCTCTCCCCAGCTTGTAGAGCTTCACACGATCTCTCAAGCTCAAACCTTTACAGATTAAATGTAAACTCACGGTGTCCTTGGAAAGTCAAGTTTATTTCTTAGAACATCAACCTGCATACCTTACACCTTGTACTTGAAGGAAACATTTTCTCCACCCCAAAGGCCCATTTTCATTCAGTATTCTTAGTATTAATTAAGAGAGTTTTCTCCTTTTTGTTTTTACTTTATTTTATGATTAAAAAATGTAATACAGTATCATTATAAATAATTTAGAAAGTAGAAAAAGGTTTGAACAATAAGGAAAAAAGTCAACTGTAATCCCATTACCTAGAGGTAGTTCTGATTATTATTTTTGGTATATATCCTTATAGTATGCTTGTATGTTGTATTTTTAACATTGATAAACCCATATTAAATACACAGTTTCGAGTTCTTTTCCACTGTCATTAAAAACTCTTAAAAACTTAAAAAAACACTACAGAATGTGACAGTGTTTGCACTAGAACTTAAATTTTCATTATGTTTGACATTTGGATGGTTCTAATTTAATGTTAATGTGGGAAATGTTGTCTATATTTTGAGTTATTTGCTTAGAATGGATTCCTCAAAAGAGAATTAGGGAACCAGTAGAAATGAACATTTAGGATCTTAGATCCATATTACCAAATTGCTTTCTAGAAAGTGTGCCCCAGCATGCACTGCCCCATTGGGTTTGAGAGTGCTTGCAACACTTCAGCTTCCCAGCTCTTCCAGTTACACACCACTGCAGAACAAACTAGCCCCAAACCAAAAAGACTTCGAGGAACAGTCATTTTATTCTCTTACGATGTTATGGGTCAGGGATTCAGGCAGGGCTCAGCCGGTCAGTCCTTCTGCCCTACATGGCATTGACTGAGGTTTCTTGGTGGTGTTGAGTCGGCCGCTGGTCAGAGGGTCCAAGCTGGCCTCCCCACATGCCTGCAGTCTGGCAGGGATGGCTGGAAGGCCGGGCTTATAACTCCCTTCCCCTGCTCATGCACTCTCAGGGCCTCATCACAAGGTCTCTCCCACCGGGCAGTCAGACTCTGGGTGCCACCCAGTGAGCCAGGGCTCCCAGAGATGGGAAGTGGAACCTGCCAGTCTCTTAAGGCACAGCATCACTTCCACTGTATTCTGTTGGTCGAAGCACCACAGAGCTCACCAAAGTTCAAGGGAGCGGGCCGAGACCTTGTTTCTTAGGAGTGTCAAAGAATTTATGGTCACCTGTGATTTACCACATCAGCATTGAATATTGTCATGAGAAACATTTATTTGTTTGCTAATTTGAAAGCTGACATGATAAACTAGTGAGGCTTTCATCTGAATTTATTGATTCTACTCTTCAACTTTTACATATATTTTCTTAGCCATTTAAATTTCCCCACTTGGGAGATTTTTGGTCCTGCCCTTTGGGTCTTTTCCAGCTCTGCCACTTACAACTATAAGATGCCAGACAGGTTAGTGGAACTTTCTGCATCCTCACTGCTTCCTCTATAGCATGGGGGTAATGATCTTACCCCTCTGCAAACCTTCAAGGGTTGCTATGAAGCTCAAATGAGAGAGAAAATGTAAAGGGCGTATTCAATACCATGCCTGACCCATGACAAATTCTCAGTACCCACTATTGTTAATAGTGTCATCTGTTCAGAGTCTTGTCATAATACTCAGGTGCCAGGTTGGTGGAAACACATGTGGAGAGGACACAGGGTTCCTGGGTTGCAGGAGAAGGAAAAGCAGAACATCCTCCGTGCACCACTTGGTGCCAGTTTAAGCCACAATTCCCTGGCACCTCTGCCCAAGGGCAGGGAGCTGCTGGCTTGTGAGTGGGCACAATGCCATCCTACGAGATGGGAATGAAAACAGGCAGCCAGGGGATCATGTGTGTCCTGCTGTATTTGTTAAACAAACCGCTCCCAGCCGGAGAGCACTAAAACAGCTGTCAATCCTGGTCTTACAAGCCCGTGGTAATAGGAGACGTGCAATCATTAATCTAGCTCTGGGAAGAATTACCTTTCCAACTTTTTTTTTTTTTTTAAAGAAACAGTACATCACAGCCCACATATACAGACAGAGGTGGGCATCAGAGTTGATTTACGCCTCATCCATCAAACTGAAATAAATGTTATTCCATGGAAATGAAACCAACACTCACAGACTGAGGTAGTAAATTCCCTTGCTGAACCCTGACTGAGGGGTGCTCCCATTTCTCACTTCCCCCTCTTGTCTGAAGGTGACACTACACCCTGCCACCAGCAGCGTAAGTGCCTTTAGTAGCTCTTCCTCCCGATGAGTGATCATGGGTTGTGTATGGCCAGCCACTTGCTTTCTTCCTGATTCCTCTCAACATCTGGTCACAGCTGGCAGCCTCTTCCAGTGACATTTTGGACCGTAAGTGGATCAAGACGCAGCCTTGTCAGCCCCCACATCTCAGGATGCTCCAGGTGGGTAATGGGCCTGGACAAAGAACAGGCACGTGCGAGATGTGGCAGGGAGGGAAGGCACGCGCTCTCCCCGCACCTAAAAACCATGCGACTTGGGCTTCCTGGGCCTCAGTTTCCACATCTGCTAAATGGGGAAACAAATGCCCACCTTGCCTACTTCACAAGAATGTGAAACCACGCAAAACAGAGGCCTTATGACTGCATGAGATGCAATCATAACTGAGGCAAACGTTATGCATTCCTCCTGTAGTGTTCTTTTAAAGAGGTGTTCACGTCTAATATGTATTTTAACAGGTTTGGAAGGGTTTAATAAATATTATTTTCCACTTCCCAGAGTAGAAAACTGAGGTGTGTTGAGAGTAAGTGACTCTTGAAGGTCATGGAGTGGAACCCTGGTCTCCTGGTTCTCAGCAGTTCCCTCTGGACCTCACTGTCCACCAAGTGGAAGGAGAATAGGGGGCCTGAATATCTTTCCAGGGCATTGTTTTCACATCAGTTTACATCGGTAGGTCAGTTCCAGCTGCGCCTCGGTGAGCTGGGACTCCACTTGTACGACTGTAGGCTTCTCACCTGAGGAAGTCCTTCAAAGTCCACGCTTCATCTTTTTCAGTCCGTAGAGCTCTGGATGGGGAGGCTGGGTCATTTGCAGAGGCTCAGACTGGGAGTATAGCGTGAGTCCTGGAATGGCAGAAGCCCTACAGCACAGACGCCAGATCTGTCCGTCGGCAGAACTGGGTTTTACTGGCTGAGTAACTTAACCTCTCCAAATCTCAATTTCTTCACAAATGAAGGGGACCAAGTCATGCTGTGTGTGGCTCTGGGGCTCAAACCATTCTCTGTATGTAAAGTATCAGACCCAGTGCCTGGCTCTGAGTCGGTAGAAGTGCTATTCTTCCTTCTTTCCTTCACACCATCTCTTCCTTTCCTTTTTCTTTTTTTTTTTTTTCTGTCACCCAGACCGGAGTGTAGTGGCGCGATCTCGGCTCACTGCAACCTCCACCTCCCGGGTTCAAGCGATTCTTCTGCCTCAGCCTCCCAAGTAGCTGGGACTACAAGCACGTGCCACCATGCCCAGCTAATTTTTGTGTTTTGAGTAGAGACGGGGTTTCACCATGTTAGCCAGGATGGTCTCGATCTCCTGACCTCGTGATCCACCCGGCTCAGCCTCCCAAAGTGCTAGGATTACAGGCATGAGCCACCATGCCCGGTCCTCCTTTCCTTTCTTTCATTCCCTTTTTCTTTTTTCCCTAGGGATCTTGGAAATATCTCAAATATAAACCAGAATATCTTAAACTTGAGGATGTGTTGAGCAGATATGTGACTGCAACGCCAGTGATCCAGTAGATAAAATGGGAAAGCAGAGTCCATCCCCTAGAGCTTGGGAGGGGCCAAGCTGGTCTCTGAGGATGGTGAAAAGCAAGAGGGAGGTGACCGTTCACTTGGTCCAGTGCGCTCCACTCCAATATTCACTAACGGGAACACGGCTCCTCAGGTGCTGGGGAGGGAAGTAATCTCAGAAGCACTGAACACTGCTCCTACTTTTCCAAGATAATCATGTGTGGCCTGGGCAGGTCCTCAGGCCCCGTGAGGTCCAGCCTCAGCAGAGTGTCACATCAGAAACTTTCAAGCAACAACAAATGACACCAAGAATCTCAGTCTCCTTTGGAAGAATATCGGAGGCAATCCAAATTATAATATCTAGAAACACTTCTTTAAAAACCCCTTTTCCAAAAGAAATAATTCCATCAAAAAGTGGACTAAGGACCTGAATAGAATAGCCAAAAAACATATGAAAAAATGCTCAACATCATTAATGATCAGGGAAATGCAAATCAAAAACCACAATGTGATACCACCTTACTCCTGCAAGAAGGGCCATCATTTAAAAAAAAAAAAAAAGACGTTGGCATGGATGTGGTGAACAGGAAACACTTCTACACTGCTAGTGGAAATGTAAACTAGTACAACCGCTATGGAAAACAGTGTGGAGATTCCTTAAAGAACTAAAAGTAGATCTACCATTTCATCCAGCAATCCCACTACCGGGTATCTACCCAGAGGAGAAGAAGTCACTATATGAAAAAGATACTTGCACACACATGTTTATAGCAGCATAATTTGCAATTGCAAAAATATGGAACCAGCCCAAATGCCCATCAACCAACAAGTGGATAAAGAAAATGTGATATATATATATGTATAGCTATATAGATATATACACACACACACACGGCATGGAATACTACTCAGCCATAAACAGGAATGAAATAATGGCATTTGCAGCAACCTGGATGGAGCTGGAGACCATTATTCTAAGCGAAGTCACTCGGGAATGAAAAACCAAACATCATATGTTCTCACAAGTGAGGACATAAAGGCATAAGAATGATACTGGACTCTGGGGACTTGGAGAAAGGGTGGGAAGGAGGTGAGGGGTAAAAGACTACACATTGGGTACACTGTACACTGCTCGGGTGATGGCTGCACCAGAGTCTCACAAATCACCACTAAAGAACTTGTCCATGTAATCAAACACCACCTAGTTCCCCAAAACTATTGAAATAATAAATCAATAAAACTATTTTGCCTTCCTTTTTTTTCCTCCAGTTTTTACACAATTGCTACAGGAGCCCTCAAACTCTAAATACTTCACTGTCAACATTCTGCCCCCAAGAGTCCCAGAAGCCCCAGCCCGTGTACCTTCTAAGTCTCTCCCCAGCTTCCCTCTTCTCCCTCACCTCTCCAACCCTGCATCTCTCCACTCAGTCTTCCAGTGTTGTGTCTCAAAGTCTGGGAAGTATGTGGGGAAAGACAGAACTCTCCTCAGAGGACAGGAGAAGAGGAGATGGGCCAAGGAGAGATGGGGCCTGGGGGTGGCAGGTGACAGAGCAGGAATATCACCCTTGAGTGTCGCATTCCCATCCTCTGCCTGTGCACCAGCAAAGCTCCCCGAATGTGCTGGTCCGGAAAGCCAAGATGATGGAGCAGAAACAGGACTTGGCGTTCCCCTGGTATTCCTCTAGTGTTCCCCTGGTATTTCCCTAGTATTTCTCTGGGGAACGGCAGGCAAGGGTCTCGTGTGCATAGCCGGGCTGCAGAGAGATCCCTGGGACTACGTAGATAGACACAAATTCTTTTAAATCCCTTCCTTTTGGATAAAAGTACTAGGTGATTTTAAAATGATCTGTGTAACCAGGAATACATTTTGTAAATTTCTCTAAGACTTACATACTAGGTTTCCGTCCCAAAGACATTTTTATATGTCCCCGAATAGAATAAAGTTAACTCAAGGCTTATCATATTCCAGGCTATAAGGGAGCCGCTCATCTCCTGGATGACTTGTCATCTCACCTGGTTCTATGCCATGTGCTTGACAACATCAGTGCCTTTCCAAACCGTTGCCTTCGGCTTGGTTTTACTGCCTTGCATTGTTGCACTTCCTATCACTGAGCTTAGCTGCAAGAACAGAACAGTGGCTTGTAACGTCCCTGTGCCTTTATTCAGTTTAATAGTCAATGAGCCTAGATACAAGGGATCCCTTCTGAAGGGCAGGAGGATATTATGGGCACTACTGAATATTTTTAGAGTGGGTGGGTTTTTTTGTTTTTTTCTTTTTTGGGTTGTTTTGTTTGTTTTGTTTTGTTTTGTTTTTTGGAATGCGGACTTTTTGATACAGGCTGAGCATCCCAAATCTGAAATCTGCAATGCTCCAAAATCTGAAACTTTTTGAGCACCGACATCACACTCAAAGGAAATGCTCACTGGAGCATTTTGGGTTTCAGATCTTAGGACTGGGGATGTTCAACCAATAAGTATAACGCAAATATTCCAAAATTGGAAAAAAATCAAATTCTAAAACGCTTCCGGTTCCAAGCATTTCAGAGAAGGAATATTCTGCTTGTACTAACTATGCCACGTAAGTAACATTGTGTATTAAGTGTGTGTGCATGTGTGTGTGAGAGCAGGTGCGCATGTGTGTGTATGTGGGCGTGTTTCAATTGGCTGGAAGAACAAGGTTGGTAAGCCAGCCTTTTAAGCTCACCAAGTTGCTGCTTTTTCACCAACACAGTTACTACTAGCAGTGACATCTGCCATTGCTGGGGCACTTTGTTTTAAACTACTTGACCTGCATTACCTTATTTGATTTCCACAAAAGCCCTGAGGTCTTTCTGCTGATGTTCTCCTTTGCAGGAAGTTGCTGTGTTTAACGTGGCGGCCTACAGAGGAGGAGGCTGTACCTCATGGTCCGGGGAGACGGTGCTCTCAAAAGTTCCAGGCAAGCTACCAACTTTCCCTGCCGGAAGGCGTGTGGTACACTGTGGCTCTGCCATATTCCAGTCAGGCAGCTGCTGTGACCCTGAACTGTCCCTGGTCCCTCTGCCCTGTTTCTTCCCTGAGAATTGTGGGTTTTAAACTAGATCCTGGCGTGTTACAGCCAGAAGTGACTTTAAGGCTCACTCAGCCCAAAGCCCAGGAGATCACATGACTTGCCCAAGGTCACGCTGAGGGTCGGTGACGAGGCTGGGACTGGACCCCCAGCCTCCTGGTTCCCATTGCCCTGGGGGTCTTCGTGTCCTCAACACACAAGGCACCTTTTCAAAGGAACTCATACGCACACCTCTGGAAATGCAAGCATCACCCTTTCCTAAGGGTCCCCACCTCTGCACTGGAGACATCGTGCTTTCTAAGAATGAGGCAGTTTTGTTTTAAGTACTGACTCTGGAGAGTGTGGGGGGTTTTTGTCCCCTCTCTGTATCTGTTCCCCCCTAAATCAGCCTGGCCAAGCTAATAGGAAACCTCGGCTTATAACGCCCTGTGCCCCTCCTGCCCCATGGAGCTCCAGGACAGTTCACCCCAGAGAGATGTGGGCTGTCTTCAGCTCCCAGGGCCTGGCTGTGCACCTCCTGCTGCAGATGGTCTCATCCCTAGCAGGGCTGCACCCAGGAGGAAGAGGGGGAGCTGTGCCCCAGGGTTCTCTCATCCTGAACAGCTCTGTTTGGATGGCGGAAGAGCCATCGTGAGAGTGCCACAATCTCTTCTGGCTGGTATTTCTTAAACATCTTCACATCTGTCCAGTTCCCCGCTCCCCAGCCTGGAAACCTGGAATCCTGCTGAGTGGTGTCTGGTCCCCACTTCTCCCCACGCCAGTCCGCAGCCACAGGACTCTTGCTAGCCATGCTCCTCTCCTGCTAACGGCCCATCCATAGCATCAGCCGCAAACCTGAAGGCTCCCCACACTCGGTGGGGTCTTTGCTCCTCCTTCCGCCTTGCACCCGGCTGCTCCGTCTCACAGGTATGAGGGTGTCCTTCTGAAAGGCAGTAGTAGGATATTATTAGTACGAATACAGGAGTACCATGCCACCTGCATTGCTCAAGCCAGACTGGGCCTTCCTAGGACAGGCCGTGACATGCTGTTCCCTGTGACTAGGACACTGTTCCTTCACTCTTCTTCACCCAGCCACAGCCAACACACCTTAGGCAACAGCTCCTCCAGGAAGCCTACCTGACCACTCTCATCCCATCCCTGCCCCAAGTTGTCCACATAGGGAACCCCTCCTTTGTGCCAACACCTGTTGGCTGTCTCCAGTGTGCTGGGCACCGGGGATGCAAAGGCACACAAGACATGGCCCCTGCCTGCAGGGAGCACACAGTCTACTGCCCAGGAGCCAGATATGGGAGAAAACAGGACGGTCCTGCTTCCAGAGCTTTCTGTGCCTGTGCTGTCTCTCTGTGTTGTTTTTTTAGTCTCTCCCACTGTGCACTCGTGGCACCCTGGGGAGGGTCTTAGCCCTGTTTGTATCCTTACACCGAGCACCATTTCTAGTATAAATTACCCTATGCCCTCGATGAACGCACAAGGGCTGAATCAACAAATGGGCTTAACTGTGGGTTCCCTGCAGGTTAGTGCCACCATTGTCCTCTTTAAGAGGTTGCTGCTGTCCCTGTCATGCATATGTGTTGAAAGAAGAAATCCCTTATTTAGAGTTCCCTGAGCAAATGCTCTGGGGAGAAACCAAGGGGGGCTGTCTTCTGAATAGATGCCTGTTGAAATACATGCCTTCTGCTAGTGAGCACTTTTCTTGCAAACTTGAGTCTTAGGTTAGGTTCCTTCAAGACAAGAATTCCTGTGCAAGAGATTTGTGAAGGAAATGCTCCTGGGACACAGGTGGGAGTGGGGGCAGGGAAAGGGAAGAAGCCACACCAGGGTGCAATTTTAGGAAAGCTCTTGGCCTCAGCCTGCTCCTGTGGGGAGCCTGAAGCATGAGTTACACCTCAGTCTTGAGGCTAGCACTGGGTATCATTGTCCTGCACCCAGTTATTGGCTCTGAGCCCCAGGGAAACACAATCTGTCAGGCCTTTTGGGCTCCTGGACCTGTGGGCAAAGTGATTTTAGTAGCCCTTGAACGGGCCTCCAAAGGGGCCACAGGTACAGGGGTGGGCAGGAGAGACAACAGCTGGGGGCCTGAGAGGGGTACAACAGTGTCCTCTACAGCTTGTGGGGACAAGACCAAAGAGCCCTGGGGGTAAGGGAGCCCCTTTTTCTATTTTACTTCAGGGTCTGCGTTTAACTGACAATCACTCAGCAGGAGCCTGGTCTGCAGCTGTGTCCTCCTGCTTGGATGATGCAAAATAATGCCCCGGGCATGGCCTAAAACCCAAAGGTGGGGCTCTTTTGTCCAGTGCTAAGAGAGACTCGACTCTCAGCTTCAAGTTCTTTGCTGAGGTGAACATTATTTATCATGCTGTATTGGGTGGGAGCAGACAGTAACCCTGTACCTCATCTTGAAGGACAGAGAAAGATCTTTCTCAAGATCAAAGCATGTCCCTCAGATGTCTGGCAAATGAGTGGAGATTATAAATGAGAAGGTAGCCGACCAGGCACAGTGGCTCATGCCTGTAATCCTAGCACTTTGGGAGGCCGAGGCCGTTGGATCACCCAAGGTCAGGAGTTCGAGACCAGCCTGGCAAACATGGCAAAACCCCATCTCTACTAAAAATAGAAAAAATTAGCCAGGTATGGTTGCATGTGCCTGTAATCCCAGCTACTCAAGAGGCTGAGGGAGGAGAATCCCTTGAACCTAGGAGGTGGAGGTTGCAATAAGCCAAGACTGTGCCATTGCACTCCAGCCTGGGCAAAAGAACAAGACTTGTTTTTTTAAAAAAAAAAAAAAAAAGCAGGTAGCCAAGGATGCCTCAGGAGCTGAGTGCGGAGAGATCAGAACATGTGTTCCATCTTTGTCATGAGTTTATTTCTAGAAAAAGATTATTGTTTAAAACAATCATTAAAAGCTATCATAGATGCCATGGCCAAAATATTTTCGTAGGACATACTGTTACCACCTCACTGCCTACTGCCTCCAATTCTTAGGCGTAATTTTTTTTTTTTCAGAGAAATGAAAACTAATGTTAGAAAGAAGCACTTGGGGAACGATACCACTTAACTGATTTTATAATTGTTTACAGCAGACGCTGCCTTGGTGGAAAGTTTGGAGGGGAAAAGGGAGCCTCCCAAGGTCTTTATAAAAGGTAGCAGCGCCCCCTGACACAGAGCAGAAGGGGAACCACAATGAAGAGCATCAAACTCAGGAGGAAAAAAGGGTGGCTGGAGAGGGTGAGGGGAGGCAGAGAATGCATAAAAAGATATTATTCCCACTACTGCTGATTACAGAGATCAACCAAATCCTCCCACGCCGGAAAGAACAAAGTACTCATTTTTTAGCAACCCAAGAACAGAAGAAGGGGATATTGGCGGAACCTCTTCATATTAAAGACCAATTAAGTTATTAGGCAATTTCAGAGAAGTTCCAACAGAACAGAGCCTTTCTCTTACATTGCAAAATACCTCTGAGCCCTATATGAAATCACAAGATACAACACGGTTGTGTTACTCGTTACTTCTTTGGCTGTTACATTCACTTATTCCTCCAACAAATATTTATCACGTAATCTCCATGTGCAAGTCATGGGAGATTTGATGGACACAAAATCCTGCAGAAGAAAGAATCTAAGATCTGGTGTTAGAAAACCTCGATTGGAATCACCACTTTGCTGCACACGTGATTTTTAACACGCCACTTAAATGCCATTTTCTGGGCCTTAGTTTTGTCATCTGTAAAATGATGATCTGATACTGCTTCACAGAGTATGGGAAGCATCTCTGTAAGTGCTAAAGTCCTTTCAAAGGTCAGTTGCTGTTATTTTTTGAGTCTCCTAGCAGGATGGGGTGACCGCACTCCTGGTTTACCTATAACAGTCTCAGTTGCACCTGTTCTCCCAGCCCCTTTTCATTCTTAAAGGAGTCCAAGTTTGGCAAATAACTGATATGATCCCCTACTGATAGAGTCATCTGTATCGGAGAAAACCATGCAACAAGGACCAGAGTTCCAATTTTATCGTTCAGTTGCAGTGACTTTCCATACCTTACTATCTGTTCATGGAAGTTTCTCGCGGCCTAACAATACTTCGCTCTTTTTGAAGGTGCAGCCAACTCGGCTGTGAAAATTCAACGTGTGCACAGAAGTGGGTACTCTGCCGTGCATTTGCACAGAGGTTTCTCATGAAAAGAAACAATTTGTGGAACACCCGTCATGAATACAGAATTTGGGCATAAAGAAATGTTCTCCTGCATAATGGTATTCTTCAATTCACGAATGGAAATGTTATATTTCAAGGCAACAGTGTTGTGAGCCTTTACAATAAGCACAAAGCACTACCCCAGTCCGGCAATAGCTGAAAACCCGGGGGATTTTGGTGTTACCAAGTAGAACTGGGCTGCTAAATTGTGGCTGAGTGTGAGACACTGACCGTGGGTTGGATCTTGCACTTCAAGAGCCCTGTTCCCAGAGCCCTGGGCTGTGTTTCTCAATCTCACTCAGCTTGTTTCCTGACTCAGGGAGCAGGTATGATTCCTGTACCTGCCTCTTGGTACTGCTTTGAGGGTTACAAAGGCTAATGCATAGAGTATTTAACAGCACCAGAGACATGCCGATTGTCCCTAAGTTGTAGAAAGGCTTATCATTCTCCACTGTGCTGCTCCCAACAGAGCACTCTGCAATGGTTAACTTGAGGGGACCAACCCTTGCTATACCCTCTCTCCTTTGGCCTTGTTTCCAAATATTTGTAGGAGTTGTCCAGACCAAAGACTTTCACATGTGGGCAGTGAGTTGAAACCCTGTCTGTATCAGTTAGCCATTGCCACAATGATGCCGGGTAACAAACTCCCCCACAAAACTTGGTGGCTTAAAACAACAATGAAGCATTCTCAGCAATGTGTGGGGCAGCTGGCATCAACCGATCTAGGCTGAGCTATACTCCAAACTGCTCTGGTTGGGGAAACTTTGGCAGCAGCTCTACCAGTACATGGCTCTCATCCTGCTTCTGCAGCCAGGGGCCTCTCCAGGGCATGTGCTTCTGATGAAAATAGCAGGAAGCACTCGAGGGCTCATGGAAACCCTCCAGGTCGCCTAAGGTGTAGGCTCAAAACCAGTCGCTGCCACTTCTGCCCAGATATCGTTAACAAGAGCCAAGTCCAAGGTGAAAGGACAGGAGCACTCCCTTAAAAGGGTCGTGGCAAGGATGTGCTGGTAGAGAGGGGGGAAGAACTGGGGCCAGTAATTCAACCAACTGCACACTGTATCTCATCTTTTGCAGAAAAGGGATGGAACAAATTTGGAGCACCTACTTTGGGCCAGGACTCATTTAAGCTTCAAGAAACCTAGGAAGGAGGCAACTTCCCGCCATCTTATAGGTGGAGAGACTGAGGGTGAATATTGAATTGATTCACTTTTGCCACATAACAAAGCACTCCCAGAGTGTCCTAAGATCTCCATTTCTTTCACTTCCAATGCTATAGGTAAGCAGTTTGGGCTGGACGCAGATGGACGCCCTTCTGATGATCTCAGCGAGACACTACCCACTCATGGTCAGCTAGGAATCAAGTGGAGGCTGACTGGTCTCACCCACCTGTCTGGTAGTTGATGGCTACGGGCAACACGAATGGCTGAGCCATGTGCTCTCATGAACCCAGCTTCCCAGGGCAGCAAGAGAGCCAGCCCCAATGTGTGAACACTTTTTAAAGCCTTTGGTGGCTTGTTTGCTAATGTCCCAGGAGCCACGTAAGACATAAGGCCAGTGCAGAGCCAGTGTGGGAGGGGACTATCCAAGGGGCAGATAGAGGAAGTTAAACAAATTATGGCCGTTTTTGTAATCTGCAACAAGAACTCCGTTCAAGGAACACACTAAATGCATGGCAGAGCTTCCTCTTTGATCTTCTGAGCTGACAGGCATGTGGTGAGCACAGCCTCATGTGTCCCTAATGTGTTCCAGACACACTTAGCACTTCCCACACAGCCATGTAAACTGCCCGGTCCTCACCGAACTTTCTACTCCGACTGATCTTGAGAGGCACGTGTCTCAGGATTTAAATAAAAATGAACAAATAAATGTATTTATAAAGCCTTTGGAAAAACAGTGTAAATGACTTAGAAACAAAATTTATTTTCAGAGGAAGAAATCTTGTTTATGTGATTCTAGATTAATTCTCAGAAAGCATTTTTATAATGGAAGCAGGGAATTCTATAGGTCTCTGGCCTCATGTCCACAGCAGCGCATCAGTTTCTCAAGGTATTGCTGGGCTTGGTTTCCAAAGAAGTGCCAAGGAGTCACTGAGGGTGCCCAGGTCTTAGTAAGTGAGCTTTGACTCTGACTCTGTAGCTGTGTTTAAACAAATTCAGCCATTTTGTATCATATATCTGGAAAAGGGCAAAATCATTTTTCAAGTTGGAGAGGATGGAGAAGAGGGGAAATGTGTTTGGTGTTATTGCAATTAGTCACGCTTTGGAACATCCTGGGGAAAGTCGACTCTCAAGTTATTATTGACATAGTGAAGTGGAGGAGGTTAAAAAGAAGTCTGCAGGCCCCATTAATTAACCTCTCCATTATTTTTATTTCCCTGTGCATTTTTCTGATGGACAGAAGATCAAGGGGTCAAACCCTGTTAGAGCTGCAGGCATCCCGGCATTCACAAAGCCCAAGCCTCTTGCTTTCCAGAGACAAGAGGAGTTGTTGTCAGTCTTCACAATCACAGCAGGCTTTCAGGTGGGCACAGATCTTGGGCCCACAGCGTTTGTGAGGCAGGTCCCCTTCTCCACCTCATACTGTTTCTCCAAATGCTGCTCATACATTGCTAATCCTCCTCCAGGAAGCCTTCCTGGATGTATTTCTACTTCCTCTGTAACCCTCAGCCTTTCTTGGTGCCTCCTTATAGTGGATTCTGGGGCACTCTGCCCAGATCCCCTCTTTAGGACCAAAGCATACATTCCCCCAGCTGTAGCCCTCACTGGCAATTGCATTTAGCCACAGGGAATAGCCCAGCCCAAGGTCATAGCTCTTGCAGAGGCAGCCTACGGCTGGTGACTGGCTGAAGCAGGGAAACCAAGCCCAGCCTACTTCCCTCCATTTGGGGACAATGCTGAAGGGTCACCCTGGCTTCAGAGCTCCCACCGGAGCAGCTGGGCCTCTGTTGTATCTGTTGTAGATCCACTTCTCCTTCTGCCCAATCCTTACTGCCTTATGGATCCATCTCTCAAGAAACCTACATGCAGTTCTCTACCTCAGAGTCTGTTCCAGGGAACTCATCCTGGGACACTCCTTCATGGCATCCCATGTCTCATTTTATGTTTGCTAACTGGGTTCTCTGACACTGAGCTCACCCTGATATATATATTTAAAAACCAGAATGGCTAAAAAGGAGGGAAACCGCAATTGTAAAGTTGCCCACAATTTCCTCCTTCACTTTAGGTGGAGGTCAACTTTGTCTCTGGGGAAAGACTGCACGCCTGTCTATTAGAGGGTAGAAAGGACACTTCAGTGTCCTTGTGATCTTGCAGAGAAGACCCCAAGCCCACACTGGCATGGAGAGGATGAGGCCACAGTGCAATCGATCAAGCACTGTGGATTGACGCTCAAAGGCTGTCTGCACCAGGCAAGGAGGTTCCTTCTCAACCGAGATCACCATGATGCTGATGGGAAACCAGTCATGAGGGAAATGTGGGCTTCTTTCCTCCTCTGAGCTGAATCCACTGAGGGTTGGAAGAATATGATGAAAGCTGTCCCCTCGCTCCTGTGGGAACCTGGCCAGCCCTGTTGGGAGTAGTGTCTGGGCTGGACACCTAAGGAGAGCCAAAAGGGGATCCCATGAAGGCCACAACCAATGCACTCTAGATGTTTGTTCAAGAGGTGATTTAAAAATTGTCCTCAACTGCACTGTAAACCCTGATGCTACCCCCAGATCCCCATGGCCATCAGCATGGTTTGGTCTTTGCTAAACTTTGTGGAATTAAGTTTAAGTGCCCGTGTTCACACTTGGGATGTATAAGGAGAGCTCTGGCAGCCTAGATCATGACTGTGGCATGAGGGAGTGGACACACATAGCTGAAGTGCTAAGATTCAGTTCAGCTGGGCTCACCAAGCCAGTGCATTTCTTGGAGACTTTTGGAAACTCTTGGAGTGGGAGTGGGATTGAGGGTTCTGACAAAAACAGACGTCCTTAGTTGCAGGACAGCCTGGGACTTGTTGGCTGGGTACTGAAAGGAAGCTGCATCCTGGAAACCTTGGGTCTGTTGGACTCTGGTTAGTTGGGCTATTTCCTTGATTGAATGTGTAAGCGCCCTGCAAGCAGGAACCGTGCTTCATTCCTTTCTTGGGTTGTCCACAGTGCCTAGTACAGTGTTTGCACATTGTGGGGCCTGATGCAATCTTCAATTTTGGGCCCCAAACCTGTTAACAGAGAACACAATGATGCCTCAGAGAGAATGTGGCCTGGCAGGGTCCCAGAGCAAGTGAGTGGCTGGATCCCCAGCCCCCAAGGAGCATGCAGTCTCCAGCTACCTCTTACTGCTCAGGAACAATGGGTGCCCTGAGTAGAGATAGAGTCAGCTTCAACCTCCTGGGGGGAAGGATTTGGTGTGTTCCCTTCAACCAAGGATGCCCTGCTGAGCACCTAAGAGCTGGCAATTCCCAGCCCATGATCTCTGTAGTGGGCAGAGTTCTAAGATGGCCCTCAGTCTTGTGTAATTCCCTCTCATGTGTATATGATAGTACTCCTCTGATTATGCTACATGATATGGCAAAGGGATTTTGCAGCTGTGATTAAGGTTACTAATCAGTTGACCCTAAGATGGGGATATTATCTGGATGGGTCTAACACAACCAGAAAATTTTCTCTGGCTGGTGGTAGAAAGGGACATCAGCAAGAGTTAAGCAAAAAAAAAAAAAAAAAAACAGAAAACAAAACAAAACACTGTTGTTGACTTTGAAGATGCAGGGAGCCACATGTAAAAGCTGGATAGCATCCTGTAGGAGTTGAGAACAAACTTCATCCAACTGTCAGTAATGTTAGGGGGACCTCAGTCCTACAACCACAAGGAATTGAATTCTGCAACAACCTGGATAAGCTCAGAAGCTGGTTCTCCCCCCAGGGCCTCCAGCTAAGAGTCCAGCAGCTGGTACTTTGATTTCTCTTGTGATATCCTAAGCAGAGCCCAGGTGAGCCCATGATTTCTGACCTATAGAATTGTGAGATAACAAATGAGTGTTGTTTTAAACCACTGCAATTGTGAAAATTTGTTGCCTAGCAATAGAAGGCTGACATCGTCTTTGAAAGCTCTTCATAGAATGGAGCATGGACAAAGTTTGAATTCCTTTTATACTTCTCCTTAGTTGCACAACCCCTGAGTCTCAGTTTTCTCATCTACCGAGTGACAGATATAACACCCACATCTCAGAGTTGTCCCAGTGAATGCAGTCTGAGGACTTGGAGTTCAAGAACTTCCTTCCTCTCAACGTGGCTGCTCTTGGGAGAGTCATTTACCTGCTCTGCACCTTAGTTGTCTCCTCTGTGAAATGGGTCACATTAATCATTATCTTATTATTGTTCTAAAGATTGTATCAAATGAGATCATGGATGCATAAGGCATGGCACCAATGTTTGTAATTTACACCACCAGTCTGAGCACAAACCACAGACATCATACACCCAAGAACAGGCCACAAACGTCCACTTTCTGCAAACCTACCATCAAGCACCACCATTTTTGTATAGTTCAGAGCCCTCTAATTAAGAAATATATTTAATGTTTAAGGAAAACTGCCTAGATGCCATGATAACCCTTTGAATAGTGTTGTCCCTTATGCAATATTTTATTTGGTCAAAAAATAAGACATCATGGAAGATCAGAGGAGGTTCTGAGCTTTGAGCTCACTCTCAGGAGTGAGCATGACTGGCTTGGTTGTTTTGACAGGAAAGAACCTTCTCCAAACAACTCCAAGCACCAAAAAAGTTTTTGCTGTAAGAAGTTTTCAAATCATAAACTATGTTGTCATTCATCCTTTCATGCAGATCCCCTCCTGCATTGTCCCACAAGGAAAGCTCCTGATTAAGATGTAGGGGCTGTAAATCAGGAGAAGGCGCCTGCATGTTCTGCATGAGGGAGCCATATGGCTGGCTGCATCGACTGCTGGGGATGTGACCGTTGCCCATTCATTGCGCCATATCTGAGCACCAGCATCCTCTACGGTGATTCATGGGTGCCCTGATCACAGGCCCCATGTTATCTAATAGATTTCTGAAGTTTTCCACCAAGCATTTTATTTTAAATGACAGTTATTTCTATTAATGGGTGGGCCCTGTCAGTTTCCTGACCCCGGTTGGGAAGGATGTCTTTCTGTTCAAATGGCAGTCATCATTTCTGTGAAGCCATGCATGTAAAGAAGGCAGCCGGAGCAAGGCACCTCGCACAGGGCTGTCACTCAAGTTGACATCTCCATGTTGGAGCATTTTTGCAAAGTTTTCTCCATGTGACCTGCAAGTTAAAGATCAGGGGGCTCCCTTCATCCAAGCCATCCATGTGCCAATCATCCTTACCTAAAAATGAAAGTTACAAATAAGCCAGCGCTGCTATTTATACCCTCCTGCCTGGCCCATCTTCCTCCTGTCAATCTTGGTCTTTCATTATGGATACATACGCAGCACCTCTTCTCCATCAAGATCACAGATTAGCTGCTCCCGCTTCTCCACTGTTTGTTTTCCCCTTACCTTTTGTGACGTTTTATAAAATAACCATGTTCTCCTGGTCTTCAGGGTTTTTCTGTCAATAGAAGATAATTTTTTCCCTTCTCCTCTGTCCTTCCTTTCTTTCTTCCCTCCCTTCTTTCTTCCTTCGTTCCCTCTCTTTTCTTCCTCCTTTCATTATTTCCTACCTTCCATCTTCCTTTGTCCATTTTACCTCTCTTGCTCTTCCTTCCTTCCCTCCGTCCCTCCCTCCCTTCCTTCCTCCCTTCCTTCCTTCCCTCTTCTGTGTCTTCCTCATCCTCTTTCCCTTCCATTTCTTCTCGGTCCTCTTCCTTTTTCTTTGTCCCTCCTTTATTCCTCCCTTTTCCTGATATTTTCAAGCAGGAAGTTTGGAGATGGCCTGCCCTTGCCCAGCCCTTTCCTGTAGTCCTGCTTGCTGCCAGCCCCACGCAGAAGGCCCTGTCTCCCCACACATCCCCTCCCAGGCCTCTCGCCCAGCTGCCAGTCTGAACCCTGAGCCCAACTGACACCGTTCCACTCGCCGTTGACTGAGCCACCCACTTCTGAGGGATTCATTTCCCTGATAGAACTTTCTTTTCCTCTCCCCTCAGGTCGCCTTCCCCTCTCCACCTGGGGGCCTTTGCTTCAGCACCGCAGGGGATCTTTCGTAGCTCATCCAATAAAAGCCACCCTGCATAAATACCTTGTTTATTCACTCAACCAGTATTCACTGAGCACCTTCTACATGCCAGGCTCTGCAGAGGTGCTGCGGAGAGTCAGGCAGTCACAGATCCTACTCACAAGAAGCGTGATGTTTCCTAGGGAAAACAGACAGTAAGCAAATACCTACCCAAACTTATTTAATCACAACTGTGATGCGTGTCACAGAGGAAGAGTCTGTCATCAGTCATACAGGTCCTTGTGTGCCCCACTCCCCACACGGTCCCCCAGGGTGCTGATGGTCATTAGAGGTGCCTGTCCTTGAATAACGTACTCTGTGGGGTACATGGCGGGGGAAGGTTTAAGACTTCCCCACCCTGGAGGTGAGTCTGCTGGCCTGGTGATTTATGGGACCCCTCCGCTGTGCCCAGACATCTTCCGAATGCTGATGTGGATACCAGGAAACAGAACGGGAAAAGGTCCACTGTGCCCATGTGGTCCTTCCCGGGGAGCTCAGGCCTGTTTACCGGCCACGTCTGAAGTGTTTTGTACTGTCTCAAGTGTGTTCTCAAGTGTTTTGTTCTGAAGTGAAGCCTGACTGCATTTTCTCAGCCTCCTCTTCCACACGGGGACCGCTGCTTGGCAGCACATGCTCGCCAGCCATTTGCACTCACAGGGGGCAAAGCTTAACTATAGATTTTGATACACGAACGTGAGTACTGAGCTGTGAGAGCCCAGAGGTGCCTGTACAACTACAGAAAGGAGAAAAAAAAAAACACGAGAGTTTTAAAAAGGCACAAGAGCAGCGGGGAGAGGAAAGAAATTCATTTATTAACTTCATCAGCCTCACTTTTCTCATGTGCAAAATGGGGCTGCTGATTGTACAAGAGATGCTTCTAACGCATTGCACATATCATGTGCCAAACTAAATGTCAGTCTTCTTTCCCTGATATTTGCAGTTAGAAGTCCCAATGGAGAATGTGGCTGTAACTGTGGAAACTGTACAGAAGGCCTCAGCATTCGTCGGGGTGGGCTCTGGAGGCCCCCACCGCTAGGGAAATCTGTAAAAAGATCCTCAACATTCAAATAGGGTGGGGAGAAGGTCGGGGGCGCATGTGTACATTCCTTTTTCTACTTTATCCTCTACTCGGTGGCTGTCACAGTGAAAGGAGGTGCGTGGGGGTAAACTGAGGAAGCTGGGCTGAACCGGAGAGGCTGGCCGCTCTGCAGGGAGGCGGGTTTACACTTTGCAAGCCAGCCTTGATGTCTTCCACACAGATAATGGCAAACCAAGATGCACAACAACCGTCTGGACTTTTCTGTGAGGGGTTTCTCCTCGTAACTTCAGAAATGTACTATCTGTGCAAAACTGAGCAGAGGCAGACATTACTAACCTAACTGACGAGACGTCATTAGGAAATCACAATACTTTACCTGGAAGACTGGCTCAAAAACTGAAGAGTTAAAAAAAAAAAAGAAAAAGAAAAAGGAAAGCTACGATTAACTTTTAAACTCAAACAGCAACCAAAAGACAGACAATTAAATGGGGAAGCCATGCACAAATGTCACACACAGGGGAGGAGATCAAAGAAAACAGCAATCTCTGATAAAGATCAAGAGAAACGACTGGGGTTTTTATAGTATCTGCCGACAAATGGCTCAAGTGGAAAAAACACACAGTAGCTTGATTTCTCAATATGCTGCAGAATGGCCTGTGATGATACAGAGATCAAAGGCTAGCCTCGGAAACAAAATGCCACAAGAAATGGCACACTCTTTGTTTTTGTTATTATTTTGGGGGGCAATTTGTATTTCAGACCCATGACTCAAGGAGTGGGAAATTTATGAGCCAGTGTGGAGAGAGGTCAGTCAGCTGGCTGAACGGCAAGAAATAAGAATTATGCACTTAGAAATTCATTCCATTCCTTCTCGGCTTACCCCTGTGGAATAAAGAAGGTGATAAAAGACCTTTGTAAATTACTTAGTATCTCCATTAAACCTTCACAGGTCTGAGGCAACACTATGTTTTTGGAGCGTGATACTATGTAACTGTGTGTGCACATGCCAGCTGCTCCGTCATTGTCATTCCTGGCATTTTATCCTCTTCTAATGTATCCCTATCCCCTGGATTTTCTCCCTCCAAGTTTCCCTTCAACATCATCTTTTTCATCATCTAAGTCTGGTCTTCTTTGAATTGCCCATAGTGACATATCTGTGTCCACAGCACTGAAAACCATCCATCACCCTCTGTCCAAATGTGTAGACGTTTGGCAGCAGGTAAATAAAAGACCCAGAGGTGCAATTTCCTTGGTTTTCATCAGGAACTCTGGCATAATGTAGAGATACCTTGAATGAAAGCTAGCCTATATTCTTTTGATTTTCCACATGTGGTTATCGTTATATTATTATTTATTGTGACCTTCGTATAATTTACCAATCATCTAGGTAGCCATCAACAGGCATAATAATATGGTTAGTATTTGTACAAACAATTATCCTTCAAATATAAGTTGGTAGATGGATTACAAATGAATCCAAGAATATTTTGGCAAATATCCCTGGGAAGCTGTGTTGGGACTAAAGCCATGTAAAGCACAGGATTCTGGCTGGGGGATTGATGATGTGTTTGAAAAGCTTAATAAAACATTAAGATGGCTGATACTGTGGATTCCAGGAAGGCAGGTAGAGAAGTTTGCTCACATACCAGGTGACACAGAGAATATAAATGAAATCTATCAGAAATATATTTAGTAAATTTGCATCTCAACAATGGAAAATTACAACACAGAATAATGCCCTGATTTTTGTAGCATGTTAGAGGAACCTGAGAAAAATAAATGTGCCGTCTACTGTCGCGGACAATGTTCCCAACAGATGTGGTCTGTCTGGCAGGCAGCACAGAGCTGTCCTCTCCCTCTGCGATGCCAGAAGTGACCCCCGTGTAAATGTGCATTTCAGTCCAAGCTCATACAGTCTCAATCCTGAGTCTTTGGATGTTTCAGAAATCTAGATCGTTGCTGAATCTTTCTCAATGTGGCTTTAGTTAAAAAGAATTGTGTTCTTTTCTTAGTTACTTTTTTTTTTTGAGACAGAGCCTCACTTTGTTACCCAGTCTGGAGTGCAGTGGCATGATCTCAGCTCACTGCAACCTCCGCCTCCTCGGCTCAAGCCATCCTCCCACCTCAGCCTCCTGAGTAGCTGGGACTATTCCACCATCACGCCAGGCTAATTTTTGTATTTGTTGTAGAGACAGGGTTTCACCATGTTGCCCAGGCTGGTCTCAAAGTTGGAGTCAAGTAATCCACCTGCCTTGGCCTCCCGAAGTGCTGGGATTACAGGCTTGAGCCACCATGCCTGGCTCTTAATTACTTTTTATTATAGAAATTTTCAAGCATAAATTTTACTGAGTTTTGCTGAATTCTAAATTTATTTATAGGCACACCTTATTTTATTGCACTATGCTTTATCGCCCTTTGGAGATATTGCATATTTTTACCAATCAAAGGTCTTATGGCAATCCTGTGTTAAGTGAATCTATCAGTGCCATTTTCCAACAGCATGTGCTCACTTTGTCACATTTTGGTAATTCTTGAAACTTTTTCATTATGATTATACCTGTTATAGCGATCTATGATTAGTGATCTTTGCTGTTATTGTAATTTTTAGGGGGCACTGTGAACCACACCTATATAAGAGAGTAAACTTAATAGAAAAATGTTGTGTGTGTTCTGACTACTCCACCAACCAGCTGTTCCCTTGTCTCTCTCCCTCTTCTTTGGCCTCCCTATTGTCTGAGACGCAACAGTATTGAAATTAGGCCAATTAATAACCATACAGTAGCGTCTATGTTCAAATGAAAGGAAGAGCCAAATGTCTCTCACTTCAAATCAAAAGCTAGAAATGATTAAGCTTGGTCAGGAAATGCATGGCAAAAGCAAAGACAGGCTGAAAGCTAGCCCTCTTACACCAAACAGGTAGCCAAGTTGTGAATGCAAAGTGAAAGCTCTTGAGGGAAGTAAAGTGCTACTCCAGTGACCACATGAATGATACGAAAGCAAAACAGCTTTATTGCTGAGATGGAGATGTTAGTAGTCTGGGTAGAAGATCAAACCAGCCACAACATTCCCTTAATCCAAAGTCTAATACAGAGCAAGGCCCTAACTCTCTTCCATTCTGTGAAGGCTGAGAGAGGTGAGAAAGCTGCAAAAGAAAAGTTTCAAACTAGCAGATGTTGGTTCATGAGGTCTAAGGAAAGTTGTCTTAATAACATAAAAGTGTAAGATGAAGCAGCAAGTGCTGATGAGGAAGTTGCAGTAAGTTATCCGGAAGATCTAGCTAAGACCATTGATGAAGGTGGCGATGCTAAACAATAGATTTTCAATGTAGATGAATTAGCTGTCTAGTGGAAGAAGATACCAGCTAAGATTCCCTTAGCCGTCTAGAGGAATGAAGATACCATCTAAGATTCCCATAGCTAGATAGAAGAAGTCAATGTCTGGCTTCAAACCTTCAAAGAACAGGTTGCCTTTCTTCTTAGGGGCTAATGTAGCTGGTGACTTTAAGTTGAAGCCAGTGCTCATTCACCACTCTGAAAATCCCAGGGCTCTTAAGAATTATGGGAAATTTACTGGGCCTGGGCTCTATAAATGGAACAACAAAGTCTGGATGACAGCACATCTGTTTACAGCATGGTTTACTGAATAGTTTAAGCCCACTGTCAAGACCTACTTCTCAGAAAAAAATATTCCTTTCAAAATCTTACTGCTCACTGACAATGATTCTGGCAAGCTCTGATGGAGATGCACAAGGAGATGAATGTTGTTTTCATTCCTGCTAACACAACATCCATTCTGCAGCCCATGGGTCAAGGAGTAATTTCAACTGTCAAGTCTTATGATTTGAGAAATACATTTCATAAGGCTATAGCTGCCATAGGTAGTGATTCTTCTGATGGATCTGAGCAAAGTAAATTGAAAACCTTCTAGAAAGGATTTACTATTATAGATGCCATTAAAAAATTTTGCAATTCATTGGAGGGAATAAAAATATCATCATTAACAGGAGTTTGGAAGAAGTTGATTCCAATTCTCATGGATGACTTGGAGGGGTTCAAGACTTCAGTGTTGGAGATAACTGCAGATGTAGAGGAAATAGCAATCAAACTAGAATTAGAAGTGGAGCCTAAATATGTGACTGAATTGCTGCAATTTCATGATAAACCTTGAATGGCTGAGGAGTTGTTTCTTATGCGTGAACAAAGAAAGTGGTTTCTTGAAATGGGATCTACTCCTGGTAAAGATGCTGTGAACATTGTTGAAATGACAACTAAGGACTTAGAACATCCCACAAACTTAGTTGATAATGCAGTGGCAGGGCTTGAGGGATTAACTTCAATGCTGAAAAAGATTCTAATATGGGTAAAATGCTACCAAACAGCATCACATGCTACAGAGAAAACGTTTGTGAAAATAAGAGTCAGTGGGGTGGCAAGCTTCATTGTTGTCCTATTTTAAGAAATTGCCACAGCCACCCCAACCTTCAACAAGCACTACCCTAATCAGTCAGGAGCCATCCACACTGAGGCAAGACTCTCCACCTGCAAAAAGATTGTGACTCATTGAAAGCTCAGATGATTGTTAGCAGTTTTTAGTATTTTAAATTAATGTATGTACCTTTTTAGAGAAAATACTATTGCACATTTAACAGGCTCCAGTATAGTGTAAATATAACTTTTATATGCACTTGGAAACCAAGAAATTTGTGTGACTCACTTTATTGCTTTATTGTGATATTTGTTTTATTGCAGGCATCGAAAACCGAATCCACAATATCTCTGAGGTATGCCTATACCAAATTTATTTTAAATAAATTTTAGAGAATTCTATGCTATAAAAATAGAGAGAGCAGAATAATGAACTTCACTGTACCCATCACTCAGTATCAACATTTCGTATTATACCAGTTATAGAGCTGATTTCTTCTTTTTGTGTGTGTGTTTAAAAAGAAATGTGACATAAAATTTGCCATCTTCACCATTTTTAAGTGTTACACTTCGGTAATATTAAGCATATTCACATATTGTAAAAGAGATCTTCAGAAGTTTTTCATCTTGCAAATCTGAAACTCTATACCCATTAAACAGTAATTCCTTATTCCCTCCCCCGCCTGCCCCTAGCAAACACCATTTGACTTCCTGTTATGAATTTGACTCCTTTAGATACCTCGTGCAAGTAGAATCTTACATATTTGTCTTTCTGTGACTGGCTTGTTTCACTTAGCATAGTGTCTTCAAGGTCTATCCACGTTGTAGCATGAGGCAGGAGTTCTTCCTTTTCAAGGCTGAATAATATTCCATCGTATGGGTAGGCCACCTTTTGTTAATTTATTCATCCCTGGGTGGATAGGTCACTTCCACCTCTTGGCTATTGTGAATAGCCTAGAATATGGGTGTCCAGATATCTCTTTGAGACCCTGATTTCAATTCTTTTGCATACATACCCAGAGGTGGGATGGCTGGATTATATGGGAGTGCTTATTTTAATTCTTTGAGGAATATCCGTACTGTTTTCCATAGGGTTTGCACCATTTTACACTGTTGCATCCTACCAACAGTGCAAAGGGGTTCTAATTCTCATTCTTTTCTGGGTTTTTTGATAGTAGCCATCCAACAGGTGTGAGGTTTGGATTTTCATTTATCTGCTGATTAGGGATTGAGCATCTTTTCCTATGCTTCTTGGCCATTTGGCATATCTTTGAAGAAATATCTATTTAAGTCCTTTGCTCGCTTTTTAATTGTTATTTGATTTTTTGTTATTAAGTTGTGATTTCTTCTTCCTTAGAAATGTAAAGATTTTCTGTTTTGTTTTGCTTTTAACCATAAAGATTGAAAAAGAGAAAAATGACTAGATTGCTGTAATGGAGATCCAGATACTTATACAGAGGTGGTTTCCAATGTAAGCTAGACAGAATTAATGGGTGAATTTGAACTATCCATATAGCCAATGTGAATCATCATTCAGACAACAAATATTTCCTGACAACGTTCTCAGCCAGTCCTCCTGAAGGCACTGGGATATGACTGTGGAAAAGGCAAGGCATCTGCCTTCAAGGAGCTCACAACAATTCAGAAAAAGTGGCGGGGGCTTTTGTCTGATTTTTAAAAACCACCTTTATCGAGATATACTTCACATACTATACAATCCATCCACTTAAAATATACAATTCAATAGGTTTTGTATATTACATTATTGATATTTAAATTTATGCTAAAATATTAATAGCATAACATTTACCATTTTAACCATTTTTAAAGTGTTGTCTGTTTGATCTTTTAATCAAAGGATTGTTTCTCTGTGTTAGGGTGCCTGCTGCCTACTAGGCCTATGGAGTCTTCTAAGAGAAGCATCCCTCTGCTGATGGGATGATAGCTGGATGTAGTCAGATGGCCACATCCGGACCCCACGACCCAATCTTGTCCTGCCTGCTTCATACAAAGCCATACACAGGTGCCCCAGCTAGGGGAGCTGTGGAGCACAAGACTTCTGGGTGTGCACTCCATTGGTTGCTGGCCAGCAGTCTTCAAGGTGGTTGAGTTCTTCCTGCCGCACAGGCTGGACAGTCAAGTGCTCCTCTTGCGTGGCTTGTGAGTAAAGGTAAATGCATTAGCCCTTATTCCTGCCTCACTGGTTCCCTTCAGTTAAAGGATAAATACCAAAGGGAAGCTGGTGAGGCATCTGAACATGCCCCTCCATCATTTAATCACTAATCATCAATTACTTTTTTTAATTAAATAATTATTTGGGTTTTTGGCCAAATTACTCATTGACATGAATGAGTTTATTTGTTCAAGCATCGAAAAATCCCAAAAAGCACCCAGTGGAAAGCCTTCTTCCCACTCCTAACTCCTATCTGCCAACTCCCTATCCCTCTCAGCCAGGGACTAGCGTTATTAGATTTGTCTTTTGCTTTTATTACCTTTTCCTTTCAGACATCTTAAAGCGTTTAAAGCCAATACAAACGTATATTCCTCTCCTCTCTTCTTTTATCATAAATAGTACCATATTATATACTTTCTTCTGCAACTTGCATTTTTCACTTAATATATTTGGAGAGCTTTCATGCTACTTTTTTATTATCACAAATAACAAGAAATCAAGACTCCTGATGGGAAGAATTTTTGCAAAGTATTTAGTTAGTACCTGATAACTAACATGTGAGTTATTTACAATCAGTGTCTACAGAGTACACTGAAATTTACACCTAGGTAATATACAGCCTAAACTACCTAGTCACTTAAATGGAAAGAGACCTCATTTCTACCTGAATTATCTAGGCAACTGTGGTTGATTAGAGTGGATCTAAAAATACATGAATCTTCCCCATTTCCCTTCAGGGAAAAACTCTGGATCTTGATCCCAACTTCTCTTCAAAATCAGCATAACTGGATTGTGGCTTGAATTGATTTGCCAATGTTTCAAATGTAAGGCAATGCTCAGAAAGATGAGAAATGGCTCAGTGGGAACCATTTTGTATTCTAGAACACCAACAGAACACTGAACAGTAAATAAAGAGCCCTGAAATGTGAAAACCATTTACCGGAATGCAAGGTTTTGGCAGATTCTGAATTAGTAGATCAGCTCCCCAAGAAAAACCACATCATTAATCAAAAATGAAAAAAATTCTCCTTTCAAGAGTGATATATACTGTGAGAAACTGGACTCAACTTGAAAATTCATCTAGTCACTGTAGCTGGGCTATTCCTGAGCAAAGCTCTTGATGACCAGCCAGCCAGTGCCCAGGACACACCACGAAGGTGAATGGAATTAATTGCATCTGAGGAAACAATGGGGGTACAGAGATGGGTTACTGAGGATTAAAAGGGACTAAATTTAATATACCTCAACTGATAATACTTTCCTTTTGACCTTACATGGGTAAATAAAACGAGGTGAGAAAATGGGAAAATTGCATTTTGGTGAAAATATTTCATGTATAGCAGCAGTCCCCAACCTTTTTGGCACTCACTAGAGACCAGTTTCGTGGAAGACAACTTTTCCACAGGCTGGGGAGGGGGATGGTTTTGGATAATCATAAAACTCACCATAAGGTAGAATCAGTGGGAGCCCTGAGCTTGTTTGCCTGCAACTAGATGGTCCCATCGGGGGATGATGGGAGACAGTGACAGATCATCAGGCATTAGATTCTCATAAGGAGCATGCAATCTAGATCCCTCACGTGCACAGTTCACAATAGGGTTCATGCTCCCATGAGAATCTAATGCCACACTGATCTGACAGGAAGCAGAGCTCAGTGGGTAATGCCAGCAATATGGAGTGGCTGGCTCACCCACCACTCACCTCCTGCTGTGTGGCCAGTTCCTAACAGGCCAAGGACCTGTACTGGTCCATGGCCTGGGGGTTGGGGACCCCTGATATACATGTGTCTGTGATGACATTCACCATCGCCCTGTTAAATCTTCCTCTCCTTATTAAATTATCATCCAAGTCCGTCCACCAGCTATCTCATCCCACCCTCCTTCACTCATTGCATCTCAGCCCTCAATCCTTTTAAATTGGATACCCACTTTAGTGCTAGTGAAACAAACAGGCTGCACATAGTCGAGTACCTCCTAGTCCAGCACAGACTCTACTCACGAAGATGATGAATGGAGCCCGCTACCTTGGCCTTCAGGCTCTGGCATGCTCAAGAATTCACAGAACTTTAATATTTTTCCCAGATGTCTCATAATTGTGCCAATTTAATGTTTTAAAAATAATCTATATTTTATTTCCCTAATCCCATTAACAGATTTATGACTTAACATTTCGTCAATTGCACAAACTCGTGGGGTTTTTGCCAGAGAAAGCAAGTTTAATCACTGGAAGCTGTCTGTTGCAACATTTATTCTTAAACCTCAAGTAAGCGGGAGTGGTGGAGAGATTTTGTGTGTGCCTGGGGAGATATTCATTTGTGCCACTTGCCCCAAAGCCTATGTCACAGCTCCGGCAAGGAGAACACTGGGGTTTGTGAGCACATTGTTTTTGGAGAAGGATAACGTGGCAGGAGTTTGTTATTTAATAACCAGTTGCCTTCTGAGCTGGAGAGTTAATCACTACCATTAAGTACTGATCACTCCAGGTGAGAAGATGAGAACAGTTCCACATTTGCAAAAGTTTGGAAGTCAAAAAGCTAATAGGCTAATGCCATCGAAACTTGTCAAGAATGTTGTTTTCCCTTCTGATTGCGTTTGAGCTTCATTACCTTGCTTTTTCATGAAGTTCTTTTTTTTCTAAATGGAAATTAAAATAAAACAACTAGATCCTGGGGAACTGCCCCTTTCCAGGTTTTATCTGTCTATCATGTTTGAAATTTTTTACAATAAGCCCATATAATTTTTATAATTAGAAAAAGCAATTGACCTTCCTTAAAACAAAAGAAAACTGTTTTTTTTTTTTTCATTCTTGTTTTTGTCTGGCTCAGCCTTCTGTGGCTCACAGGAGTAGCTCGAGGTTTAAGGATGTTTATTCAATTGTGATAAACAACAGCAGATTTTTGTTTGTGCTTTCTGACTCTATGAAAGACGAGATACATGAAGGCCATTTCCAAGTAAGACAGCAAAATTAAAAGCAACAAAGAAGGTAGAGATAAAACGGTCATCATTTCTATCCTACTAAGCATTTGTCTTCAGTTTGTCTTTCAGTTCCCCGAAGCCATTCTGCACACTCTGCCAGGAATCAGCTTTGGCTTTAAAAGCCAGAGAAATTAACACACAGGAGTGGGAGTGGTGTGGCTTATGGAGGAATAAATTCAGCTGACACTGGCTCTATGACACTGCCACTCAACCTTGCCGGCAGTTTTAGTCACCTGGGGAGCTTTACAAAACACTGATATCTGTGTCCACCCCTAGAGATTCGGATGCCATCACTCGGGATGCGGGCCAGGTGATTCTATTGTGTAGTCAAAGTCAAGAACCTTCACTGGTCTCCTCCCCTTTCTACCCTCCGCTGCTGCCAAAGCCCTCCTTTTTAAAGTGTGGTCCAGGGACTCACAGCACCAGCAACACCTGGGAGCTTGGTAGAAATGCAGAATTTCAGACTCCGGCCCAGAACTTCTAAATCAGAATCTATGTTTTAATAAGGTCCCCAGGTGTACTGTGTGCACATTAAACTTTAACCTTCATAGCTCTTGCCCAGACTCATCCAGTCTCCAGAGGGATCTTCTGTTCTCTATTCTCTCCCATTTCAAAGCAATCTCCATATTGAAGTGATCCAGAATAAGCCACTGTGGCATAAAAGTTATTTTGAGCTGAAGGCATTTGAGTTTCCAAAATCCCTTATCTACCTAAAAGAAGAGCCTCCACAAAACCCAAAAAACTAAATTGTCATAAATTCCCTCCCCAGAAGCAACTCTAATCCCTACTCCCTGAGGACCAAAAAGTATCTGAGACACGTATCAATCAATTTGGTAACTTTATTTTGCCAAGGGTAAGGACACACCCGTGACACAGCCTCAGGAGGTCCTGCAGACACATGCTCAAGATGGTTGGGGTACAGTTTGCTTTTATGCATGTTAGGGAGACACGAGACATCAATCAATACATGTAAGGTTTGCATTGGTTTGATCTGGAAGGGTGGGACAACTCAAAGGGAGCAGGGCACTTCCAGATCATAGGTAGATTTAAATATATTCTGATTGGCAATTGGTTGAAAAAGCTATTGTCAGTAGAAAGGAATGTATGGGTTAAGATAAAGGGTGGTGGAGATCAAGGTTTTATTGTGCAGCCTCCAGGTAGCAGGCTTCAGAGAGACTAGATTGTAAATGTTTCTTATCAGACTTAAGGTCCATATTGATGGTAATGCTGGAGGGGTATAGTTAAGCATGTTCGACCCCCAGTTCCCATCATGGCCTGAACTGGGGGGTGCTGGGAGGCCTTTGAATTTTATTTTTGGTTTACATCTCAAACAAACTTCACAAAACCATCATATCTCTTATCTTTTCTCCTAAGGCCATATTTATTTTTCCAAAAAGACAATCGTTTTTCCATAAGTGACCCTTCTCCCCTTCGTCTAAGAAGTCATTTCTCCCAGAGGTGTCCCTTCCCCTGTTAAGATGATACATAAGCCCCAAATTCTAACTGCTTCCTTGGGTCACACTTCTTTGTGAACTCCCACACATACATATGTAATTAAATCTGAGGGTTTTTTTCTCTCGCTATGTTGTCTTTTTTTTTCAGTTTAATTTTCAGGCCCTCAATACAAAACCTAAGAGAGTAGAGGAAAAGGGTTCCCTCCCTGAAACTGTGCACATGATTACATCACATGCATGCTGATACGGACAGGAAGCAGAAGGGCGTTTCCCCAGCAAAGGCCCCGCCCCCAAGCCTGGAAACCCACGGCCCTAAATGGGAACAAGCTTTCCTGTTTTCATGCCCAAATGTTGCCTTCTCCAAGGTCACTCTGGCTCACCACACCCCTATCGTGTGTCCATATAAACCCCAAGCTCCATGAGCAGAAAAAAAGAAGAGTAGAAGAACGGCAGGGCGGTGAGGCAGAGAAGGAGAGAAGAGAAGGTGCGTCTGAATGTTGGGAGGGGTTCGGCTGGGGATGGTCAGAGAGGAGACTGGCCGAGGGACAGCTGGACTCCAGGGGGAAGATAATCTTCCAGTCCATCTCCTTTCCAGCTCCCCATCCATCCCTCTGAGAGACACCTCCATTACTCAATAAAATCCCCACATTCACCATCCTCCAAGTCCGAGTGACCTCATTCTTCCTGGACGCTGGGCAAAGACCTGGGTACCAAGAAGGCAGGGTATAAAAGGCTGTCACCCTGACTCTCCACTGAGCTGGTTTAACACTTAGCCATTTGTGAACAGCAACTGCTAAGGGCATTAATTGTAACACACTCTAGATGCTACCATGGGGCCGGAGCCCAAAAGTGCTCACCCTGGCTCCTGCACCTGCCTGTCTGCATGCTCCCTCTCCAGAAAAGGGTTTGAGCACACCGCGGGCCAAGCAAATGAGCCACACCCCTGTTGCAAGTCCTGCAAAGGGGTCAAGGAACTCTCTTGTTTCAATGCCTATAGGATAAATTATAAACTCCTTAACATGGCAACAAGACTGCTCAAAACTAGGCTCCAGCACACCTCTCTAGACATATGGTGTGTTCCAGGCTCCTTGAAACTTGGCCCATCAGACATGTTCAAACCTAGACATTAAAACCCTTTCATGAATCTGTGCCTTTGCACAGACTTCCCTCTCGTCTGTTTTTCTCTCTCTTCTCCCCTGGTGATCACTGACTCTTCAAGACCAGCTATAATGTTGTCCCATCCAGTATAGCTTTCTCTATTTTCTTCTACAAAAGGGTTCCCAATGCCCCCAGTCTGTGACCCTAGCACCTAGCATAGTACCTAGTACATAGGAAGTACTCAAAAAAAATGTATTTGAATAAATGGATGGATGGGTAGATGGACTAAAACCCTTGTTTCCCAAATCTCTTCATTTACAATATTCAAAAATATTTAAACGTTGGTTCTACCCTTAGTTCCAAACAAGAGGAACCTCTGTCCTAGGTTCTGAAATTCTGAGGGTTCTGCATATCACAAATACACACAATGAATGTTTTGAAAAATACACAGGGTCTGGGCGCTGTGGCTCACGCCTGTAATCCCAGCACTTTGGGAGGCTGAGGAGGGCGGATCACAAGGTCAGGAAATTGAGACCATCCTGGCTAACACGGTGAAACCCCGTCTCTACTAAAAATACAAAAAATAGCCAGGTGTGCTGGCGTGCGCCTGTAGTCCCAGCTACTCGGGAGGCTGAGGCAGGAGAATGGCATGAACCCAGGAGGCGGAGCTTGCAGTGAGCTGAGACCGCACCACTGCACTCCAGCCTGGGCGACAGAGCGAGACTCCATCTCAAAAAAAAATACACAGGTGAGCCGGGCACGGTGGCTCACACCTGTAATCCCAGCACTTTGGGATGCCGAGGTGGGCGAATCACAAGGTCAGGAGTTCAAGACCAACCTGGCCAATATGGGGAAACCCCATCTCTACTAAAAATACAAAAAATAGCCTGGTGTGGTGGCGCGCGCCTGTAGTCCCAGCTACTCGGGAGGCTGAGGCAGAAGAATTGCTTGAACTTGGGAGGCAGAGATTGCAGTGAGCTAAGATCATGCCACTGCACTCCAGCCTGCGTGACAGAGCAAGACTCTGTCTCAAAAAAAAAAAAAAAAATACACAGGTGCCTCTGTCCCATGGGATCTGACAAGTAATGCTGGCATAGTGCCACCTGCCACCTTAAACATTTACTCAGGTGACTAACATAGCTCAGGTCCCAGGGAAACACTTCTCTACATCTCTTGCCCTATTCCTTGAAACAAAAAGTAACTGAGCCTGAATGCCACAAAGGTTTGTGGGTTGTACCTGCATGTGTCAAAAACAGACACTGCTTCAAAATCAGGGAGGACCTGAGCAGTAGAAGTGCTTAGGTAAGATAAATCACTAATTAATTACCTTATCAACTCCATCTTCTGAGATCAGGCAAACAAAATGGATTCTCACATAAAGAAGCATTTTTTCTCTGTGGTACTGAGAGTCTATTTTCTTCTGTCTCTTCATATTCTAATTTGTGGCCCAGAAGTCCTGAAGAATTAGTGCATAATTTGCAACTGTTGCATCTAATATCTGAAGAATATTTTTCAATAGTTAAATAATTCATATTGCTCTTAAATTTGCATGTATGTGGATCTAGCTATGGCATGCATGAAGCCTGGTACCAACTCCTACATGCACAACTAGATGGCCATTGAACACTAGAATTGGAAGTAATCCTGTTATTGTAAACTATTCAATAAGATAGAGCTAAATTTTCAAAATTAAATTAAAAATTTTATTTCTTAAAAATGTTTCATTTTTATATTTGTTAATGATGCTATTTTTTATTTAATTTTAAAATTTAACATCTCTTAAAAGTAATATTTAAAAATATAAAGATAATTTTTTTGTCACATTTGCTTTTTATTTTATTTTATTTTTTTCACGTTTGCTTTTTAATACAAATATATTTAAATTGTTTTTTCTTAAAAGACAATTACATTCTATTTTTAGTGTTTAAATGACCGAGAATAAATATAAGGCAAGATCATGACAGGAATAAAAATAGTAGAACGCAAAAAGAAAAAAACTAAAAAGAAAAAAAACCTATAATACCTTCAAAGAAATGGTTTGCTTAAATTTTGTAAAACTGAAATAATAAAAGTGAAAAGTCTTATACAAAAGCATGAGACACATAAAGTTTGCTAGTAAGACATTACAACTGCTACATTTAATAAAGTTTTAATTATGAATCAAAACAAGATAAATGAGCAAGAAAATGATTCTCATCAAATTCACAACTTCAAGAGGTCGATGAAATCCCTGGAACTTCACATTCTTCAGTACATGAAGATTTAATTAGTGCTCAGAGCAATGAGAATGAAAAAGAGGATTGTTCATAACCAATTCACAACTCAGGAGTGCAACTCCGGCTTGCCCTTTAGAAGGGGAAGAAATATCCGCCTTGAAGGCAGCAACCTGGATGAGAAAGAGCAAGTCTCCAGAGCACCCCTCATTAAAGGTCGATCCTAAAAATGGCACTCATCCCCCTCACAGCATGAGAATGTTTCTAGCAAAACACAATCTGATTCAAATTAGCAAATACGATGTTTCACTGGGTGAGCATGGCAGGAAACTTAGTATTTCATTTTAGACCAACATTCTTTCAAATGGAAAAAGAATATCTAGAGACAGTTTTTCATATTTCAAAGTGAAAACTTGAACTTTTTGATTATATGGGTTACGTGATTCACACCAATTTTCCAGATGAGTTTTAGCCAAATAAGTTATTTTTGACCAGAAACATTTGGATTTTTAATTAAAATAACACAAAATGTCATTCACACCATAAAAAAATACGCATGCAAATACTAGACATTTAAAAATAGGCCAAACCCCCAATAATATTCAACAATGATAAGCGCACACCAGATTAGAACATTGTTGTGATGTTCTGAAAAAAAATATTAGGGGTCCAATATGTAACCAAGAGAAATGATGCTTTTCACGTATTAACAAGCACCATATTCATAGAAGCAATAAAAGAATTCTAGGTTTAATAGAAATAACTCCAATTTTTATGCTAGAAGGGCCAAAAATGTAATATGAATAAAAGTAATAAAACAATCACTATCTAGGATGAATAATTCAAAATGAGATTACTAATTTAGTAGGTAATAGAGTGAGAGAATAAATCATACGTAACACACAAAAGTAGGTAAATATTACTCAATGCAATTAGATGATGGTAACAGGGACAAAGATCATGTTGAACAACTAACATATGTGATATGTATTGTTGAAGAATGAAACAAGAACATATTAATTACATTGTCTCCACACCTAGAAGTACAGGTTTTGATTTAAATGAGGAACTGGAAAGATAACTTACAATTTTAGGAATTAAGTTAAAAGATTGTGAAGCTAAGTCTATGAAAATGGCAGGAACATACTTGGTAAAGGAAAAGGTGTATAGGTCAGAATTTTGGCCGAAAATTCAGCAGCATCCACTGTAAAGCCCATAGTATAAATCTGTTGCTAGGACACGTGGTCTCAACTTGACCTGTGGTAATGCAACTTTCAGAACAATTAAGCAAGTCTGAAGGGTAGTTTCTGGACCCACCCAAAGAGGGAACATCTTCGTGAAACATATATCCAGTTTGACCTTACAAGCTCTCTCAGCATATGGTGGGAATGCCAACTAAATGCTGTTCAAGGAATTAGATTTCATTTAAACAAGACAGGAGAAGAGTTAGGCAAAGTAACAGAAGATCTACAAAAAAAGTGCATGAATAGAAAATTAAATTTACTTTGAATTTGCACTATCCATAATCTTTTGGTATACATTGTTGCTTGCTCTCAATTATATTATCAGAAGCTTTCAAAAGAAAAAATAATTTAAGTGTGGCTACCTCATCTTTTAAATATTAAAACGAATTTTTTGAAATCTTAAAGGAAGAGTTTTCTAAATCAAAAGAAAATACACGTAAAATGTGTGACATTCCAATAAAATGTAAAGAAATTAGAACAAGGAAACAAAAATAATTGTGTCACTGGGAAGAAGAGCTACATAAAAATAATTCCCAAATGAATTTTCCTTAGATAATATTTTGGGGGTACTGTGGATCAGAGAAGAGTCTTAGTTGAGTAGGGATATGAAAAAATTGAGCAATTTACTGACATTTTCAGCTTTCTTCATAATATCCCAGCATTGAAAAATTTGAAAGAAGAAATTGAGAAATATTAAATCAATCTAGACACTGCTTTAAGAGATGGCTAAAATTGCTAAATACATGGTTATTGTATATATGACAAAATTATAATAATTTATAACATTTTCTGCAATAATTTATCATATTACATACATGATATGTAAAATTCATGGTCTATTTTGGCATCTAAGTATTACTGGAAGAAGTTTATTGATGACTTCAGCAGCTACTGCTTCAATTTGAAGTTAATAAAAAACTAAGAACTATGATAACTCAAGAAATGTTGTCTAATTTGGCATTATTCCATGTGACATGTAAATTATATGGAAATCTTTATTATAACAAGATAATTAGTGATTTTACTGAAATAAAAATGAGAAATATAAATTTTATGGAATAAGTATATAATTTATGAGTTATGCATCCCAATTTTATTACCAATCCATCACCGAGCCATCAGTAAAATGCTTAAACATACACAATAATAATTAAATTTAGTTTTCTTTGAAATTTTGCCAACTTTCTGTCATGTACAAACTACAAACATATTTTTACCATATTTAACACATTTGTTTTTAGCATGCACTCATGTGCTGGGCCCCACCAATGTCAGGAGTTGACCTTCTTGTACCCAGAGACAGACATTTCACCCCAGGCTCATCCACTGTCGCTCCTGGAACTTTAGCAACACTTTCATTTCTCTTCACCCTTTGTTTTTTAACTCAGCAGCTGGGAGGAAGTGGGGGTTAGGGGGGCACCGAGCATTGTACTTCCCTGCAGACCCCCAGGGGCTGGGGCTGCTGAGGGGCTGCTCAGCACCTGTCCCGACCCCTCTGCTGCCCTCCTGGCTGCTGATGGCTCCTGCCAGATGCCCTGTTGTAGCAGGATGTTGTTGGGAGTATGGCCACCACCACCACCTACCTCCCATGTGGACCACTTGTGCCACCCAAGAGGGCCTCCCTCTCTCCCCAACCTCGGTTCAGTAAACCCAGGGACCCCATGCGTACCTCCAGAAGTGCAGCTGTGTTCTCCAAGCCCAGTGACTGACAGCTCCCCCTAATGCCATGGCTGCCGTGAGGGAGGAGTAGCTCCCCCAAGTTTCCCCAAGGTGGGCCCTGCAGCCCCCGTTCAGCCTTGGCGTGTTGCCCTGGCTCCCCACATCTACGGATTTGGGGCCTTCTCTTCTTATTGATTTCCTGTCACTGCAATAACAGATTCCCACAGACTTAGTGGCTTAAAACAACACAAATGTATCATCTCACAGTTCCAGAGGGTGGAAGTCCAAACCGGGTCTCCCTGAGCGAGGGTCAAGGTGTTGGCAGGACTGCTTCCTTCTGGGGCCTCGAGGGTGAATCTGTGCTCTTGGCTTTTCAGGCTTCTAGAAACTGCTTCATTCCTTGGCAGTGGCCCCTCCCTGGATCTTCAAAACCAGCAATGGCAGGTTGAGTCATTCCCATGTCACCTGATGGTGACTCTTTCCTGCTTCCGTCTTCTACTCACGGGGACCCCTGTGATGACTTTGGGAGCACCTGGATGATCCAGGAAACTCTCCCCATCTGAGGGAATGGTTGGCAACCGTAATTCCAACTGCAACCTTCATTGTCCTGTGTCATAGCATATTCACAGGCTCTAGGGACTAGGTTGTGACATCTTCAAGGGGCCATTATTCCACCTCCCACACCTTCCCAACCCTGGCTGTGCTGGCCCTGACTGAGAGGAGGGGGTTTCCACTTCCGTCACCTGGCAAGGGAACCTCCACAGCCCAAGAATATTAACATTTATCAGGTGCCGGGCATGGGCCTCATGTGTTTTATGTAATTCAATCCTCCCAACAAAAGTATGAGGTAAGTAAAATAATTCCCACCATTGTACAGGTGAGGAAACGGAGACATGGAAGGACTTGGTAGCGAGACCAAGGCCCCATAGCTAGAAATGGACAATGCTGAGATTTAAGGCAGAACATGGATTCCTACAGATTGATTCGGGTGGCCGTTCATCGGGGAACGGATGTTTATTGCCCACCTCCTAGTGCCAGGCGTAGTGCCCAGCTGGGGACACAGAACAGGGAACAGCACCGTTATGACCTCTGCTTCTCTGTAGGGAGGACTTCTCCCACACGGAGAACTCGGCTCTAGAATTGGATAGGGGCGAAGGTGATGGTGGGCTGAAAGGAAGGAGCGGGGACAGGCAAGCTTCTCCCACCCTGCAGTCTCCCCTCCTCCATTTCGTTTTGTATGTAGCAGCCAGGGTTGTTCTTAAACCCAGACCTGACAATTCTCTGCTGAAAAACCTTTCATGTCACTCCACTGCTCTCACCAGAAAGACCACACTCAGGCCAAGCACTGTGGTTCCCGCCTGAAATCCCAGCGCTTTGGGAGGTGGAGGCAAGAGGATTGCTTGAGCTCAGAAGTTCAAGACCACCCTGGGCAACACAGTGAGATCTCATCTCAAAACTTTTTAAAAAAATTAGCCAGGCAAGGTGGTGCATGCTTGTAGTCCTAACTATGTGGGAGGATTGGTTGAGCTCAGAAGTTTGAGGCTGCAGTAAGCTCTGATGGCACCACCGCACTCCAGCCTGGGCAACTGAGTGAGATCTTGTGTAAAAAAACAAAAACAAAACAAAACAAAATCCTCTTAAACCTAGCTTATAAATCTTTAAACATGGGGCCTCCCCACCTCCCCAACCCATTCCCTCATCTTTCAAGACTCCTCCGCCCACAATCTATGCCCCAGACAGCCTGAAACCCCTTTCTTCCACGTCTTGCCTCTAGGCCTTTGAACATGCTGTTTCCTCAACCAAGCCTGCCTTTCCTGCTTCCCCCACCTCTCACTGCCTTTGCCATCTCCTCCCCTACCTCCTACTCCCCAACAGGACTTGGCTCAGAGCCATTCCCACCTAACTCCTTCAATGGGCGGCAGCCCACTAGAGACTCCATTTTCCTATTGCACACTTGCCACTTCCTCATCTTTGTTCGTGACCAGATGCAAGTTCCTTGAGGTCAGGGGCTACCCGTCTAATCTGGTGTTGTACCGCCAGTGCCTGACATGGTGCCTGGCTTATGATGCTCAGAATATTTTTGTGGGTGGCTAGATGGATAAATGGATGGGTGAATGAATGGACTGACTGGTGCCTCAATTTTCCTGCCTTAACCTGTTAATCCACTGCTACATCAGAGCCAGCCCTGCAGCACAGCCTTCAACATGAGCAACTCCTGCTCTCTGTAGCTCCAGCCCCAGCCTGGACCTATCTTTCAGAGCCATAATGCTGAGACAGTCCCTGAGTCTTGGATGAACACGTGAGTACCTCCACGTGGTAACTGTGAAGGAGCCATGGCACACCCATCTTTCATGGAGCCGGGGCCTGCCCACCTCCTCCCTGGGCCAGCCACACCAGTGTTCCCAGTTCTTGAGTCCCTCTGGGTCCTTCCTGCTCCCCTAACTCCTGGATGGCTCTGCCTGAAGGACAGTCAGGACAATGCACAGTTCAGACGTGCTCTTGCTGCATGGGATGGGCCCTGCATGTGTAAAAAGCTGTGTGTTTTTCTGTAGAGGACTCACAGTGTCTACACCGGACAGTTTCTGTTTGCACGACGTTGAGTAAACTTCACATCCATCGGGGAAGTTACCCTTTGGGATTACTGATGAAGGTACTCCTTTTGAGATGCTCTCATACAACTCCAAAAGATGCTCTGTCAGGGGCAGAGTGGTCCTATCTGATTTTTAGGGTTTATACATTTACTCTGAGAGTGAAACAACAGGACAAACATCATCTCACTGGCTTAAGAGGGCAGACAAAAAAGACCATTAGACAGATCATTCTTCCTGCCAGGGAGATAGCCCTATTAATACCTGCGCCCACACAGGCAAGCAGAATAAGAGGATTTCTCCATAGCTGGAAATTTATTTTTCCAAGAATGCTGAATAAATCCTGGTGGTTACTAACTAGCTAGGCTAAGACAAAAGGTCCTTTTCTTCCCAACTAATACACATTCTATTAGTCAGGACTCTGGGGAATGGGTGACAGAAACTTGCTCCCAAAGAGCTCACACTGCAAGGAGGGGTGCATTAGTTCTCAGGCCTGGATGAGGAATGGACTGGGTCCTCACCGGCTCATAGAACTCTTGTCTCTTGTCTGGTTCTCCCTGTGGGTCCGTTGCTGTCATTCTTTCCTGTGAGGAAGAGGGAAGATGTAGAACCATGAGTAGTTGTGTGCTTAAATCCTTGTAGTTCAGCAATCAGAGAGGAAAGGGGGCCTTATTCTCCCTGCCCAAGCTTTAAAAACACCCCAGAGAAGGATTTAGTGAGACTTAGCCTGAGCCCTAGGCCCATCCATGAACTGGGGCAAGGGAATGGGATATCATTACTGGCTCAGTTGGGTCTATCTCTCTGACTGGAAGGATGGGGTACAATGAGGGGCAGCCCTCAGCAGAAGCACAGGGTTGAAACCAGGAAGGAAGTTTTCCAGGAGGTCTCAGGTGCTCTTCTGCATGGACAAAACAGTAAATATCAGGCTGGGTGCAGTGGCTTATGCCTGTAATTCCAGCACTTTGGGTGGTGGAGGCAGGAGGATTGCTTGAGCCCAGGAGTTGGAGACCAGCCTGGGAAACATGGCGAAACCCTGTCTCTACTAAAAATACAAAAAATTAGCCAGGCATGTTGGCGCACGCCTGTAATCCCAGCTGCTCAGAAGGCTTGAGGTGGGAGCATCACTTTAGCCTGGGAGGCAGAGGTTGCATTGAGCTGAGATTGCACCAGTGCACTCCAGCCTGGGGTACAGAGTGAGACTGTGTCTCAAAGAAAAGAACACACACAAAAAAATTGAATATAAGTATTCATTATTTTAAATCATAAAAAATAATTTAAAATGTGGAGTGAAAACATCACCCATAATCCTGTCATCTCCAAACAACTGTAATTAACACGATAGAGTATTTCCTCCAAGTCTTTTTTCTCCAGGCACGTGTACGTGTTTAATATAGTCCTGCCATATTGTATAGACAATTTTGCATCCTGCTCTTTTTACTTAAAATTATAACAGAAGGATTTTCTCATGTTATTTCCTTTGACTCTGTTCCCTGCACAATCCACTTCCTTTCCTACTCAGCTCTTTGGCAGAAAAAGTTTGTAGACTGCACAAATAACTGGAAGGAGTACTGACTTTTTTTGGTTTCCGGGGGAATGTGAGCAAAGAGAGGAGAAAGAAAGATTAAAAAGGGCAGGTCTTGGTGACTCTCACAGGGCTGCTGAAATAAACAAATGTCATATTCTATGAGAGCATGCCTTGAAATGGCTATATTTATCAGCATTATAGTCATTAATCACTAAATTTATTTTTCCCCATTTTTTAAATAACTGAGTCCACTGGACAGCCTTGAATGCTAGTGGAGGGTGGTGCTCTCCTGCCACAGCCCACTGCAGGGAAAACAGTAATTTCCCAGAGAACCTATGGATTTACTGTGGGATGTGGGCGATAACAGGGTTTTCTAAAAGCACTTTCTGCTTCAGGTGAGGAGAAGATGCTGTTCTGAGAGCTGCTGATAATACGTGGATCCAAACCCACAGGCTTGAGCTGCTTAATTGAAATTCACGTCAAAATGAAATTCTGGTTTAGCTCAACTTGACTACTATGGATGATGAAAATAAATCCCTGGGTCACACAAGGATAGTGATTGAGTAGAGCTTGTTTGCTGGCACAGGAATGACATTTCAACTGGAATTAAATTGTCGTCAGTTAACAGAACTGAATTTTCAGTCATTCTTTGACTTGAATTTTCTTTTTTCCCAAGATAACATGGACAGGACCCAGGTATTTTCAATGACTCAGAAAAGAGTTCATTTGGCTATGGGCTTACCCAGCTTTAAACGGGCTCTGCTGTCCCTGAAGAACAGAGCCAAGGGAAGGTGGGGTACCTTGTCGTCCCTCCTCCTCTCATTTTCCATCCTGTCTGTCCGGTCTATAAACATTCTGTGGCTCTACCTCTAGAATCTCCTCTGCTACACCCATGGCCAGACCACCCCATCTCATGCCTAGACTACTGTGGTCCCTTCAGCCATTATCCCCACAGGAGTGAGAGCAACCTCTCAAAAACCAAACCCACCTGTGCCAATCCCCTGCTCACAGCCCTCAATGGCTTCTTGTTGCCCTGACACCAAAACCCTCATTTGCAGCCCTGCTGATGGACTCCCTTTCCGACCCACCTCTACCTTTCCCCACATGCTGTGCCCTGGTCGCCCATGCCTCCTTCCTAGTTCTTGAAGCCCCCAAACTCGTTCCTGCCTCAGGGCCTTGGCACATGCTCATGCCTCTATCTGTCTCCTCCCCAACTCGTTACAGAAAGGACTCCTGATTAGTCAGATATTGACTCAAAAATGCCTTCCTTGGTGAGGCTTCCCTGAATAACTTCTGCTTTACTTCATTTCTGGCACACTCATTCTTGGAAAGAAGCTTGCCGTATTAGTCCGTTCTCATGCTGCTATAAAAAACTGCCTGAGACTGGGTACTTTATAAAGAAAAGAGGCTTGATTCACTGTTCCTTATGGCTGAGAAGGCCTCAGGAAACTTACAATCATGGTGAAAGAGGAAGCAAACACGTCCTTCTTCACAAGGCAGCAGGAAGGAAAAATGCAGTGGGAAGGGGGGCAAAGCCCCTTATAAAACCACCAGGTCTCATGAGAATTCACTCACTATCATGAGAACAGCATGGGGGAACTGCCTCCATGGTCTAATCACCTCCCATGAAGCCCCTCACCCAACACGTGGGGATTACAATTTGGATTACAATTCAAGATGAGATTTTGGGTGGGGACACAGTCAAATCATGTCACTTGCTTTCTCATTCCTTCAAGCCCATCTTCTTGCTCTGATTTGGTTTGGATTTGTGTCCCTGCCCAAATTTCATGTTGAATTGTAATTTCCATTGTTCGAGGAGGGTCATGATGGGAGGTGATTGGATCATGGGGGTGGATTTCCTCCTTGCTTTTCTCATGATAGTGAGTGAATTCTCGTGAGACCTGGTTGTTTAAAAGTGTGTGGCGCCTTCCCTTTTGTTCTCTTCCTCCTTCTCTGGCCATGTAAGACATGCCTGCTTCCCCTTGACATTCCACCATGATTGTAAGTTTCCTGAGGCCTCCCCAGCCATGCTTCCTGTACAGCCTGTGGAACTGTGAGGAAATTAAACCTCCCTTCTTTATAAATTACCTAGTCTCAGGTAGTACTTTAGCACAATGTGAGAATGGACTAATACAGTCTCCCCAGTTTGAAGTAAGCTTCTTGAAAACAAGAATGTTGTTAGATGTTGGTCAACATGATTTAGAAAGTACCTGTTGGGTACTTAATAAATATTAGTTGAATAAAAGAATAAATGAACATGCAGCTCTGAAAAGGCATGGTCTGTATTATTAGACATGGAGGAGGATATTTTGGAGTGTCAGCTTCTCTCCAACCAATGGCTGCTTGGTTTTTACCACTAGTTTCTTGCACATTGGACTTGTCTTTAAACCATGAAAGGATCCCTTTAACACTCATTAAAGTCAGGCAAGTGAAAGTCTTATTTCTAGTACAGGAAAGCAAAAGCGTGACTCTAACTAAAATGTCAAGTGCCCTAAGGTGTGAAAAATATTTAAAAACTTTCCATTTGCTCTTTTGTGGTAGTACCCTTTGTCAAAAGGTTTTCTCCAACTTTATTCATGCCTGATAAATGGAAGAGGAGAGTTTTCCCAGAATACCATAAAATACACCAGCTAGACAGGGCTATGAGATTTAAGTGGCTTCCTGCCTGTCCCAGTGCCTGGAGGGGTAAAGGGGAGGAAAGAAACTTTTGAGCTTGAAGACTGCTGGAGGGAAGAAAAGAGAAAACATAAACTTAGGTCCCAGAAGCTTCTGAGATGGAAGGGATCAGACCCCAACCCTTGTCACCAAGGGCCCACATTACTGAAGCCCGCTAGGTGGGCTGGCTGGTCCTGGTCAAAGTCCAATGACCAGAAAGGGTGCAAGCTTCTACTGACCTCAGCCTCCCGCTTCCAGTTACAGGCCCCATCCCTCTGACCAGGGGTAGGGAAATGACCCATCCCGGCCCAATCATAATCTTCCATCACCCTGACTACCATGATTGGCATAGGGATGGTCACATGACACAACCAGGCCCATCAGAGTCCTTTCCTGGGACTTTCCTGCCTGGAGCTGGAAGGGAAGAGTCCTCTATAATCTCTAAGGACCTCAACCCAGAGTGGCCTGAGATGGAGCAACCTGAAGAAAGCCCACTTGCTGTCAGAGAGAGTGAAAAAACCAGCAGACACAGACAAAGGAGTCCCAAGGACATTTGTGCTCAGAGTAGAAGGTGTTGGTGCCCACTCCATAGCCCCGGCCCACCTGAGTTCTCTAGCAGCAGCAGCCTAGGGACAGCTTCCCTCCCATCTCAAGTCCCCACATGTTTCCCCTCTTCCTGAGGCCTTTCTCCACCTTGTTCTGTCTCTGATGCAACCAGGCACACCCTAAACAGGGAGATTAGGTTCCCAGGGGCAACCCTCAGTCGGGGACGGGAGTTGATTGACAAACACCCCCAGCCTCCCATTCTAGTACCGAGAAGATGCTGATGCTGATGCGATGGCTTCTCAGAGGGTCCCTACCAGAAAGGCCCTGTTGCCCCTAGCATAACTCACCACTCAGGCACATCTTCCTGGGTAATTCATCCTCCCAGGCGCATCCTCCTGCGTAACTCGCCCCTCGGGCACATCCTCCTGGGTAACTCCCCACTCGGGCATATCCTCCTGGGTATTCTCAATTTCCTGTCCCACTTTTCCCCCAGGTCCTTACAAGGACTTTCTGGAAACACCTTTTAAGTAAACTACCTGCACTCACCTACTTCTCTCAGAGTCAGCTTTTAGGGAACCCAAACTAATCAGGAATGGCCTGTCTGTGGATTATCCCTAAAGCCAGTTCAGTCTCTGCCTTTTTCCCCCCTAAGGTTGAGTAATTGAATTAAATCCTGTCATTCTCAAACAAAGAATCATGAAACAGAGAAGGTGGGTAAGTCACTCAACCCTGGGATTTTGAGAGAAGTGGTCACTGGGGGATGTAGGGTGGTGGTCTCTCAACCTTATCTGAGCTCACACCTCCCAACCCATGGAAATAATTGAGGCCCAGATGCCATGAACTGGGCATATCCCTGTAGAGGGTAAGTAACTGTCTGTCCTCCCACCCAAAGAAGCCTGCATTGAGCAGAGTTTGGCTTCAGCCACAGAGGCAGCAGTGAGAGGAGGAGGCTGAGCTCCACTCATACAAGGCCACAGTGACGCATGGTCTTAGGGGGTAAGCAGGGGCTCTCACCAGACCTCAGGGATGGGGTGGTTTTCCCTACTCAGCCAGCTGGAGGAAGCGAATCTGAGTGCCTTCCCATGGCAAGGCCAAGGGAGTGAGAAAGCCAAGGAACATGCTCAGAGAGATGGCCAGCAGCATCCCGCAGGGGTGGGGTGGAGTGGTGCCCTCAGGGAGGGCTGGCAGCCTGTATCCTAACTGATGCATCATCCCTAAGAAGAATCATGAGTTTCACTTCAGTGATGTCTAGCTGTAAAGCACTTTCACTCCCATAATTTAACTGTATCTTCTTAACCTCAAATTCTAGACCACAAATTTTCTGCACATTTCACAGAGGAGGAAGTTCAGGCTCTGGAAGGTGAGGTGGCTGCCAGCTCCACAGGGCCAGGGTGCATCCCTAAAAACAGATAACTTCCCCAGTCTCAAGAGCATGGTCATGTCTTTCAAATAAATGCACATACCTAACTTTAAGTTTGGTTCTTCCATTCTGCTGCGTGCGTGCCTACAGATCCAAAGTGGTGGCCAAGTGCACTGGATTTTATCATTTATTTGAGTGAACTTGACTGCTTACTTAGCTGCTTAAAAGTTTAGTTGAGAGTGATTCAGCGGCATACACCTAAAGGCACCAATTCATCATTTGTTCATTCAGACAATCAATAAATAAACCTCGGGAATTTACATGGATTAAGAGCTCAAAGTCTTCTTGAAGTGGTATTTTTCAGCACTTATTTCACTTTGGGTTGCTAGGAGATAAATTGGTTTTTTTAAAAAAGCAATTTGCATAAAGACCAGGAAAGCATTTTAATAATGTCAATATATAGCCAAATGGACTAAAGTGCTAAAGTGACAATTTTTCACTAGATAATTAAGCCTCCAAATTTAAATGTTATAAAAGAGATATAGTTGTATTCCATGGAGATCTATTCCACTTAGGTAGCTAATTATTTCTCAAGAACAACACTGAGTCATGTTAGACATCTTCTTGCTAATCTAATAATATTAAGAAACTAGGAGATGGTCCTATCCTACCACACAATCAGAAATGGAAAACTGGTAGGATTTTAATTGCAGAATTGTGGGAAATTTATTCTTCTAATCACTAGCACAAATCTGACAATCTGTCCAGCAGCCAGGAACTAAATTGAAGTTTACTTTCCCTGATACATATGTTGTAAATTTCACTAATTTGAACGGGTGGAGAGGAAGGCTGTCTTAGTTCATTTGTGCTGCCATAACAAAATCCCCGAGACTGGGTAACTTAAAAGCAACAGAAATTTATTTCTCACAGTTCTGGAGGCTGGAAGTCCAAAATTAAGGTGCCTGCAAGTTCAATGTCTGGTAAGGGCATGGTCTGTGTTTTCAAGATGGTGCCTCTTGCTGTGTCCTCCTCCAGAGGGAATGAACGCTGTGTTTTTGCATAGCAGAAAGGGTGGAAGAACAAAAGGTTCTTTTTGTTTTGAATGCTGCATGGATCCTCTTTTGTAAGGTATTAATCTCATTCATGAGGGCAAAGTCTTCATGACTTAATCACCTCCTAAAGGCAGAACTTCTCAATACTATCATACTGGCAATTGAATTTCAGCATGTAAATTGTAGAGGACACACTCAGACTCTAGCAAAAAGCCCATCTATTTTGGTTAAAAATATCAGCTGTAGGACTTATGTAATACTTTTAAAATGTTTTCCTTCAAGTCCAAATAGAATCTTGAGTCTGGAACAAAATAATTATATAAGTGTTAGCCATTATTATTGCCTCAATATAGATACATAGCCTGGAAGAAACTAAAAAATTCTTTGAAACAGTATGGTAGATCATTTGCAAAGAGTCTGATCATTCTTCCCATCCGTGTACTCCAGCCTTTTCATCCTGTGACTTTACCGCTTCTCCCACCCAGAGAGGCAGAAAAGATATCTCTCCCCACCACCCCCAAATCTGTCAGGCCTGTGACTTGCTTTGAACAACAGGTTGTGGAGGGAGTGACACTGTGGGAGCTTAGAGCAGGCCTCAGAGACATCAAATCTTCCACTCCTGTCCTCTTCGAGCTGCTGCCACTATGCAAAAAAGGTCCCACCTGGCACTGTGGACATGAAAGACCACCTCGAGAGAGAGGCATGCCTGCCATGTTATGAGTCTATCTTGGACCCAACAGCCCCAGGACAGCTACCAGACTAGGGCCACCTGAAAGACTCCAGGCAAGACCAGCAGAATCACTGCCCAGCAGAGCCCAGCCAAAGCTGCTGACACACAAAACTGTCCACAAATAAAATGGATGTTGTTTGAACGCACTAAGTTTTGGGGTGGCTTGTAATGCAGCAACAGATCACTGATACAAATGGGTTTTTAATAAATGTAGATAATTCAGAAATAAGAGTATAAAAATAATCCTCGTAATCCTACCCCTAATTTTAACAGCCATTAATATGTTGGTATTTTCCTTCCAAAGTTTTTCTTTATGTTTTTTACAAGGATGAAAACATTGATCTGAAATGCATCTTCTACCTCCAGTTCATCTGTTGACGCCCTTACCACCAAGGTGACTGTATTTGGAGATAGAAGCTTTAGGGAGCTAATTAAGGTTAAATGACATCATAAGTGTGGGGCCCTAATCCAATGGAATAGTGTACTTGTAAAAAGAGGCAGAGACACCAGAGATTTCTCTCTCTCTCCTCCTCCTCTCATGTGCAGAGGAAAGCCTCTGTAAGAATGCAGCAGCAAGAAGATAGCTGTCTACAAGCCAAGGGGAGAGACCTCACCAGAAACCAACTGTGACTTCCAAAGGGCAGAAATGTGAGAAAATACATTTCTGTCACGTAGTTCATCCATCCTGTAGTATTTTGTTACAGCAGCCTGAGAGGACTACTACACATATTAACATTTTGAACATCTGCTGTTTCATGGACCCAATACAAATGTTTCTTCATGTCATAGATAGTCTTCAACATCATTTTAAACAATAGCTCAGATGAATGTCTCAACATGGGTCCCTTAGAAAATCCAGCCTTAGGCAAGGATTAACCTGCTGATACTTTCTTAGGGAGGTGCAAGCTCCGGGAAGAGACCTTGAGAAGAATGGAAAGAAAAACACCAGGAAAAACACAAATGCTGTGTGATGAGTCACTGTGTTGACTGAGATCTCATGACAAACTGCACAAAGACATAGCAGGTCAGTCATCCCCTGGCTTAAGGTGTGTCCCGAGGGGCTGCGAGGAGGAGCTATACCATGGACGAGTTCCCAGAGGGAGAAAGTGGAGAGGATGTACCTGCCCAATTCCCTCCTGCCTCCCACTTCCAGCAGGTCAAGAGTCACCCCCAGAGGGAGTGTCTTGGGCTTAGAAGACAATACCCCAAAGTATGGCACGTTGGTGTGCTGAGTACTTTGAGCTGAGGAAGCTTGGGGAGGCCTCAGAAGCAAGGTCTCTTCAACCTTCTCCCCTTTCTCCCCCAAGGCCTGTCATAGAAAACAAAAATCCTCTCCCCCAAGGTGGATCAAAGAAACTAGAACTCCTCTACCCCAAAGCTAGCCATAAAATATGGGAAGGTCACTCTGATCTCTCTTTCCCCTGAAAGCCCTCATGGGACAGGTGTCCTACCCTATGTGTAGAAGGGAAGGAAAGTCTTACAGAGACAGAGAAAAGAATCCTAACAAACAGGGCTTTCTGGGTTCCCCCACAAAACTCACCCAGTTTGTTACCCCTTTTGTGTACAGTCATGTTTCTCCACAACTATCCACTTCTTTCATCAGACTTCGCATCAAAATCCATAGTTTTCTCCAGGCTTTTGGGACTTCATTTCCTTGGGAAGGCTCCCATGTCACATAAAACTTTCATTTAATGATTTGGATTCATTTCTGCTGTTAAGCTGTCTTTGTCAGTTTTACTTTCAGCCCTAGCATGGAACCCTAGGAAGGTTTGGAAACTTCCCTGCCCTACAGGAGCTAACTGTCCCATAGGACTGGGTTGTGTGGTCCAGTCCTTTGGGTTTGCACAGAAGCCCTGACTTGTGGTATTTTATCTAAGTTCAGTAATAGACGGCAACTGTGTGCAGGTGGGACACAGAGCTCAAATGACAGTGAGACAGAGGCCGTCTGGGGCATCTGACAAAGCACACAAGTTTGTGTCCTATACACATGTAGATAGCATAATTTAGTCAAATGTTTCAGTCCTATTATTGTATACTTAGTTGGTTTCCAATGTATTATCTTTATAAATAAGGTTGGGATAGGCATTTTTATAAGTTAACCCTTACTCTCATCTATGCTATTTCTTTAGTGTAAATGCCTAGAAGTAAAATCATTGGGTCAAAGGTAATGAACAACCTAGATAGACACTATTATGTATCTTCATATATCTTGTAGTTTTCAGGTCTTGTACATTTCTTGTTAAATTTATACCTTGGTATTTTATTTTATCTTTTTGACTCTTGTGAATAGGATCTTATTCCAATAATATATTCCTTAATGGGTTAGTGTGTATAATAGTCTATCAAAAAGATTTGCCAGGGTGGCTCTTGCCCGTACTTCCAGCAGTGTGAGAGGTCAAGGTGGGCAGATCGCTTGAGCCCGGGAGTTCGAGACCAGCCTGAACAACATTGTGAAACTCCGTCTCTACTAAAAATCCAAAAAAAAAAAAAAAAAAAAAATTAGCCAGGCATGGTGTCACACACTTGTAGTCCCAGCTACTCAGGAGGCTGAAGGGGGAGGATTGCTTGAGTCCAGGAGGCAGAGGTCGCAGCACTGCACTCCAGTCTGGGCTCCAAAATGAGACCCTGTCTAAAAAAAAAGAAGAAAAAAAAAAGATTTGCCAGGCGATATGGCTTGGATCTGTGTCCCCACCCAAATCTCATGTTGAATTGTAATCCCCGGTGTTGGAGGTGGGGCCTGGTGGGAGGTGATTGGAAAGGTGGTTTCTAATGGACTAGCACCATCCCCCTAGTGCTGTTTTGTGATAGAGTCCTCTTAAGATCCAGTTGTTTAAAAGTGTGTAGTGTCTCCCTCCTCTCTCTATTTTCCTGTGCCTGCCATGTAGACGTGCCTACTTCCTCTTTGCCTTCCATCACGATTGTAAGTTTCCTGAGGCCTCCCCAGAAGCAGAAGCCTGTACAGTTCACAGAACTGTGAGCCAATTAAACCTCTTTTCTTCATAAATTACCCAATTTCAGGTATTTCTTTACAGCAGTACAAGAACAAATTCACTGGGTGTGGTGGTGTGCTCCTGTAGTCCCAGCTACTCAGAGGCTCAGGCAGGTGAGTTGCTTAAGCCCAGGAGTTCGGGGCCAGCCTGGGCAACTTACTGAGACCCCATCTGGGGAAAAAAGCGTTTTATGTTTTGTATTATCATGTTTTAATTTAATTTTTAAAGGTTATTAAACTTACACAGTTGAAACTTTCAAAGTTTAAAAAAGTTACAGAGTAAAAAGCCTCCCACCAATATTCTCACTCCTGGAAACAATCAATGCTATCAGTTTCTTACCTTAGAGACACTTTATACAGGCCAGACCAGTGGCTCACACCTGTAATCCCAACACTTTGGAGGCCGAGGTTGGCAGAGCACCTGAAGTCAGGAGATCAAGACCAATCTGGCCAATGTGGTGAAAGCACATCTCTACTAAAAATACGAAAATTAGCCAGGCACGGTGGCATGCACCTGTAATCCCAGCTACTCAGGAGGCTGAGGCAGGAGAATTGCTTGAACTGGGAGGTAGAGGTTGCAGTGAGCCAAGATCTCACCAGCCTGGGCTACAAGGGCGAGCGAAGCTCTGTCTCAAAATTAAAAAAAAAAAAAAAAAAAAAAGACACTTTATACACATGAAGCAGACACACACACACATATACACACGTATCCTTCTCATTATAACTATAACAAGTAATAGTTCTTCTGTGCCTTGCTTTTGTTCATTTTGCAATGTATCTTGGAGATCATCCCATATTAGCCGCTAAGGATTCCTTTTTTTGTTTTTTAACTAGATTCTCCATCTGGTGTGGATACCATAATCTATTTAATCATTGCACTGGTGACTGGCATTTAGAATGTTTCTAATCTTTTGCTATTTCAAAAACAGCGGTAACTTTGTAAATATATCACTTCATGCACATGTGAGTATATCTCTAGGATAAACTCTTAGTTGATGGGTTAATGAGTCAAAGGGTACAGACATTTGTAATTTGGATAGAACTCTCCATAGAGGTTGTACCAATTTACATTCCAAAAGGATTGTATCCAAGAGAGTCCCTCACCTTCATCTCAGTGTGGTATTGACTTTCTCTATATTTGCAAGTGTGATTGGTTAAAAGTAGTATCTTAGTGTAGTTGTCATTTGATTTCACTTACTGTGAATATGCGTTAGTCCATTTTTGCATTGCTTTAGAGAAATACCTGAGGCTAGGTAATTTATAAAGTCAAGAGGTTGAATTGGCTCACAGTTCTGCAGGCTCTACAGGAAGCAGAGTGCTGGCGTCTGCTTCTAGTGAAGACCTCAGGAAGCTTCCACTCATGGTGAAAGGTGAAAGGGGAAGCAATGCAGCATGTGATGTGAGTGGGAGAAAGAGGGAGAGAAGCGGGAGGCCCCAGGCTCTTGGTTTGTTTGTTTGTTTGTTTGTTTGTTTGTTTGTTTGTTTGAGATGGAATCTCGAGCTGTCGCCCATGCTGGAGTGCTGTGGCCCAATCTCGGCTCACTGCAAACTCCGCCTCCCGGGTTCAAGCGATTCTCCTGCCTCAGCCTCCCGAGTAGCTGGGACTATAGGCGTGTGCCACCACGCCCAGCTAATTTTTTGTATTTTTAGTAGAGATGGAGTTTCACCATGTTGGCCAGGATGGTCTCAAACTCCTGACCTCAAGTGACCCACATGCCTTGGCCTCCCAAAGTGCTGGGATTGCAGGCGTGAGCCACGGCACCCAACAACCAAATCTCAGGTGAACTCACAGAACAAGAGATCCCTCATCACCAATGGCTGGCACTAAGCCATTCATGAGGGGTCCGCCCCGTGATTGAAACACCTCCCACTTGGCCCCACCTCCAACGCTGGGGGTACCTTTCAACATGAGATATGGAGAGGAAAACATCAAACAATATCAGAATGATTTTCAGCATCTTCCCATATGTTTAAAAACCATCTCTATTTCTTTTTTCTGAGAACTACCCGTTTATGTTCTTTGCCTATTTTCATGAGATTGTTTATTGTATAGATTTGTTAAAAACAGCAAACTCACTGACTTCTCCTTTTCATTCTAATAGTTTGTCAGTTGACCCTGTTGGATTTTTCGGATGAATAGCTAAAACATCTGCAAATAATTACCACCCGTATCTCCTTTCTAATATTCTTATCTTTTTTCTGTGTATTTTTACACCAACTTAGAATTTCCAGAAAAGCATTAAAAAATAGGGGTGATAGTGGCCACCCTTGTCTTATACCTGACTTTAAGGGGAAGGCTCCTAGCATTTCAGTAACAAGTGTGATATTGGTTGATACACTGAGATGGATACTCTACTATTTTAAAGGAGTGTCTTTCTATTCCCAGTTTACTGAGATACCATTAGTGTTTTGTAAATTTGATCAGTATTGGATATTGAGTTTTATTAAAATATTTCCAGAATACATTGAAAGAATCATATATTATTTATTTGTCTTATAATATGATAAATTATGTCAATAGATTTCCTAACCCTAAACTATCTTTGCATTCCTGGGATAGTGCAAGACTCAATTATCTACTATTGTATTTAGGATTTCTGCATCTCTTATGTATAGTCATATGAAAAATTACAGTATAATTTTCATTTGGTCAGAATTCACCATATGACATTGAGCTATTATCAGAATAATATTGTCTGATGAAGAAATATGATTCAGTGTACGCTCATCTTCTCAAGTGATGTGGTTTGTAAAGTCTCGGTATCACAATTGGTTAGATTGTTCTTGGGCAATCTTCATCTTTGAGCATCATTTTGCTTTTCCAAATCTGCATAATTAAGTTGCAGGTCTCCTTTTTCACAACTACAATCATGTGTCTGCAAGGTGTCTGCAGGAAATCCACTTATTAACATTACACGACCTTGGACAAGTCTGTTAATGTCTCTCAGCCTCATTCTCTCTCTCACTTTTTTTTTGTTTTAATTTGAGACAGGCTCTTGCTCTGTCGCACAGGCTGGAGTGTAGTGGCACCATCTCGGATCACTGCAGTCTCCACCTCCTGGGCTCAAGCAATTCTCCCACTTTCTCCTGTAGCCAGGACTACAGGTGAGTGGCACCACACCCAGCTAATTTTTTAAAAAAAAAATTTTTGTAGAGAGAAGGTTTCACTGTGTTGCCCAGGCTGATCTCAAATTCCTGGCCCAGGTGATCCTCCCACCTCGGCCTCCCAAAGTGCTGGGATAACAGATGTGAACCACCACGCCTGGCCCTCCTTCTCTTTTATTTTAAAAAAAGGTGGGGGGCAGCTAATAATAGTACTATCTTCATGGTGGCAATACTTTGTAAAGATTAATAAAATTTTACAAAAGCCTTTAGCACAACATTATAGGGTAAGAGCTCAAAATGCGGCAGATATTATTATTACTATTATTACTAGGCTAAAAGTGTTTCCTGAAAACCAGTCCCATCCAGTGGAAGTCCATGTCAATAATGTACTGACTTAGTGAGTGCTGCTCAGTGCTCAGATAAGATGATGTTTATGAAAACGCATTGGAAAAAAGCACTATATAGAAGTTAGCTATAATGAGAATAATATTGTCTGATGAAGAAATATGATTTACTTTGTGTTGATCTTTTGGATTGGTGTGGTTTACACAAACATGATGACACAATAGAGAGATTCTATATATAGATATAGATATATTGATATATATACATATTATGCAAGCAGGAGTTACAAAAGGGCTCCAAAAGTTGTTCTGTTGCACAGTTTAAATGTTCCTCTTCGGTTATGTTCACATGAGTAATGTTCGTGGGATATATTTTTTTCCCCACATGTGGCCCAAAGGTGAATCGTCTCACAACGGGCCCTGCCTGCACTGTACTATACCTGGAGAGAGCACAGCCCAGTGATGAGGGTGGATCTGAGCTCCCTCCCTTCCACCAAGCTGTGAGGCCATGCACAAGTGATTATCTTTCTCTGTGTCTTAGAATGATAATGACAGAAATCCATTTCATTTGGAATTTGAGAACGAAAAAGTGAGTTACTAAAGGTAAAACATTTAAAATAGTGCCTGGCCTATCTGGGAAGCATTCAATGAGCGTTTGATGTCATCTATATTATTTTAATTACTGGACTCTCCTCTCAACTATCAACAGGAGGGAAGATCAGTTGGTGGATGGTGAAAGTTTAAATTCAATGTAGTCCCCAAATCCCCCCAAACCCTTGCAATTTGGCTCTGCCCTTAGTAACTGGGAGCCACCAAGGCCCAGAAGTGAGGGCCCCCAGGCTGTGTGGATTTGTCTTGAAGATCTTCCCGCAGTGGGAAGCCAACAGCTGGCAGGATCCACACACTATCCTCCTGGAGTGTCCTGTAGTACTCTAGAACTGTCCCAGCTTCACTATGTGTGTGTACACATGCTGGGAAACCGCACTGATCAATACCCTCGTGTCTGCCATGGTTCTCTCTACACTGAATTTACTTGAATCAATAGGAAATTAGTGTTTCTGTATTAGAGCAGATCTTAGTCTTAGCCTTGAAAGTGTAGCTATAATACACATGCATGTTCATGAAGCTGCCACATTAAAGGAAAATATCCCTCAGACTCAGAGGATCAATTAGCAGATGCGTTCATGACGAACTTGTTTACTCTGCTCTCGTCAACTTTTCTTTGTTGAAACTGACCTTCCCTGCTTGTATGAGAATCATTAGTGCCCAACAGGAAAGACAGGGCTTTCCATTTCACAAGTCTGTGAGCGTTCATTTCTGAGTAGGGCCCAGGCTCAACAATATTTTCACAGAGTGACAGTCGTAATCAAGTCCTAACAAATGATTGTCCTGCACGATAGAACTGCAAATAAAACTCTACATGTTGAATGTGCTTATTGTTCCTCCTTGTTTGCAAACATGTACACAGTGAGATCTTGATTATTTCAGAGCTTGGAAAAACAAAATTGTCTTCCAGTCTGTTTGAGCACTGGTTTATTTTTCTGGCTCCTGGAGAAATGCCCAACTTTTTTGGAAGAGCGTATCTTGTGCATCCTAAACCCTCCCGCTGGGAGAAAACCTTCGGTAAAGACAGCAGGCATGAGGAAAGCGAGGCTGGGGGTGGCAAGTGGAGACCATCCCCATGAAGCCAGACGTGCGTTAGGCCACCAGGGCCACCAGCCACAGTCTGTCTTTGATGAGCTTCCTGTGAGTTCTGACCTCCGTGTAACGACTCCTCTCTAACTACATGCTCACAAATACAACATATTTTTTCTCTGCTTGTATAGAATGTAGCTACTTGAATTTTATGTTGAGATTTCTGTAGAAGATAGAGGAGAAGGCAGTGTTTTTCCTACTTTCTTACACAGTCACTCAACACAATGCTTCTGACACCAGATATGCTGGGTTTCCTCCCTGCACATCCAGCAATTCTCTAGCAGACACCAACTGAATAAAAAATCCTGTCATTTCATTCAGTTTTGACACTATCCACCTAGAGATGGCATCAGATCCCTCAGGGCAAGGGCTCAGTCCTACAGCACTCCCATATGAGAGACCAGTCCCAAGCCCCAACTTGTGACCCATACTTCCAACCACCTGGCTATAAGTCAGGAGTCCCACAACCCCCTTCCTCACATTTGATTACTTTGTTAGAGCAGCTCACAGAATTCAGGGAGCACTTTACTTAGGCTCACCCATTTCTTATAAAGAATGCTACAAAGGATAGAGAACAACAGCTAGATGGAAGAGATGCCTAGGATGAGGTATGGAGGAAGGGGCACAGAGCTTCCATGTCCTCTCAGGGGCAACACCCTCCAGGAACCTCCATGGGTTCAGCAACCTGGAAGCTCTCCAAACCCTGCCCGTTTGGGTTTTTATGAAGGTTTCATTATGTAGGCGTGATGGATTACATCACTGGCCACTGGTGATGAAATCAACCTTCATCCTCTCCATGCTCCACTGAGGGTGGGAGGTGGGGCTAAAATTTCAACCTTCCAATCACAGAGTTGATTCTTCTGGCAACCATCCCCCATCCTGGGGCTGCCCAAGGGCCCCAGCCACCAGTCATCTCATTAGCATGACACTTGCTACTTTGGGGATTCCAAGGATTTTAGGAGCTGTGTGCCAGGAACCAGGGGCAAAAACCAAATGTATATTTCTAATTATATTATAACATCACAAGATTCAGGAGGAAAGAAATCATCCCCAACTCCTGAGAAGTTGCCATACTCTAGAAAGAATAATGGAATTTGTAGACCTAGACTTCTCATCCTGCTTCTGCCACTTGCTATGTGACTTTAGACAACATGAGTAGCTTCTCTAGACCTCAGAGTCCCATTAGGGTAATAAAGTCTTCGGTGCTTGCCTTAAAGGATTGTTATGAAATTCAAACAGGCTAATACATTAGAAAATTCGTGGATGGTGCAAAGCATCACACAGTGTAAGGCATTATCCCTTACAGAGGCATGTGAGGTTAGCTCTTATTAAATGTTCAATGAGGAAACAAAATACAATTTTAAAAATGAACAGATATGCAAAAGGGCAACTCTTGTATGCTTCCACTACAAATAGGCAAATTCATACAGACAGAAAGTAGAAGAGAGGTTACCTGGGGATGAGGGGAAGAGAGAACAGGGAATTCGTGTTTGATGGGCACAGAGTTTCTGTTGAGGATGATAGAAAGTTTCTGGAGATGGATGGCGGTGATGATTGCACAATAATGTGAATATACTTAAGGCCACTGGATTATACACTTAAAAATGGTTGATTTTATGTTATGCAAATTTCACCTGAATTTTAAAAGAGAAAAGAACAGATGTGAGTCTTCCTAGTGGAGGTGACACAGGGGATGTTTTGGCAGAGGAACACGGAGTAGCACAGGAGACAGGCGAGCACGCTGGCCTCTCTGGAGCTCTAAGGAGCTGTCTGAGGCTAGAGTCACAAGCAACCTCTCTCCCAAGACGTAGAAGGACCCAGCTGCCATCTGGATTATATTTTGGGGAAGAGGGACCCCACCTTACTTTAGCCCAGAAGAACTTAAATTTTAAACTTCTGGTTTCTACAGTATAGTAGCCAACTGTCTTCTCGAATAAGTAGAGCAATGGACAATTTGCTAGATATATATTTAAATAAGCAAAGGTTAAAAGTAAAAGCATTTTTTAAATGTCCCAGCTAAGTGAAAACAAAAAGAGAGCAGATGTAGTAAAATTAATAACAGAAAAAAACTGAATTCATAGTGAAAATCATTAAAAGAGACAACTGGGATCTTTCATACTGATGAAAAGTGTATGCTTGAGCTCTCATATACTCAGCAACACAGCTTCAAGATAGTGGAAGCAGCTGAAAGATCAGATGGGATTGAGAAGCCCACATTAGAGTTTAGCACATCTCTCTCAGAAATTAATCAAGTATATTTAAAAAATGTTTCCTTCAAAAAAGCTCTCAAACCTACATTTTTAGAAATGTAAACACACGATTCTACATAAATATGGGTCAAAGAAGAAATTGTGCTGACATTTTTGAAATATTAAAGAGTGAATGACAAAGTTCAAAATATCAAAATCTATGTTTTTGCTAAACTATTACTTAGAGGGAAAGTCACAACATATGTTTGGGAAAAAAAGGTTAAAATTGATAAAAACTGTCTGCACAAGTTAGAAAAAGAATAGCAGCATAATTACAAAGAAAGCTGAATGAAGAAAAGTATAAAACTAGCAAGGAATAAACAGAATAAAAGAATATACAGAATCCACAGAACCAACATTTGTTTTGTAAACTTAAATAGACAAACATCTGGCAAGATTGATTGAAGAAGCTCTAGAAGGAGAAAAAGAGAAGTCACAATAAAAACTATTAAGCATATAAAGGGGTAATATAACTATAGTCACAATTAAGATTTTAAAAATTAGAAGAAAGCGTTGATGTAAAACAGTGTTCTTTATGTCACAGGGTTTGAAAATGTAAGTGAAAATGAATAATTTTATAGAAATACACATTACAAATGGTAAATTTAGGAAATCAGAATGGATCTCTTAAATAAATCTGAATCAAAGATTTTCTCACACCAAAGGCCCTGACCCAGTCATCTTGACAGGTGAGCTTTACCAGGCCTGCAAATAATAAATAGGTTGTCCCTCCCTCATAAAAATCACCCCCCCACCAAAATAAATAAATATTAATAAATGAAAAGTTCCCCAACTTGTCTGAAGCTAGCATCACATTGATATCAAAATCAGACAAGAACATTCAGAAAAAGGAAAATCCTTGGCCAATCTTCACAGCATCCGCCTAGCTAATCTCTCTGTTGCCATTTTTGCCCAATTAGTTTTTCTCCTCTTTGGGGCCCAGGGGATCTATTTAAAGTATAAGTCAGATACATCACCGACCTGCTCAGTAGCCCCTCCTGCTCAATATGTGCTGCCTTCCCTCTGTGCTCCTCCCCAGCCACCTTTCTGTCCTGCCCTCTACTGCTGACTGTATGCCCCCCTTCCAGCTCCCCAAGCAGGCTGAGCACTCCTGCCTCAGGGCCTTTGCACTGGCTGTTCTGCTGATACTCACATGGCTCACTCCCGCCTTTCTTGAGCCTCTGCTCAAATGCCACCTCCTCAGAGCATCCTGCCCTTACCACTTTGTCTAGGATGGCAGTCACTCTCCACCTCCTTCCCCTGTTTACTTCTCTGCCTAGTACATAGCATTACCTAGTTATTGTCTCCCTGTCTAGAATGTAAACCCTACAAGGCAGGGATTTTTTCTATTTTATTCCCTGATGAATCCCAAAGTCCTGGAACTGTGCCTGACACATTGCTGATGCTCCAAAGTGTTTCTTAAACAAAGAAAGAAATCTCACTTATAAAGTTAGATGTCAGGAATCTTATGAAGATATTAGCAATCTGAATCCAGAAATTATTTCAAAATACTAATAAAGCAGCAACATGACTAGGTAAGTATTTAACCTCAGGAATGCAAGGATGGTTTAACATGAGAAATGTGCTGATGTAACTGTGGTGGGCTGAACAATGGCCCTTCAACATGTCTGTGAATATGTTGCCTTATACAGCAAAAGGGACTTTGCCAATGTGATTGTTACATATGTTGACATCTGGATGTTATTCTGGATTATCAAGATGGGCCCATAAAATCACAAAGATCCTTATAAGAGGAGAGAAGAAGGTCAGAGTCAGAGAAGGAGATGTAAGGCTAGAAATAGAGGTGAGGAAGTTAGAAGGAAAGGGAAGAGGAGGAAGAGGGAGGGAGAGAAAGAGATTCAAAGATAAAGCAAAACTGTTGGCTTTGAAAATGGAGGAAGAGACCATGAATTAAGGAATACCAGTGGCACGTAGAGGCTGGAAAAGATGAGAAAATGGATTCTCTCCTAGAGCCTCCAGAGGAAGCACAGCCTGGTTGATACCTTGATTTTAAGACTTTTGACCTACAGAACTATAAGATAATAAATATGTGTTGTTTATTACCTTATTGTTGTTTTAAGCCATTACATTTGTGGCAATTTTTTACAGCCGCAATTGGAAATTAACACAGCAATTTACCACATTAACAGATTAAAGAAAAGGAAATCTCAGTAGATGCTGAGAGAGCATTCAACCACCTGCATGAGAAATCAGCAGATAGGCCCTATAGTCCCACTGGCAAGGATCAAGCCAGCTGTTCTTTATGGAGTGCTGTTTCAAGCACAGCTCAATATAACAGATAACCTGGGACTCTGGATTCAGAAATTCCTGGCTGGGAATCTGGACTTAAAAAGCAGTTGTGTAAATTTGTAATCTCTCCTGTTAACTCGCCTCATCTGTAAAATGGGTTAAAAATATTACCTACTTCAAAAAGCCATTATGGGATGACATGAGATGCCCTTTGCAACATTGCTAGAACAGCTGGCACCTATGAACTGCCTGCCCCAAAAAGAGTGACCCAAACCTGGCTGAGCCCTGCAGGTGACCACATGCAATTTTAGGGGAGTGACTGTTGACTTCACCATCGCTTAGAGCTGCAAAGTGCTTACACTACCCAATGTTGTAGTCCATCTGTCTTCTCTATCCACTGCAGGTGCATGTTTGCACCTGAGGCTTGGACTTCACATCAAACTCTACTGTGTCCACCATGTGAAGTCCATTCTTTGTTCCACCCATTGGGGTTCCTCCAGAGCCCAACCACTGTTACCAAGCTGTACTTGGGTCTGCTCACCCAGTGCACAGAAAAAAAAACACTCACATGGGCATTTGCAGCAAGAGAAAGTGAGGCATTTATTACAGGGTGCTGAGCAAAGAGAACCTTGCAACTAATGCTTAATACCCAAACTGCCCAATAGCTTACAAGCAAGAGTTTCTAATGGTAGGGTTACATTTCAGGAAAGCAGAAGTTATGGGAAAAGCTGTAAATCAATACATGGAGGTTTTATGTTGTTTTGGCCCAAAAAGGCAGGATATCTTGAAGTGGGCACTTAAAGGTCATAGGTGGATTCAGAGATTCTTTGATTTGCAATTGGTCAAGGAAGCAAGGCTTTCCTAAAAACTGAGGGTCAGAGTAAAGGAGCCTTCACCTGTGGCCTGGAGGACTTGCTCCAGGCCCCACAGGAAGAAATTTAGAAGAAAGAATGGCAGTCAGGGTTTAGTCCTTAGTTCCCCCTTATCTAGGTCCAAATGACAATGGTTGGCATTTTCCATTTGGCGGGGGGCCTGGGTTTCCAAAAACAACTCAAGGACATATGCTAGGTGTTATCTTTTAGTTTCTATAGGGATCCCAAACACTTTGTGACTCTGGTTCACTTGGGTGGCTATTGTTGAAGTTATTATTTCCTTCTTATTTAGCGGGTTATTTATTTACTTTCTTAATTGCTGATTATAGAGCTAGCTAGGTGCCTGGAATTTCCCTTGAAGAGACTCGAAATTTGTCCTTTATCTCCATGCCAGGGTTAAGGAGGGTGGGAGTGGCAGGCCCCTAAGAGGGGTCCCTGCTAGGGTCTGTGGGCCACCTGCAAATATGATTCTAGCCTCATGTCAGCAGGACACACAGGTTTCCTAAGTCTCCAGTGTATGGTTGTTTGTCACGTTCTCTGGCCTGTCTTTGAAGACGCTGCTGATATAATGCACATTTGTTGAGGTCGTAGTCTAGGCTGGACCCTGCCCAGCTGTTATGTGTAAGCTCACCACAACGCTTCAGGGTAGCAACAGTGGAGGAAACAGGATTACAAAAACTGGGTTAGTTTTTTGGCGGTGATGGTAACCCTGTCTGGGTGATGCTGAGGCTAGCACTCCTCCTGCCTTTGCCTCTGAGCTTGTCTAGGCCTACAGGCAGCTCAGCAGCCAGCTCACTCTAATCTCTAGGAAGAGGATCCTTGGAAAAATTGTCCTTTAGGACCTTGACAAGGCCACCTCTCCCCAAACCAACAGAGCCCAGTGCCAATCATCCATTGCCAAGCCGGCCTAATTTTCATGCAAAGAAAATGAATCCAGAAAGTCCATTCCTAGCATTCTCAACATCTCTTCTGACTCTATATTTTGCTAATCAGTAGATTTTACTGATTTTTGCTTGGAGATTTTTAGAGACCCAGCAGATTCACTCTAGGAAATCAAATTCATTCAGCAAACAGGCAAGTCCTGTTTAATCATTGGCCAGGCTCAAAATCATCTCAACAGTAACTCACTTTACCTGAGTTAAATTGCACCTTTTCTGGAAAAGAAATTCCTAACATTGAGCTGTCTTGAAAATTCCATACCATTGTTGGAACTCCCAATCCAAAAATTTATAATTGGTCCTGCTGGTTAACCACTAACAAATCAGCTAAATGTGAAGTTGACCATATCAACCCTATTTTTCCATAAATTGGAAATTTCCTCTGGAATCTCATCTTTCTTAACCATGACCTTGCCTGCCCCACTCCGTACCCCCTGCCTTCTGCTACCTGAAGAGTCACTCACTGAAAGATGAAAAGGTACTTATCTTGGATTTTTCTTCTTAAAATAATCGGAAAAAACTTTTTTTATTATAAAATATAACCACATTAAGGAAGATTTGGAAAATGGAAGAAGAAAAAGAAAAACACCTATAATCCTAGCAAACTGCATCCACTAACGGTTTGTGGAAGAAGTCCACATTGTTGCCCTTAAGATGTTAAAACTGAAACCTGTCTCAGTGTGTAACCAGGGAGACGCATGTCCTGGGCTCTTGGAACCCGCTGAGGACCAGCTGACACCAGTGCCAGGCCACCACACCTGCCCTGGGGGCAGTGTCCTGTTCTGTGTGTGCATATGTGTGTGTGTTTCCTCTTTACTTCACTCTCTTTATTGACGTTCATTCCTTTCATTTTCCACTTTACTTTTGGTTTTGTTTTTCTGCATTTCCTTCCTTTGTAACAGGTGTCTTTCAGTATCATGTTCTTAGATTCCATGCATGCTGGAGGACCTGGATGAATAGCAAATGGAAATTGCCCATCTGCTTAGGGAAAGATGGCGCATATGAGCACCAAGGTTTACCCAATGCCAGGAACACACACCTTGCTGGAATTAGTAACATTTTCACTGCCTCAAACAACTGGCAAAAAAATCTGTGATGATATCTCTCCCTTAATATAATACCCTTTGTATTGTATTTGTGCAAATACTACTTTGTGGCCCAATATTTCTGAATGCGCAATGGTCAGAGGCTTCAAAAGTGTAAATCCCTTTCTGAGTCTCAGTTTACCCATCCGTAAATGTGAGGCCCTTCAGGTGGACCTTCCCTGGCTTCCAGGCCACCCCAGCTCTCCTCAATGGAAGCTGTGCCTGTGAGACCCCCAATCCCAGGCTCAGCCCTGCTCTAGACTTCGGGATCCATGCTGTCCTGAGACAGGTGGGAATTGGAAAGCTTCAGTCCCTCATTTCAGGATTGGCTGTCTGATTCAGCCCTAACGTCTCTAGCCCAGTTCAGGAAACTGGGCCTGGATCCAATTTATTTAGGCAGCAAACACAAATGGGTCCCTGCCCAGAGCAGAGGAGCTAGTCTACAGGATGGCAGGTAACTTATGACCTGTGTCATCTTCTTAATAAGATGAGCTGGGCCAATCCAATTACTTTCTCAGAAAGTCTGCATGAGAAAACTAAAATTTTGGAAGAGTTGGCTGCGGGGATGAATCACAAGTTGATGTAGAGGGGCCCAGGGAGGTTGTGCTGGCTCACGTGTAGGCTGAGGAGGGAGTAGAGACTGGGGAGCTAGGGAGGGAAGAGATCTGGGTGGGCAGACTCAAAGAGAGGTGGAAAGATGTCACTAGATGGGAGTGATCAGGGGGGTCTCCAACCTTTACCACCATATCTGTGAGATCCCTGCTGCTGGAATCCTGGACTCCTGAGCCTGTTGTACTTCTGGTGGACCTTCCTTTACTTCAGCTAATGTGGGTGAGTTTCTGTTTCTATTTGAATTACTTAAAATCAGAAAAAAGAAAGCCCTTGGATCTAGCCCTACATGCTACATTTGTGGAAAGTGAGGACCACCGCAGTCAAGTCACTTGCTGAGGACCCCCAGTGATACCCCAGGGTCCCAATCACAACCCTCTATGCAATGGCCTTTGAGTTACAGAGCTCAGGAGGACAACTGTCCCATCTTTAAGCTAAACACAAATCATTCTGTTTCTAAATATGACCCCCACGGAATGACCTGAAAGCCTCTTGGCATCTCATTAGTGTTTCAAGGGTACATGGAGCCCTGTCTGTGAGAAAGCACAAAGATCTGATTTTGCAACTGTGAGACACTGAATACCGCGGCCCATTTCTATCTGGATCCTACCTGGAACTGCACTAATCCCAATAGCCTCACTGATGACCTTAGCAAGCAAGAGCAATTGCTAAAGAATACAGTGTATTTGCTGAGTCCAAAAGCAATTTTGTTTTAGCTTTCTCATTTGGCCAGAGGAGTTGGCATGCATAAGTGTTGATTCAATTTTGCTCTCTGGTTGAAATAGAAGACTCAGGAAAATTAAACATGTTTGTGAAATCTAAGCATACTTTATCTATAAATGCCCACATCCTAATATTTTTGGTTTAATTTTCAGTTAATCATAACAGCTAATATTTATGGTATGTTTACAATGTTTGAGGAACTTTTAATTAATAATCACATTTAATCTTCACAATAATTCTATAAGACACGTATAGTATTAAAGAAACTATAATAATTACTATATGGAAGGGGACCTCCCTGTAACTTGCCCAAGAGGCATAGCCAGGAAGTGGCAATGCCAGGTTCCCATCTCAGAGGCCCATTCTCTCCCAACCTTTTAGCCATATAGCCCCAAAGGTGGTTAGCTAAGGAAACAGATGATTGCTTGTTTGTTTGAGTTACAGACAGTGAAGATAATTCAAGAATTTGTAATTGCTCATCCCTGCTGGGGGATATTAGCTAGACATTAGCTGTAGCATGTGAATCATGACACTTGTTTCTGGCTGAGTTATTACCTATGCACAATGGTGCTCACCAGCTTGCCAGCTTGGTTTAGAAAGTTTGGGGAGAAGATGGTGCACACTGCTTCCAGTTGCTTCCCACTGCTGATGGCTCAACTGGGGATCCAGGGCCCCCACCTACCCTCAATTGTTAGCAGGCAGTCCCTGGCTTCAGTTTTATATCTGAGTTGTGACCCTGGGACGATTTGGGGGATGTTGATGTATCACAGCCCATGAACTCTTCAGACATCCTCTGGGAACACCGACCTGCTAACCAGTTGGAGGGAGTGGTAGACACTTGGCAAGCCTCCACACATTGTGCACTGGGGTCCTCGCCCTGGACAAGGTCCAGAGGCAGCACCTGCATGCGGGGTGTCTTCCTTGTCCCTGCTCTTGCTGCTCTGCCAAAGATGCACATCCAAGGACCATCCCCATACCCCCAGCAGGGAGGCGAACAGATTTATAGCAAGATCCAGGGAGGTGTTGCAGGGGGAAAGGGGAGGCCAGCCTGGGCTCTGCCTCTATCTGCTGAGCAAGCCACCGCCCCTCTCTGTGCCTCAGCTTCCTTGCCTGTCAAAAAGAAGGGGCAAGAGTATCCTGGGGAGAAGGAGGGGGCTCAACTGTGACTTAGTGAGGCAGAAACGCTGCCTGGTTTATGCGGGGTATGAGGCTGGCCTAGCACCCATCTCCTGGCAGGTACATCTCAGGATACACAGGGCCTTCATTTTCACTATGAAATTTGAAGTGAATATTGTCATTCTTGTGCTTAAAGCCATAGATGGGAAAGCGCTTTTCATCTATTAAAAAAATTCTCAGCTCTCATCACATCCCTCTACCACTCTGTATTCAAACCAGGGAGGATTTCATTACTCCTCAAGCCCCACTGGGCACCTTCCGCCCCGTCTCGTGCTGTTCCCCTCTATCCTTCCTTCAGGGGTCAGGCAAGCCCCATCTGATTCCCTCCACTGGGATTCGTCTCTCCTCCTCATGCTCCCCGGCAGCTGTATTACTCTGACTTGTGCTTGATTCATTCATTCATTCATCATTCATTCATTCATTCAACAAACACACTGTGAGTGCCGGCTCTGTGTCCTAAAGACACAAATCAAAGATGGGACAGAGAAGAAATGGATGAAGTGGAGAAAGCAAAGGTGAAGGTACAGAATAAGTCTAGACACATTTCCAAACTCTCTCCATCCAGACTTTTAAAATTCTATGTGTTTATATTTCTATGCCATATAGAATTCTGTTCTCTTTTTTAGGAATTAACATTTGTATCCTTTCCATGGAATACTCGTTAAGAATACATCAAACGCATGCGGTACAAATGAATACTTCGAGGACAGCCTGATGATTACATGACACCTGGAGATTTCCATGGGGACCTGTGTGGCTTGCCGTTCCAGTTCTGTCCTCTCCGGGGCTTGGGAAGGTTCCACCCAGCTGGACCCCGCCCACGGGCCCACCTGGTGCCATGCATGGAGAGGTGAACACGGCTCCCAAGGCCAAGCATGACAGAACTGGGCAGAAAGAGACTCGGACCATTTTTCAGGAGCGATGACCATCTGCGGACAAGGCCAACCAGCCTTCCTGTCCTAAGAGTCCCATTTGTCCAATAAAACTACTTAAATAAAAGCACCACCCCTCTCCATGGCCCCCCGCCAGAAACTACAGGAAGGGATGGTTCCCTTACCAGATGGTTTCCACTTTGATTTCTCCGACTTCCAAGTACCTGTGCCTGTGCCCCCATCCCTGCACCAGAAACCTGGCGGGGGTCCAGGGGTGGGGTGGGCAGGGCAGAGGTCACAGTAAAGCCCTTGAGCTCCCCTCTGCACCTCTTAGTGGTCCCCCATCTGCTCCGCCCGTTGCCTGAGCCCATTTCCCCCACTGGTCCTTGCCCCCGCCACCCAGTGCTTCTCTTCTCTAACCCAGCCCCCAGGAGAACTTGTTGACGAACCTTATACTGCACAGTGGTCACAGATAAGGCTGTGCCATCATTCTCACCTCTAAAATGCTGGCATGCAAATGATGGCAAAATCTGGGGGCAGGCTAAGCTGTTGCTGAAGCATGGCAGCCCTGGAGGCTGGTTTCTGTGGCAGGGCATGCAGCCACCTGCACAAACCTCACGTCCACAGTGCCAGGCGTCAAAAGGACAACGTATCCACAGTTCCCTTATGCAGTCCTAATATTGAAAATCAGAGCCACAACCTCCCCTCCCCACCCAACTCCTGCAGTCTGAGATGATACACCCCCCTCCACCGGAACACAGGACCCTCTAGAGTGCAAAGTGCCCCATGTCACCAAGCAAAGAGGGAAAGGAGGCACTGGCTGGGCCCAGTGGGCAGGTTAGGCAAACTCCAAATGTCTGGCTCTTGTACTGCACTGTAAGAACTTGGGCCCTAGGGTATAAGGGGCCCATTCCGGTTCAGTCCAGCCTCCCCCGGGACCCGAGAAGCTCAGAAAGTGCTTGCTGGTGAGCAATGAGCCTAGGATGAGGGTCTGTATGTCAGAGTTGATAAGTCGGGGAGGAGTCCTCAGGAAAAGAAACATGTTTCCCATAAAATGTGACCAGAGCCAGGAGAAAGAACTCTCAATGGCAGGGTTCCCCGACCAGTACCAGTTGGTGGCCTGTTAGGAACCAGGCCACACAGCAGGAGCCCAGATGAGCAAGTGAAGCTTCATTCGTATTGACAGCCCCTCCCCATCACTTGCATTACCGCCTGAGCTCCCTGCCCCCTGTCAGATCTGGAGTGGCATTAGATTCTCATAGGGGCACAAACCCTATTGTGAACTGTGCATGCAAGGGACTAATTTGCACGCTCCTTATGAGAATCTAGCCTGGGCACGGTGGCTCATGCCTGTAATCCCAGCACTTTGGGAGGCTGAAGTGGGAGGATCACTTAAGTCTAGGAGTTCAAGACCAGCCTAGGCAACATCATGAGACCCCTGTCTCTACACATAAAGAAAAAAAGAGAGCCAAGGGCAGTGGCTCATGCCTGCAATCCCAGCACTTTGGGAGGCCGAGGCGGGCAGATCACAAGGTCAAGAGATTGAGACCATCCTGGTCAACAAGGTGAAACCCCATCTCTACTAAAAATACAAAAATTAGCCAGGTGTGGTGACATGTGCCTGTAGTCCCAGCTACTCAGGAGGCTGAGGCAGAAGAATTGCTTGAACCCAGGAGGCAGAGGTTGCAGTGAGCCAAGATTGTGCCACTGCACTCCAGCCTGGAGACAGAGCGAGACTCTCTCTCAAAAAAAGAAATAGAGAGAGAATCTAATGCCTGATGATCTGTCACTGTCTCCTATTACCCCCAGAAGGGACTATCTAGTTGCAGGAAAATAACCTCAGGGCTCCCACCGATTCTACATGATGGTGAGTTGCATAATTATTTCATTACACATTACACTGTAATCATAACAGAAATAAAGTGCACAATAAATGGAACGTGCTTGAATCATCTGGAAACAATCCCCTCCAGCCTTGGTGTGTGGGAAAATTGTCTTCCACAAAACTGGTCCCTGGTGCCCAAAAGGTTGGGGATGGCTGCTCTCTGGTACAGGGGAGAAGGATGCTAGTGGGGCCTGTCCCCAGGCACAGCACGCAGGGCAGCTGGGCCCACCTTATCCCTCTTATTCTCCTGTTATGCCTTCGACTCATTTTATTTTCCTTCCTAGACAGCCCATAAAGTCTATGAGGTCAGGACCATGTCCTGCCAGTTAATCTCCACACACAGCATAGTGCAGCAATGTGGTCAGTTATTCTCCACACGCAGCATAGTGCAGCAATGTGGTCAGTTAATCTCCATACACAGCATAGTGCAGCAATGTGGTCAGTTAATCTCCACACGCAGCGTAGTGCAGCAATGTGGTCAGTTAATCTCCATACACAGCATAGTGCAGCAATGTGGTCAGTTAATCTCCATACACAGCATAGCACAGCAATGTGGTAAGTGCTTTAGAATTCTTTTGTTAGTGAAAACAAAAAAGAGTGAAGGAATGAATGAAGAAACTTTCTGGGTCCAAGATGTTTATTTATTTATTTATTTATTTATTTATTTTTGAGATGGAGTCTCGCTCTGTCACCCAGGCTGGAGCACAGTGGTGCCATCTCCGCTCACTGCAACCTCCACCTTCTGGGTTCAAGCGATTCTCCTGCCTCAGCCTACCGAGTAGCTGGGATTACAGGTGCCCACCAACACACCTGGCTAATTTTTATATTTTTAGTAGAGACGGGGTTTCACCATGTTGGCCAGGCTGGTCTCGAACTCCTGACCTCAGGTGATCTGCCTTCCTCAGCCTCCCAAAGGGCTGGGCTTACAGGCATGAGCCACCACGCCCAGCCAGATCTATCTATTTTTAGATTCTAGTTACAGGGAATCTATTCACCTTTCATCTTATTTATTAAAACCAACTTTGTGGACTAAAATCAATGATGCATTTAAGTCATTCATCTACCGAGCTTTTATTTAGCACCTACTCTGTACTTTTTTTATGCAGGAGTTTACCAGCCCAGAGGGAACTTTGTATCTGAAGACATTCTTAGACTGTTGGGCCGTGTTCTAAAAAATCAATTCCTGGAATCCCAGCAGTCATATAAGTAGAAAAAGAGAAATTGACAGTCCTTCCAATTAAGCACCCTTGTAGGATTTATTTTTTCCCTATAGTGAAATGTATTCAAGAACGACAAGACATCAATAGATTCCTATGTTTTCAAACATCTCTCCGAAAATCCAAACCGTAGACCACATCTTCCTTTCTGTCCAAACAGGTAATTATACTTTGTGTATTAAAGCCTTATATCTTTGACCTATCCAGTGCACAAAAAACAGTTTAACCTTTAAACCAAGTCATGTACACCATTTTACTCCTAGAAAGTTGAATTTATGTTATTCCGTCAAATCAGTATCAACCTGACCTTTAAACACATCAGTGTTTCTTGGAAAAATATTATGGCTGGGATGGCTACCACGGTAAACAATATTAGCTGCTCTACCCAGTGCTGAGCCGTGCTGTGCTGTAGCTTATCAGATCAGGGGGTGGAAGTCAGCAGGGACCAGAGCTCTTCTGACAAACTCTACAGGATATGAAGAACAATGTAAATGCACCAGAGTTGGCAGATATATTTCTATATTACTGTTCCGGAGATAACAGCTAAGGTGAATCATTTCCTACCACCTACCATTCCAAATTATTTCAAATTCTGAAGGGACTCTATTTATTTCATTGGTAGCTAGCAATTTACTTAGCTGAAGATCATTATATTTATGTGTCTGTGAAATCCTCACAATAATTACACATTTGAGCCGTCTCAGATGTGCTATACGTATTCTCATTAGTCATATACTTGCAAGGATAGTATCACATTTTTCTGTAGCAACCTTGACAACGTACACATAAAGCGCCCAACTGGATGCGAACTTTGATTCTCATGGTTTTCCTAGGTATCATATTTATCAAACAGCAGGATGCCTTCATTCACATGCAAATGCTTACAGAAAGCTGGAAAATAGTCTTAATTTCTCTTTTCTCTAGATCACTTGGGTGCTGCAGTCCTGGAAGATATTGTATTGGGCAGCAGGGAGAGCAAACCTAGCTGAGATCTAAAATTACTTTAGGAGCTTACCAAAAAGTTCCATAATGGGAAATATTTATAAGACAGCACACTTCCTTCCAAAGCATAAAGTCATTGCAGGATAAGTGCAAGGCATTTGTAATTTCCAGTGCTGTCAAGCAAGTGCCCCCAGGTTGAATCCTGGACAATATTTATGAGGCTGGTTGGTTTATCCAAAAGGTCTATTTTGTCATTTTAAAGTCAGGGATTATGAAAGAGAACAGACTGCCTGGTGGTTTTGCCCATTTCTGCCCTCCCCGCATTTATTTCAGAAGCTATTGTTAGTGTAAACACGGTGATTCTCAGAACATCTCTAACCTTGACAGCAAATAAGAACAATTCTCCCTCCTGAGCAATGATCCCAAGAGAACATGGGGATTCATTCAGGTGCCAAAGAATATTGTTGAACCACTGAGCTCATGACAGAGACACATCCTCATTTGCCATAGCGTCTCAGAACACATGTGTGCTCACTGGGTTTACATGTGACTCCCCGACTAGCTGGTAGGCCCTGGGAGCATAAGACCTCTATCTGCTCATGTCCACCTTTGCATCCCTAGCATCTAGTATAGTGCCCAGCACATAGTCAGTGCTCAATAAATATTTACTGGGTAAGCAAATGACTGAGGCAATGAGCTGAACCGCCTCCATGCCGTAAGCCTTTTCATGGGGAACTATAACCCTGTCTCGAGTTTGGACTGTCTGAGGCTGAGTCACATGACTTTCCCACAGAAGATTGAAGCCAGAGTGAGAATTCGAGTCTCCAGAGCCAGCAGGTGCCATCACCTTCTTCCATGCATGAAATGATGGTTTAATGAGTACCTACTATGAACCCAAAGCTGTGCCAGTCATAGGAGCAGCTACGGTCAACGAGTCACACAGATCTGGCTCTCACAGAGCTTGGAGACTGATGAGGAAACAGGTTTAGCAACAGCTCACAGGAAAGGATATTCCAGAGCGGGGAAAACAGTCACTAAACAAGGACACTGTTCACAATAAAGAGAAAGGAGGATGTGGGTCCTGTGAGTGTTGCTGTATGTGAAACCACCCCAAAGCTTGGGTCTTAGAGGGGAGTTTGTGGGTGGTGGAAATGTCCTATAGATTGTGATGATGGTGATGATGGTTTCATGACTATACATTTGTCGGGAAAACTCATTGAACTACTGAAAAGGGATGCGTTTTACTAAATATAAATTGTAACTTAGTAAACTGACTGTTACAATTAAACAAAAAACTTTAAAGAATGAAAACAACAGTCATTGATTATGCTCACAAATACTATGGGTTGGGAATCTGACATGGAAAAACTTGTCTGTCCTCCACGAAGCCTGGGACCTCAGCTGGGAAGACCCATAAGCTGGAAATGACCAAGTGGCTGAGGGCTAGAGGGACCAGGAACTCCCTACATGTCTAGTGTCTGGGCTACGGGCTGGTGTGACTGGAAAACTAGACTGCCCCCTGGAGCACCCCTATTTCAGCCTCCCCGCTCAGCACATCTTGTTGAGGGCCTACTGTGTGCCAGCACTAGGGATGCAGAAGTTAGCGCCATAGACAAATAGCCCCTTTCCTTTTGGAGTTGACAGTCTAGAGAGGGAAGGCAGACAGGAAACAACATTATACATAAGGATATTAACGGTATGTTAGAGGTAATACATGCATGGAATAAAAATTTTAAAAAGGGAGGCCGGGCGCGGTGGCTAACACCTGTAATCCCAGCACTTTGGGAGGCCGAGGAAGGCGGATCACTTGAGGCCAGGAGTTTGAGACCAGCCTGGCCAACATGGTGAAACCCCACCTCTACTAAAAAAAAAAAAAAAAAAAGAAAGAAAAGAAAAGAAAAAAAGGAAAAAAATGAGCTGGATGTGGTGGCGTGCACCTGTAATCCCATCTACTCAGGAGGCTTGAACCTGGGAGGCGGAAGTTGCAGTGAGCCGAGATGGTGCCACTGCACTCCAGCATGGGCAACAGAGGGAGACTCCATCTCAGGAAAAAACAAAACAAAAAAAAAAAAACTTTTAAACTAAACAGGGGAAGGGGTTGGAGAGGTGGGAGAGGGAACATTCTCTGTGTGGAGTTGTGTGGTTGGTTGGTGGCCCTATGTTTTGTTTTGACAATTCAATGGTGTGAAATGGAATCACATTATGGTTTTAATTGCCTGAGTTCAGTGTCTTCAGATGTGTGGCAGACACTGCTAGCTAGTCACCCAGCACGGTTCCTCTTTTTCTTGGGCACAGTTAAACTATATTTCCCAAGCTCAACTGCATTCAGCTGTGGCCTTGAATGGTGATCTAACCAACAGAATGTGAGTAGCAACCTGCTACCATCCCCAGGTCCAGCCCAGGAAAACCTCCCATGCGGGATCCTTCTCCTTCTTTTCTTTTTCCAGCTGCTTAATTCCTACGGCAACTTTGGAACTACCATATTGAAGATGGCAGAGCCTCCAACAGCCAGGAACCCTGTGAGCTGTGAAGAGAGAACTTTGCCCCTCCCTTCACCAGCCTGGAACATTTGCCCTGTTTATATGAGCAAGAAAGAAACGTCTGTTGTGGGGACACACGTTGCAGCAGCAACCCCATCCTAACTCACACCACATGTTTATTGATCATTTGGTTTCTCCTGAGAATTACCTGCTCAGACTCTTCACCAAATTTAGTATGGGGTTATATTCTTTCATTTGTCTGTAGTGAGATATGAGTTTGGCAGGACTGGTTTCACAAGATACAGGTCACGAAGACCCTGCTGATAAAACAGGACGCAGTCAAGAGGCTGGACAAAACCTGCCAAAACCAAGATGGTGATGAAAGCAACCCCTGGTTGCCTTACTGCTCATTATGCGTTTATTATAATACATGAGCATACTAAAGGACACTCCCACCACTGCCATGACAGCTTACAAATGCCATGGCAATAGCTGGAAGTTATCCTAAATAGTCTGAAAGACTGGGGAACCCTCAGAGAATTCCCTGCCCCTTCCCGGAAAACTCATGAATAATCCACCCCTCATTTAGCATATGATCAAGAAATAACCATAAAAATAGCCAACCAGCAGCCCTCAGGGCTGCTCTGCCTATGGAGTAGCCACCCTTTCATTCCTTTACTTTCTTAATAAACTTGCTTTCACTTTACTCTGGTGGCTAACTCTTCAATTCCTTCCTGCATGAAGCCAAGAACCCAGATGGCCTCCCAGGCTGAACCCCAATTTGGGGGTTCTGTATATCCTGCCGTTTTCAAAGTGTGATCTTTGGAGCAGGGCATAAACTGCACCTGAAGTCTTGTTAGAAATGCAGACTCTCAGGCCCCACCCAAACCTGCTGAATCGGAACTTGTGTTTCAAAAGATCTCCTGGCGATGCCCATGCATATTGAAGTTGAAGAAGCTCGGTTTCAAATGTTCTGAAATAATTCTTCCTCTTTTCTATGCGTTGAATTCATTTTCTGCCAATTTGTAGCAACTTTTGCATTTTGGGGATCTATCTTTTCATGTACAGATTTTTTTTAAATTTTAACCTTGTAGTATTTGCCAATATTTTATGTTATGGTTTGTTTGCCCTCTTTGTCACTTAAATCCTTCTCTTCCTGAGATCACACAGATATGATGCTATATTTTCTTCTAAAAGTTTTTAGTTTTTCTTTTCACGATTGTTCTTTCATCTGGAATTTACATTTGTCTCTAGTGTGCTATAATGCTCTCATTTTATTTTTTCATATTGATAATCAATTATCCCAGTGTGGTTCATTGAATTATCCACCCATTGCCTCCTGACTGGTAGTGTCACTCGAGTCATAGGTGCTATCTTACGTTTCCGTGGATGTGTGGTTCTGGCCTCCCTATGAATTTTTCAGTTGTGTAACCTGCCTTTTTTTCATTTAATCGTATATTGTGAACATTTTTTGGCAACATTAGCAGTTCCTGTACAATGCAAATTTTAATGGCTGCCTAGTATTCTGCCATACTTTATTTTGTTAGACAGTTATGTTGTTTTCAGTTTTACTCTATTGTAAATAACACTGGGGTTAATATCCTTCACGCAATCTTTGTACACATGCATATTGATTTCCTTATGATAAATTCTTTGAGTGAAATTACCAAATAGGCATATTTTTAAAGTAGTTGATAGATACTGCCAAATTGCCCTCCAGAAAAATTGTACCAATTTATATTCCCACCCGTTTCCTGCCACTTTCCTCAACATTTTAATACCTCAGCATTCAAATCCCTGCCAATTTCATAACCTGAATAAATAAAAAGACATGCTATTGTTGTAATCCATGTGTCTTTGATGACAACAGAAGGCAAATATTTTTTAGATGTTTATTGGCCTTCTGTATTTACTTGTTTTAATGTGTGTGTGAGACTGTCCAGTTCTAAGCCCGTTTTTTATTTTTTCAGTAGGTGCAGGTATCTTTTTCTTATTGATGGATAAAGCTATTTATATATGAAAAATTTAACTCTTGCCTAGGCTTATTGCAAACTTTTTTTGCAATTTGCACTTTGCCTTTTACTTTTGCATATGGTGTTTTTTTTTCAATGAGCAGAAGCTTTAAATGTTGACAGGGTCAAATTTTGCAATGTTTTTCCTTAGTATTATGCTAAAAGAAAAATATAAGCCCTACCTCCAAATTATCCCTCTATGTTTTCTTTCTGTTCTTTTAGATTTTGTTTTAAATGTTTTACTGTTAAAAGGAAATTGTCCCTCAGGTCTCTGCTTGTGTTTTTTCTGATTTCCCCAGTCAGGTAAAATGCCTCCTGAATGCCAGATACCTGCTGTCATAGCACTTTGCACAATGGCAGTATTTTCTGCTTGTGTGATTCTTTGATTAATGTTTGTGGCCTACTGTAGCATGCGAGCCTCATGAAGAGGGCAGCACTGTCTCTTTTCCACTCCCTTTTCTTTTCTTTTCTTTTTCTTTTTCTTTTTCTTTTTTTTTTTTTTCAGACAGAGTCTTGCTCTGTCACCCAGGCTGGAGTGAGGTGGCAATCTTGGCTCACTGCAACCTCCACCACCTGGGTCCAAGCAATCCCACTGCCTCAGCCTCCGGAGTAGCTGGGACTACAGGTGTGCGCCACCACACCCAGCTAATTTTTGTATTTTTAGTAGAGATAGGATTTCACCGTATTGGTCAGGCTGGTCTTGAATTCCTGATCTCAGGTGATCCACCCACCTTGGCCTCCCAAAGTGCTGGGATTACAGGTGTGAGCCATCGAACCCCAGCACCCATCAAAGTGCCAAGCACCTGTATCTGCTCTTGTGTTACCACTCAGGGAAACTGAGGCTTTCTGTTTCTTTCTATCAGCCCCCACCTGTTCTATTTAGCTCAGCTAATATACATATATACATATTTACATATGTATGTATATATACACACATTACTATGTATATAGCTTTATGGCTACACATTTATATCCTATCCAGTCTTTTTGTGAGTTTGCAGCCAGAAGTCTGCCTTGGTTCATTGGGCAACTGTCCTCTTCTTACCTGCAGTAGCTCCCTTAGTAATCCCCCGGGCTTTATAAGCAGGCAAACATCATACCTAAAAGTAATCGAGTATATCTTACTTTTACTAGTTACAAAGTGCATCTTTGATTTGTTTATCACATCCGCTAAAACTTCCAGAACATGTGGGGATTTTACAAACAGGAAAAAAAAAAACTATATAAAACCAAAATAGAAGAAAATGGCTAGATTTCATTTGGGTTGTAATTTTTTTTTCAATTACAAATTTTAAAAGATATCTGGATGGTCTCCTGATGTGCACACAAAGATAATTTCCATCATTCTTATATCAATACTAAAGGCAGCCACCAGCCACCCCCACCAAAAGCCTGCTCTGGTCTCTTTGCACCACTGCAGAAGTCCAGTGTTCCAGCTGAAAGAAAAGTCCTGCCACCTCCAGCTGAGAGACTGAGAGCAGAACAGTAGCAGAGTGTCGTGTTGAGGTGCCCCGCCCGACTGTCAGGAAAGCTAGGGTCAGTCCCAGCTCTGCCGCTCGGCTGGAATCCTGTCTTGGACAAGACTGTCTTTCTCTAGGTCTCATTTCCCCACTTCCTTTTTTTTTTTTTTTTTGACATCTTTTATTTATTTATTTATTTATTTATTTATTTATTTATTTATTTTTATTATTATTATACTTTAAGTTTTAGGGTACATGTGCACCATGTGCAGGTTAGTTACATACGTATACATGTGCCATGCTGGGGCGCTGCACCCACTAACTCGTCATCTAGCATTAGGTATATCTCCTAATGCTATCCCTCCCCCCTCCCCCCACCCCACAACAGTCCTCAGAGTGTGATGTTCCCCTTCCTGTGTCCATGTGTTCTCATTGTTCAATTCTCACCTATGAGTTAGAATATGCGGTGTTTGGTTTTTTGTTCTTGCGATAGTTTACTGAGAATGATGATTTCCAATTTCATCCATGTCCCTACAAAGGACATGAACTCATCACTTTTTATGGCTGCATAGTATTCCATGGTGTATATGTGCCACGTTTTCTTAATCCAGTCTATCATTGTTGGACATTTGGGTTGGTTCCAAGTCTTTGCTATTGCGAATAGTGCCGCAATAAACATACGTGTGCATGTGTCTTTATAGCAGCATGATTTATAGTCCTTTGGGTATATACCCAGTAATGGGATGGCTGGGTCAAATGGTATTTCTAGTTCTAGATCCCTGAGGAATTGCCACACTGACTTCCACACTGGTTGAACTAGTTTACTGTCCCACCAACAGTGTAAAAGTGTTCCAGTTTCTCCACATCCTCTCCAACACCTGTTGTCTCCTGACTTTTTAATGATTGCCATTCTAACTGGTGTGAGATGGTATCTCATTGTGGTTTTGATTTGCATTTCTCTGATGGCCAGTGATGGTGAGCATTTTTTCACGTGTCTTTTGGCTGCATAAATGTCTTCTTTTGAGAAGTGTTTGTTCATGTCCTTTGCCCACTTTTTGATGGGGTTGTTTGTTTTTTTCTTGTAAATTTGTTTGAGTTCATTGCAGATTCTGGATATTAGCCCTTTGTCAGATGAGTAGGTTGCGAAAATTTTCTCCCATTTTGTAGGTTGCCTGTTCCCTCTGATGGTAGTTTCTTTTGCTGTGCAGAAGCTCTTTAGCTTAATTAGATCCCATTTGTCAATTTTGGCTTTTGTTGCCATTGCTTTTGGTGTTTTAGACATGAAGTCCTTGCCCATGCCTATGTCCTGAATGGTAATGCGTAGGTTTTCTTCTAGGGTTTTTATGGTTTTAGGTCTAACGTTTAAGTCTTTAATCCATCTTGAATTGATTTTTGTATAAGGTGTAAGGAAGGGATCCAGTTTCAGCTTTCTACATATGGCTAGCCAGTTTTCCCAGCACCATTTATTAAATAGGGAATCCTTTCCCCATTGCTTGTTCTTCTCAGGTTTGTCAAAGATCAGATAGTTGTAGATATGCAGCGTTATTTCTGAGGGCTCTGTTCTGTTCCATTGATCTATATCTCTGTTTTGGTACCAGTACCATGCTGTTTTGGTTACTGTAGCCTTGTAGCATAGTTTGAAGTCAGGTAGTGTGATGCCTCCAGCTTTGTTCTTTTGGCTTAGGATTGACTTGGCGATGCAGGCTCTTTTTTGGTTCCATATGAACTTCAAAGTAGTTTTTTCCAATTCTGTGAAGAAAGTCATTGGTAGCTTGATGGGGATGGCATTGAATCTGTAAATTACCTTGGGCAGTATGGCCATTTTCACGGTATTGATTCTTCCTACCCATGAGCATGGAATGTTCTTCCATTTGTTTGTATCCTCTTTTATTTCCTTGAGCAGTGGTTTGTAGTTCTCCTTGAAGAGGTCTTTCACATCCCTTGTAAGTTGGATTCCTAGGTGTTTTATTCTCTTTGAAGCAATTGTGAATGGGAGTTCACTCATGATTTGGCTCTCCGTTTGTCTGTTGTTGGTGTATAAGAATGCTTGTGATTTTTGTACATTGATTTTGTATCCTGAGACTTTGCTGAAGTTGCTTATCAGCTTAAGGAGATTTTGGGCTGAGACAACGGGGTTTTCTAGATATACAATCATGTCATCTGCAAACAGGGACAATTTGACTTCCTCTTTTCCTAATTGAATACCCTTTATTTCCTTCTCCTGCCTAATTGCCCTGGCCAGAACTTCCAACACTATGTTGAATAGGAGTGGTGAGAGAGTGCATCCCTGTCTTGTGCCAGTTTTCAAAGGGAATACTTCCAGTTTTTGCCCATTCAGTATGATATTGGCTGTGGGTTTGTCATAGATAGCTCTTATTATTTTGAGATACATCCCATCAATACCTAATTTATTGAGAGTTTTTAGCATGAAGGGTTGTTGAATTTTATCAAAGGCCTTTTCTGCATCTATTGAGATAATCATGTGGTTTTTGTCTTTGGTTCTGTTTATATGCTGGATTACATTTATTGATTTGCGTATATTGAACCAGCCTTGCATCCCAGGGATGAAGCCCACTTGATCATGGTGGATAAGCTTTTTGATGTGCTGCTGGATTCGTTTTGCCAGTATTTTATTGAGGATTTTTGCATCAATGTTCATCAAGGATATTGGTCTAAAATTCTCTTTTTTGGTTGTGTCTCTGCCTGGCTTTGGTATCAGGATGATGCTGGCTTCATAAAATGAGTTAGGGAGGATTCCCTCTTTTTCTATTGATTGGAATAGTTTCAGAAGGAAAGGTACCAGTTCCCCCTGGTACCTCTGCTAGAATTCGGCTGTGAATCCATCTGGTCCTGCACTCTTTTTGCTTGGTAAGCTATTGATTATTGCCACAATTTCAGCTCCTGTTATTGGTCTATTCAGAGATTCAACTTCTTCCTGGTTTAGTCTTGGGAAAGTGTATGTGTTGAGGAATTTATCCATTTCTTCTAGATTTTCTAGTTTATTTGCGTAGAGGTGTTTGTAGTATTCTCTGATGGTAGTTTGTATTTCTGTAGGATCGGTGATGATATCCCCTTTACCATTTTTTATTGAGTCTATTTGATTCTTCTCTCTTTTTTTCTTTTTTAGTCTTGCTAGTGGTCTATCAATTTTGTTGATCCTTTCAAAAAACCAGCTCCTGGATTCATTAATTTTTTGAATGGTTTTTTTGTGTCTCTATTTCCTTCAGTTCTGCTCTGATTTTAGTTATTTCTTGCCTTCTGCTAGCTTTTGAATGTGTTTGCTCTTGCTTTTCTAGTTCTTTTAATTGTGATGTTAGGGTGTCAATTTTGGATCTTTCCTGCTTTCTCTTGTGGGCATTTAGTGCTATAAATTTCCCTCTACACACTGCTTTGAATGCATCCCAGAGATTCTGGTATGTTGTGTCTTTGTTCTCGTTGGTTTCAAAGAACATCTTTATTTCTGCCTTCATTTCGTTATGTACCCAGTAGTCATTCAGGAGCAGGTTGTTCAGTTTCCATGTAGTTGAGCGGTTTTGAGTGAGATTCTTAATCCTGAGTTCTAGTTTGATTGCACTGTGGTCTGAGAGACAGTTTGTTATAATTTCTGTTCTTTTACATTTGCTGAGGAGAGCTTTACTTCCAAGTATGTGGTCAATTTTGGAATAGGTGTGGTGTGGTGCTGAAAAAAATGTATATTCTGTTGATTTGGGGTGGAGAGTTCTGTAGATGTCTATTAGGTCCACTTGGTGCAGAGCTGAGTTCAATTCCTGGGTATCCTTGTTGACTTTCTGTCTCGTTGATCTGTCTAATGTTGACAGTGGGGTGTTAAAGTCTCCCATTATTAATGTGTGGGAGTCTAAGTCTCTTTGTAGGTCTCTAAGGACTTGCTTTATGAATCTGGGTGCTCTTGTATTGGGTGCATATGTATTTAGGATAGTTAGCTCTTCTTGTTGAATTGATCCCTTTGCCATTAAGTAATGGCCTTCTTTGTCTCTTTTGATCTTTGTTGGTTTAAAGTCTGTTTTATCAGAGACTAGGATTGCAACCCCTGCCTTTTTTTTGTTTTCCATTTGCTTGGTAGATCTTCCTCCATCCTTTTATTTTGAGCCTATGTGTGTCTCTGCACGTGAGATGGGTTTCCTGAATACAGCACACTGATGGGTCTTGACTCTTTATCCAATTTGCCAGTCTGTGTCTTTTAATTGGAGCATTTAGTCCATTTACATTTAAAGTTAATATTGTTATGTATGAATTTGATCCTGTCATTATGATGTTAGCTGGTTATTTTGCTCGTCTGTTGATGCAGTTTCTTCGTGGTCTTGATGGTCTTTACATTTTGGCATGATTTTGCAGTGGCTGGTACCAGTTGTTCCTTTCCATGCTTAGCGCTTCCTTCAGGAGCTCTTTTAGGGCAGGCCTGGTGGTGACAAAATCTCTCAGCATTTGCTTGTCTGTAAAGTATTTTATTTCTCTTTCACTTATGAAGCTTAGTTTGGCTGGATATGAAATTCTGGGTTGAAAATTCTTTTCTTTAAGAATGTTGAATATTGGCCCCAACTCTCTTCTGGCTTGTAGAGTTTCTGCCCAGAGATCTGCTGTTAGTCTGATGGGCTTCCCTTTGAGGGTAACCTGACCTTTCTCTCTGGCTGCCCTTAACATTTTTTCCTTCATTTCAACTTTGGTGAATCTGACAATTATGTGTCTTGGAGTTGCTCTTCTCGAGGATTATCTTTGTGGCGTTCTCTGTATTTCCTGAATCTGAATGTTGGCCTGCCTTGCTAGATTGGGGAAGTTCTCCTGGATAATATCCTGCAGAGTGTTTTCCAACTTGGTTCCATTCTCCCTGTCACTTTCAGGTACACCAATCAGATGTAGATTTGGTCTTTTCACATAGTCCCATATTTCTTGGAGGCTTTGCTCGTTTCTTTTTATTCTTTTTTCTCTAAACTTCCCTTCTCACTTCATTTCATTCATTTCATCTTCCATCGCTGATACCCTTTCTTCCAGTTGATCGCATCGGCTCCTGAGGCTTCTGCATTCTTCACGTAGTTCTCGAACCTTGGTTTTCAGCTCCATCAGCTCCTTTAAGCACTTCTCTGTATTGGTTATTCTAGTTATACATTCTTCTAAATTTTTTTCAAAGTTTTCAACTTCTTTGCCTTTGGTTTGAATTTCCTCCCGTAGCTCGGAGTAATTTGATCGTCTGAAGCCTTCTTCTCTCAGCTCATCAAAGTCATTCTCCATCCAGCTTTGTTCCGTTGCTGGTGAGGAACTGCGTTCCTTTGGAGGAGGAGAGGCGCTCTGCTTTTTAGAGTTTCCAGTTTTTCTGCTCTGTTTTTTCCCCATCTGTGTGGTTTTATCTACTTTTGGTCTTTGATGATGGTGATGTTCAGATGGGTTTTTGGTGTGGATGTCCTTTCTGTTTGTTAGTTTTCCTTCTAACAGACAGGACCCTCAGCTGCAGGTCTGTTGGAGTACCCGGCTGTGTGAGGTGTCAGTCTGCCCCTGCTGGGGGGTGCCTCTCAGTTAGGCTGCTCGGGGGTCAGGGGTCACATTTTCCCACTTCCTAATGGAGGTGCCTGCCTCCCAGCTCCACAGCCTAGGTTCCTGATACCATGGCCTTCAGCTAGTGCAGGTCCTGCCCACCCTCCAGACCTTGATCTCCAAGAAAGGTTATCTTTGTCAGAATAGATGCAAGCCAAGGGATACTTAAACACTGACTCCCAAGCCTGCTGCAGTGACGGTGTTAAAGAGATAAGCCTTGGCCAGGCGCGGTGGCTCACGCCTGTAATCCTAGCACTTTGGGAGGCCGAGGCAGGTGGATCACTAGGTCAGGAGATCGAGACCATCCTGGCTAACACGGTGAAACCCCGTCTCTACTAAAAAAAAAAAAAAAAAAAAAAAAAAAAATACAAAAAATTAGCCCAGAGTGGTGTCGGGTGCCTGTAGTCTCAGCTACTTGGGAGGCTGAGGCAGGAGAATGGCATGAACCCGGGAGGTGGAGCTTGCAGTGAGCCGAGATCGCGTCACTGCACTCCAGCCTGGGTGAAAGTGCGAGACTCCATCTCAAAAAAATAAAAATAAAAAAATAAAAATAAAAATAAAGCCTTGGAGAATATCCGTTATTGGTTGAGTTGCACCAAGACAGATCGTGGAGAAAATAAACCCTAAAGCACTGTAAACCTATCACAGAAACAGAGCACTGAAGGCAAGCAATGGCGGGAAAGAACAAAATCAACAGGAGGCACCACCACCAAGTTCAGGGGAAGCAGAGGCAAGGGTGCAAATCCTTCAAAGCCGTGCAGGCACCACCTCTGCAGGGCTCCATCCCTGGTCCCTGCCCCAACACCACCACCCACATTCCCCTCTCCTCATAGTAGAGGTCTCCACCACCATGCCGTCTGCTCCTTGAGAACACGGACTATGCCTCATCATTTTGTGTCTCCAAGCACTTTTTGAAAGCTCAGATGGTGAAGTAATTTGTTTTTTGTTTGTTTGTTTGTTTTTGAGACGGAGTCTCGCTCTGTAGCCCACGCTGGAGTGCAGTGGCGCTGTCTTGGCTCGCTGCAACCTCCGCCTCCCGGGTCCAGGTTCAAGCAATTCTCCTGCCTCAGCCTCCCGAGTATCTGGGATTACAGGCGCACACCACCATGCCCAGCTAATTTTTGTACTTTTAGTAGAGACGGGGTTTCACCATATTGGCCAGGCTGGTCTTGAACTCCTTACCTCATGATCCACCTGCCTCCGCCTCCCAAAGTGCTGGGATTACAGGCGTGAGCCACCTCGCCCGACCATTTTTTACTATTTATTTATAAATATATATATATATGTGTGCATATATATATATACATCTATATATCACCTAGGTGCATGTATCATTGTAAAAATTTTTCACATCATTAAATATTCTTGTAAAATATGATTTATTAGTAGCTACATAATGTTGCATCTTGTACCTAAGCATTCTCTATTTTGCCAGGTATTTAGCTTTGCTCTTTGAGCTGTTTTAAGTAACTCTGTAACATGCATCTTTGCCCCTAAATCTTTGTCTGAGTATCTTGTCAGTCCCCTAGGATTTGTCCTACTTGGGTCAAAAGCTATGAACATTTACAGGGCTGCTGAGATATACTACTACATTCCTTCCAGAAATGTACAAGCACTGTCTGAAGTTACCCATCTCAACAAATCCTTGCGAGCACTAGGTTTTAAATTATAATAATAAAAATCTTCGCTCATTTTGTCAAGAGAAATGGAAACTCATTGTTGCTTTAATGGCCTTTTCTTTGATTACTAGTGAAGCTGAACATTTCCTCATTTGGCTACTGTCCATTTGTAATTTATCTTTTGTGAGTTTTCTGTTCATTCCTTCTTCCCTTTCTCTCTGTCTCCCTCTTTCCCTCTGACATTCAGTGAAGATGTGTTGAGCATTGATTTGTCAGACCATGGCAAACAGGGATCAGGAAGATACAGTCAAGGACTCACAACACACCCCAGGCCAGAACACTAGCTGGAGCCAGTGACAGTTGCTGCCAGAAGGCAATCACAAGTCAATTTTTTTTAATTGTGGTAAAATGCACATAAGATAAAATGTGTCAGCTTAACTATTTTTAAATATATACTTCAGTAGTGTTAAGCTTATTTACATTGCTATGCAACCCATCTCCAGAACATTTTCATCTTGCAAAATTGAAAATCTGTACCCATTAAACCGTAACTCCTCAGACCTCCCTCCCCCAGAACCTGGCAACCACCATTCCAGTTTCCATCTCTGTGAATTTGACTACTCTGGGAACCTCAATTAAGTAGAATCATATAGCATGTGTGTTTTTGTGGCTGGTTTATTTTATTTAATATAATATCCTCAAGATTTATCCATGTTGTAGCATGTGTCAGAATTTCCTTCCTTTTTTAAAGCTAAATAATATTCCATTGTATGGATAGACCACATTTTGTGTGTTCATTCATCCATCAATGGACACTTATTTCTATGTTTTGGCTGTAGTGAATTGTGTTGCTATAAAAATGGGTATACAGATACAGTATCCCCAAATACCTGCAAGTATCTTCTGGGTATATATTCAAAATATTATTTGGGGATATATACACTCTGAGTATATAGAATAGCTATCCAAAGAATATTTTGGATATATACCCAGGAGCGGAATTGCTGAGTCATGTGGTAATTCGATTTTTCGTTCTTTGAGGAGCCATCGTGTGTTAAGCAGTCACACCATTTTACATTCCCACCAGCAGAGCACAGGGGCTCCAATTTCTCCACATCCTCACCAACACTTGGCATTTTCTGTTTTTTTTTTAATAGTAGTCATCCTGACAGATGAGAGCTGATATCTCATTTTGCTTTTGATGTGCATGTCCCTAATGATTAGTGACATGTTTTCATGTGCTGGTGTGGTGTGTATCTTCCCAGTGTGTAATTTTTGATATTGCCTTTTCCACTTATATTAGTCAGGGCTCTCCAGAGAGACAGAACTAATAGGATATATGTATGTATAAAATGGAGTTTTTTAGGGAGAATTGACTCACATGATCACAAAGAGAAGTCCCACGATAGGCCATCTGCAAACTGGGAAAGAGAAAAGCCAGCAGTAGCTCAGTTCAAGTCTGAAAGCCTCAAACCCAGGGAAGCCAACAGTGTAGCCTTCCATCTGTGGCCAAAGGCCCAAGAGCCCCCCAGAAGCCACTGGTTCAAGTCCCAGAGTCCAAAGGCTGAAGAATCTGGAGTATGATGTCCAAGGACAGGAGGAGTGGGAGGAAGCACCCATCATGGAAAAAGAAGGAAGCCAGAAGACCCAGGAAGCCAGATCATCCCAACTCCCTCCACCTGCTTCGTTCTAGCCGCACTGGCAGCAGATGGGATGCTGTCACCCACATTGAGGGCGGGTCTTCCTCTCCCAGTCCACTGACTCAAATGCCAATCTCCTCTGGCAACACCCTCACAAACACACCAAGAAACAATACTCTACCACCCATGTAGCCATTCTTCAATCCAATCAAGTTGACACCTAATATTAACCATCACAAGTCTACCCATTGTCAACTGGGCACCCATACACATGTCCTGAAATCATACTTAATCTCCACATAAAGACAATAATAAGGTCGTAATTATGCCTAACATAATACAGCTATCCTTCGTACAACAAGAAGCACACTAATCCTTAACCTAAATGCTAAGACAAACAACGCTTAAATGCTGATATGAAGTCAATAAATTTTATGTTACATGATAAAGGAAAAAGAAAAGAAATAAAATGAAGATATTTCCTTAGTACAGGTGTATACATGCACAAACATATTTTTAACAAAATAAGGAGTAAATACTCATGACAATTACAGTCTTCATTTCTACAACTGGTCACGTGGTCATAGCTGTTATTGATGACTACCTTCTTCTACGCATTCTGTACTCCCTTTGCCTTCAGCAAGTACCTTGGCTGATCATGATTTTTCACCTGGTACTGTGATCCTTCATTCCTGAAAGTCTGGGTCATTTGTTCCTGCCTGGATTAGGCTGTAGTTTCCCATTGGCCTTAGCTTCCAAGATCAGACGAGATGGGATGGATTCAGTGTGGTATGGTCGTAGAGCCATTGACCTTAATCCCAGGGCATGGTAGTACTAAGAGACGCCCAGAGGGATCTCATGTGCTCCACACATACTCTTCCTTACCTTCATCGAGGAGTAGTAGTCGATTTCATCTTGATAGTCCAGGTCAATCACCCCAACCAACACTGGAACTCTCTTCTTAACCTGTTGACTTAGAGGCAGGAGGAGCCCAGAGTGGCCAGGTGGCAGTGTTAACTTCCAGTTCAATGGAATCATTGTTGCGTCTCCTGGTGACAGCATTCCTCCCTCTGGAGCTAAGACCTCTAGGCTTGCAGAACATAGTGTCACAGTAACAGGAAGCAAAAATTCTGCTAGTGGATCACTAGAGGTGATGGTGAGTGGTGCCACTTCCACTTTCATCCCTTGATTCCTGGACCTGTGAATCTTGGCTATGGGAGAAAGAGTACCATATATTGGAGGCTGATTCAGAGTATACACAGCCTTCTGGAGAACTTTGCCCCAACCCTGCAAAGTATCATCACCTAGTTGGTGTTGTAAGGCCATTCCACTGTTCTATCAATCCAGCTGCTTCAGGATGGTGGAGAACATGGTAAGAATAGTGAATTCCATGAGCATGAGCTCACTGCTGCTCTGGCAGCTGATGGGATACTGCCCACCCACATTGAGGGTAGGTCCTCCTCTCCTAGTCCACCAACTCAAATGTCAATCTCCTCTGGCAACACCCTCCAAGACACACCCAGAAACAATCGTTTACTGGCCATCTAGGCATCCTTCAATCCAATCAAATTGATACCTCGTGTTCATAACCATCACATTTAGCACAGAAACACTGGGAGAGATTTGTCTTTCTGCATTAGCTCATGACTGTTTAGTAATATGTGTAACATGAAACTGACTCGGAAATATCCCCAGGATTGACTGGTTTCCAAATGAAAAAAAAAAAAAAAAAGTCTCCTGTTAGTCCCTGATCAACCAAACCCTGCACAGCCCCAAGACAGGAAGGTGCGAGGCCCTGTACGGGACTGATGGGTAGGTCTGAAGAGACTCTGTAAGTGTGAGAAAGGCACTTTATTCGAAGGCATTCTGGCTCTTCGAAGTCTCACTGTGAATGTTGTATCAGCAAATATGTACCCAGGGATTTAATAACACATTAAAGAAAGGATTGGACATAAATTATTTTGAATGGCTGTCTATGCAGTTTGAATCTATAAATAATCAGTCGCCTCTTTGTTTTAGCTCTGGAAAGAGGGCATGGGACATAGTAACAGGGATCATCTTATCCTCACCTCAGAGTGGACACACGTGTGAGCGTTAGTGGGATTAACCCGTGTGGACAGGTTGGGAGGTTTTCTAAGATGTTGATAATTTTTCCCTCTTGATATCATTAATTCTCTATGTCTCTGCTTTCAGATTTATCTGCAGTAACTTTTTGATTCTAAGCTGGACAAACTGCAGTCCTGAATCCCTTCTCCCAGTTGTGAATTGTTACAGGCTCAGAAAGGCAAGTTAATCTTAGTGTTTGTGGAAGCAAAACACATTCTGGCTGTTGAATCTCTTGATCTTCTCCCAAGACCTCCCTGCCATTCACTATCCCCCTAAGAACTTCCCAAATGACAGTGAGAGACACCGATGCTCATGTGAATTTTGACAGGATTCTTTCTCTGAGCTCGGGGCAGGTGCGGCTCCACACAGGTTGAGTGTTGGGGGTAGTCAGAGACCAGAGAAGAAAGTGGGGAAACCCAGGGGCAGACATCCTCATGTCCTCCAGTCCTGAGCCTGTTTGGGCTCTGAATCAGACCAAAGGATTTGATTCTCAACCCTGTCCTGCAAAACAGATCAGAGGGTCCTGAGGAAGAGTTGCAATGGGTCATGACTGGTGGGGCTGGTCATAGCCAGTCAGAGGTGCCATACAGCCCCAGAGGTCTCCATACACTCCCCACCAAGCTTGTTCTGGTGAGCTCATCTTCATTGGAGGTGGGGAATGACCCTTCCTCAAGATGACCAAATACTCATGAGATGTATAATTCTACAGAAAAAAAAAAAAAGGCCTGAAAGCAGCAGCAGAAACAGAAACTGTATGAATTTTAAAGGAGTGTTGTCCAGCGCACTTGGGGAAATGGCACAGAGGGTTTTGTGAGAGGGGGCTCGGGGGCAGATCCCAGGGAAAGTGACTGTCCTTTCCGCAAGCAAGCACAGCCACCTAAGAACAAGCCATCTTTTTGCATAAAGAGATAAGGAAGGGGCACAAAGGCGGGCACAGATGTCCAAAGGCAAGAGCCGTCAACACAGGAGCCAAAACTGCAGAGGAGGCCAGGGTGACCTTGGCCTCTGGAGAACAAATACAAGCAAAACAAAGTTTCCAGGAGACATGCCAGACAATTGAGATGGCAATCTCTCCAGATCTGGCAAGGGCAACACCTCTTCCAGAAAGTCCGTGCTGACTCTTGCACCTCCCCAGTACTCCAGGTGGCCCCTGGCTCAGCCATCACTCAGCTTTTCTCAGGACACGCAGACGATATGCGTGCATCCTAATCTCCCACCAGACATGAGCCCCTCCTGGGCAGGACTGCCTTATTCAGCCCTGGGTCTAAGCCCAGAGCCCAATTCCAGGCCCAGCACAAAGTAAATGTTCAATTAAACTTTGGTGACAGGAACTGAAAATAGTTTAGCACCCCCCACCAAATCCACAAATTTTACTTTGTGGGTGTGCAGTGTGACATGGAAGGCCATTAAAGGGTTTGAGTAGAAGACAGAGAGTTGCCCAAATTGAAGGTAAAAGTCAGATTTGATCCAAAGGTTATTTTGATGTTCTGGATCAGTTCATAGTTTAGTCTAAAAATGTTAGTTTCCATCTGGGGGTTGGCAGAATTGTGTGTAGTAAAACCTCAGTGACATGTTCTCTTTCAAAAGGAGAAATAAGAGGCAGACTGGAAGGTGAAACATGACACAGTTGTTATAAATAAACTAATTTTAACAACTTTATTGAGATGTAATTTACATAACATAGATATAGAACCATAAATATGTCATACGTGTTCAACTAGATGCAACCTCTCACAGAGAGCAAGGAACAGAACGTTGCCAACACCCCAGAGGCGCAGCCCTGGACTCTTCAGTCTTGGCACCTGACCCAGTGCAGAGCCACTTTCGTGGCAAATACTTTCTGTGTATCTACCGGGCTATGTTTCTCCAAGCGATGCCACCGCTGCTACAGGTGAAGGATTTCCTCAACTCTGAGCACGCTCCCTCTGGTCATGGGTTCTGTCGGAGTTGGTATAGTGGACACCGAGGTGTGCCGCCCAGACCGCCCCCTGCCATGAAGGAGGCATTACCCATCACCTGCTCTCGTAGACACCTTCAGGGACCACGGCTGCAGAGAACGACCTCACCCAAGGTTACAGACCAGTGCAGGTGATAAAGGTCAGGCCATCTTAGCCCAACTCAGGACAACTCTGAAGGGCCATTCTAGCTCAGAGCACCCCTGGGGTCAGCCAAGAAGCCACTTTTCTGCCGCTGCCCAGTCCTGCTCCCTCCTCCTCCCTTCTACAAGTTCGGTCCCACGAGCCCTCCCTGGTAAACAACCTGCACACTGAACTCCACCTCAGACTCGGCTTGCTGGGGACCCAACCTGCAACAGTCGGCTCCCCATTCAGCCTTCCTGCCTTCACTTTCCACAGAGGGTGCTGAGTGCCCCCTATATCCTGGGCCTGGCATCAGGACTGGCCAATGTTGACAGAATAGTCATTAACGCTCATGTGCCTGCTGTGGTGCTGTGCTGTTTACAGAGCACTTTCATGCATGTTATCTCATTTCCTTTCTTTGTCTGTGCATTCATTCATTTACTCCTCATCCAACAGACATCGTGAATGCTTGCTCCACACAGAAGTGAAGATATAATGAAGAAAAAGACCTTTCCTTCCCCTGGAGAGCTCACAGTCAACTGCACAAGGCTGATGTCAAACCAGAGAATTCTCCCAGGCATTAAAGCCATGATGGAGCAGACACAGAGGCCATGAAGTGGGGAGAAGGAGGGCAATCAGGGAGGGCTTTCTGGGGAGGTGGGAACTCGGAACCAGCAGCTGGAAGCAATGGGATCCAGGAGAGCACTAAATCCAACACCGAACACTACAGTCATCCCAGCAGTGCAAGAAACCTGCACACAAACCAAGCTACTCAGAGGTTTCTATTGGTCTAACCCGGGATGGCAGGAAGTCAGAGACGTCTAATGGCCTTGCACTTCCCTCCAGCACGACCTCCTGGAGGCTCCTTCCCACTGGGGCCTGGGAAATGGAAGAGAGGAGACTGAAAAGGGAAGGAGGGAGTTTCCGGAGGGGGCTGGTGGGATTGCAAATGAAAGAATAACAGGATCTTGGAAAGCTGCCCCAGGTCCCACCTCAAGCACTGGATTAATTTAAATCCTTCTTTGCCACTTTCCAGAGTCAACAGGATTTGCTAAGTGTTGTATCTCCCGTAGGAGAAGAACCTTGAGAGAAAAAGATTTTTTAAATACATGTAAGTGAGATGTTTTCACTAATCTGATTTTGGGGCATATTGACACTTGTGAAATATTTAAATGCTTAATTGTGCTGTCAGACACACTACTTCAGAACATATCTGGATAGAAGAACAATGAGCATTAGATTATGCTTTTAGATGTTACAGAGATGAAAATATATCTTGGCTATTTATCAAATTAATCACCCTATAATCTAAAGACAAATGGGATTCCTAGGGCAGTATTCAGCCAGTAATTTAATGCCTAAGTTTTTCTGATCAATAAACCATTGGCCTGTTAGAATATTTAAGTCATGCTTAAAGTCATTCAGAAAAAAAAATCTATTAACTTAAGTTCTTGAAAGCATGTCTTTAATTTAAAACGTCATTTTCTATTTAAGCATTGCATTTTACATTATTCTAAAACAATCCTGATCTTTTTTATCTTAATTTTAATAAAAAGAGTGAAACAAATATTTTGAATCAGAACTATGGCATAATGTATTGTCTTTTGTTCAATTAATATTTTGTTCAACAAATATACAAATAAATAATGCCATCGCATTGTACAACTCCAGGGGACACCATTCCTGTTTTATCCTTGAGAAACATCCAGGTCTGCGTGAGTCCTTGGGACACCAAGGGATAAAACAGAGCTCTGGGAGCTGCAGACGCCAGCACAGGGCACTGCAGAGCCCAGAGGAGGGTGTCAGTCTCACTGGTGGATTTGAGAAGGTGCCAGGCGGTAACACCTAGAATATCAAAGCCACAGGAGACTCTTCAAAGATTATCCAAATGAGAGATTAAGAGACTTGTCCAGGCTAACTGAAGTGACTGTAAGACCAGAGTCACAATTTACTGCCTGTCCAAATTTAGTATGCCTACACTCACTGGTTAAAAATTATGCAATTTATTGGTGCCTTAAAAAAACTATTAATAAAATGTATTTGAGACCATGTAATGATAAGAAGCATTTGGCACCTGAAGGAAAAAAATGCAAGTGTGGTGTTGTAGAATTCTGTCCTATGAAAACATCTGGCTTTGTGTGCTTGTCGTGGAAGGGAGCAAAGCTTTAAAGGATTCCATCTGGAGTCACTGCATTAGCTGTGCCCACTTAATGCTAACAGGCTGCAAAGCAGCGCATGTTCTGTCGAAAATGATTTCCACCTCAGCACCCTGAATATGGAAGCATAGTTAATGTCCCACTATATCTTATTTGTTATTGTGGCCTCTGGTGTGGGTTTGTGGCTGCTGTGCAAAGTCTTCCTGGAATCATATTGCAGTGAACCTTCAGAGAGGAGAATGGAAAAGAAAAGAAGCTGCTTTTTAGAAGTTGCTTTCTTTTGGAATAGATGAGCATATCAGTCTCTAATAACACTGACCAGGAAAGGCTTCCTTTGTCTTGATTTTTCTCTCCCGATGATGATAATTAGATTTCCGGACACAGGAAGGAAGTGTGGAATGGAGCATCGTTTTGGAGGAATCTTTTAGAAGTGCTTCTTGAGATCGTGCATGAGTATGCAGCTGGTAAAGAAGATGCAGTGTTCATCTACCATCTCTGTTTTCAGAATCATTATTCTAAAGATTTTTATAGAGCGAAAAGCTGGGGGATAAAAAGTAAGAGTAGTTAACTGTCTAGGGAGTGCCTGCTGCATCCCAGACATTGTCACAGACATCCCAGGTGATGCATGATCACAGGGAGACTTGTGGCTGTGGTAGGGGGGACAGAAGAGTTACTGAGGACTGATGACGCATGTGCCGGGCATGGAGTTTCATGCTTTATATCCACTACCTTATCTATTCCTCACAACATCCTCTTGAGGAAAATAGAAGTGTGAGCTCCATTTGACAGGCGAGAAAGCTGAGGTTAAGAAAAGCTATTTCATTGCCCAGTCATATGACTTACACCCAGCCTGGGAGCTCCATGGCCTCTCTGTAGTTCGGAATTTGTGCAGGGCAAATTGCAAGTAAGCCATCAGTCAGAGTCTGATATTTCAGCCTGATCTACATCATAACTGCAATTAAGCTGGGCTGCAGAGACCAGCACTGGTCACTCACAAAAAAAGGACTGACTGTGTGGTGTGCAAGGAGCACCCTGTGATAGAGACGATCTGAAGTTCATATGAGATATTTTGAAAAAACAATTTGTAATCAGAAAAAACCCATGTTCTGAGAAACCTGTTTCCTCATCTTTCTTGAAGAAATTGAGGCGACTTCAAATTTACCCAACGAATTACTTCATTTTAATGTCAGAATGCATGGGGGGAGGTTCTGAGGTGAAAGAAAAATCAGTGTAATTGCTTCTTTTTTCAAAATCACATATTACTTTGTTCATTATAAAATAATGAAGCATTATTTAATCCAATTATGAAATAAATGAGATTGAGTAAATAGCACATCTGCATTCATTCGGTGATATAAAGTCAGGAAATGTTTATCCCACTGACATTTAAAAATAGCAGCTCTATTTTTCTTAGTAATTAAATTATAGGTGTTTTCATGACAAGAATATATTTTATAATAAATACAAATATGGCATTGTTAAATTAACTGTTAGGGATGAAGGCCTTCCCAGCTGGCTGGGTTTTGAAATGTAGATTCACTTCTTCAAAACCGAAGTCTATCCATCACCATGATCAATATGAAAGAAAATCATCAGTGAATTTTTTTTTAAGTCACTGTGAGAGACTAGGGTTAGGTCCGCAAGGCCCTATTCCAGTAAGTACACCTGCCCTTTGGATGAAATTTTTTTTAAGTCACTGTGAGATACCAGGGTTAGGTCTGAGAGGCCCTATTCCAGTATGTACACCTGCCCTCTTGTGGTATGCATCTGTATGATCACATACTATGCATTTTTAAGACCAGAAGACATACAATATTCCAAGTGGCTGTCTATAAGCCAAGCCATAGGGCCTAGTCCTCAAATAGTTCTGATTCTTTACAACAAGTGTTTTCTAGACGCCTCCTCTGCTAGGCATTAAAAATCTCAATGTGCTCATATTTAATGACAGCTATAATGGAATGAAATTATTTTATTGGCATTTTATTATTTATTTTGTTTCAGCTACTAGGGGTGCATAACAAGTTACCCCAGAACTTCATGGTGTAAAATGTCCATTCTCCGAGTCAGGAATTCAGACAGGGGATGGATTATCTGGGGTCTCAGGAAGGAGGCTCAAAGTCTGGGGGCTGGATACACTTGAAGGCTTGTTTACTCCAGTGGTGGATGAGACTGACTATAGGTGGGAGCCTCGGTTTTTCTCAGTGCGTGTGGGCTGTTCATGTGGGCTAGTCTGGGCTTCTTTAGAGCACAGTGGCTGTGTTGCAAGGATGAATGTTCTGAGAGAGAGAATACTAGGCAAAAGCTCTATTCGTTTTTATGATGCAGCCTCAGGAATTAGACATGGTCACCTCTGCCATATTCTACTGGACACAAAGGGCCAGTTCTTATTTAGTATGGGAGGGGACTGCCTAAGGACATGAATACGGGGAAATGCGAGTTATTCGGGCATCTGGAAGGCTGACTGCCATGCATGTCGATGGGAAACTAGTGTCTGTTAGGGGGATGGCACCCGGTCCTAATGCACTCTCCATCCAACTGCGAGCCAGTGTGGAGGGTTGACGTCCCCTCCCCTTCCCACTTCCACTGGAATGTCTCCAGGAAGATGATCAAGGGGAGAAGTCCTGAGAGAGGAAATTACCCAAGGGAAGAGACCCAGTCTTCCAGGATGTAGCTCTGGAGTTAAAAAGGGAGGCCAGAGGCGGGGCTGTAGCACAGATGGGCAGGAGGGGGTCAGGCTCCAGGGAAGGGTGGGAATGGGACTTCTCCCTATGCTCCTGTCTCAGGTTCTCTTCCCCATCCCCACTTCTGCCTGCTTTTTAAGAAAGTCCCATCAAGGACTTCTGGGAGAAATACGAATGACTAATAAACATTTTTGAAAAATCTTCAATCTCACCAGTAACCCTGGAAACAGACACTGAAGCAGCAAATCAGGCATGCTGAAAGGATTTTATTAGGCAGGAAAGGTATGGTCAGAGTGCTTTCTCCAATGACTACAACTGCATTTGATCAGAACATTGACTGCTGCCTATAATTATCTGAGTACATCTCAAGTCTTAATTCAGATTTTTTTAAATGAGTATTTTGACTCCTAAAAAATAGCGGGTATTTAGGAACACCAGCTGCTGACATTGTGGTCACTAATCATGAGCTATTTCAGAAGCCCTCTGTGTAGCCACACACCTTCGGGGTGGGCCTCGGCTGTATGACGGAGGAGAGCCCTGTCCTGATCTTGAACATTCTGTGTCATCGCCGGAATGAGAGAAAAGCGCATTTTCTGAATGTGTTCTCTTAGAGGCAGGAATGATCAACTATAGAAGCCAGAGGAGGATGCAACTCATTCTCCTTGGGTTTGGAGGGATTTAATAAAATGGAGTGACCAGGGGCAGCGTTGGGATGTGTGAGGATCCAGAGAAGATGGATTGCACCTGGGTCTTGAATGACAGGTGAACAGGATTTTTTTCTAGGTCCTCCCTTCTGGTGGGTAGGGGGAGAAGCATTCTAGGTACAGAGAACAGCATGGCCAAGGCCCAGCGATGTCAACGCGTGCTATATGTGTGGGAAGTGGCAGGTGCCTGGTGCCCTGGTTGCTGACACAGAAAGTGAGTATTTGGAAGCAAGTGAGGCCACTTGCAGAGGCTGGTACAGAGTGGTCAGGGGCCATGCAGGGAGGACGAACTTGGTCCACTGGTGGGGAGCCTGGCATGGTCTTTTAAGCAGGAACACCAAGCAATCAGGTGTGTATTTTAGGAGAAGCCCTCCGTGTGGTGGCGTGTGGAGGAGCAAGAGGATAGGACAGAAGATGGCAGCAGAAAGCTGGAAGTGAGGGGGATCTGGGGCAGTGTGTGTGGGAGTGGGAAGAAGGAAATGACGAAAGAGACTGTCCTCAGGCTGAATGGCAGGGTGTGGGCAAGGGGCATCTATGAGGACTCCCAGGCTTGGGGCTTTGGTGACTACATAGATGGCAGTGTCTTCAAGCAGACAGAATGTGGACTCTGACGAGGAGAAGAGTGGTCTGGGGGAGAGGTGGCACTCACATTTGGACTGGCTGAGTTGATGTGCTCGTGAGACGTCCAGGGAGCAAGTCCAGCAGAAACCAACCCTGGTTCTGCCTTGGGATATTTATCTGGTGAAATCCTCTTGGCTTGTCTGTGTGTCTTCTACCCACTAAGATGCACAGTCCTAAGGGAAGAGACTCTCCTTCTTTGTCCCGCATCTCCTGTGCCTAGTACAGGGCCTGGCACCTTGGAAGGTTCAGTAGACTTAGCTGGATAAACGGCTCTCTACATAAGGGACTGGCCCACAAAATGCGTTCAGGAAGAGAAGCTAAGGGAGGGAAGAGGGCCCAGAGTGTAACTCTGAGGACCACCTTTTGAGGAATGCCTAGAAGAGAAGCTGGTAAAAGTGATGGGAAATAAGAGAAAGGAAAGAGCGGGAGAACAAGCCCAGCTGGTGTATCTGTCACCAGCTGCACGAGCTGCTCAGCTACAGTCCCTGTTCCACCTGGCAGTATGGGCTGGGGTGGGCCAAAACTAGTTCCGTCCGCTTTTCTGCAGGATCCCCTCCCAATGGACAGCCAGGTGAATAAGCCAGCTCATGTCTCTTGAGCCATTTTCTTACCAAAGATCAGAATTACATGCACACTGGCCAGGTGTGGTTCCCCTGTAATCCCAGCATTTTGGGAGGCCAAGGCAGGTGGATCATTTGAGGTCAGGAATTCAAGACCAGCCTGGCCAATATATGAAACCCCGTCTCTACTGAAAATACAAAAATTAGCTGGGCCGTAGTGTCATACGCCTGTAATCCCAGCTACTCCGGAGTCTGAGGCAGGAGAATTGCTTTAGCTTGGAAGGTAGAGGTTGCGGTCAGCCGAGATTGTGCCACTGCACTCCAATCTGGGTGACAGAATGAGACCCTGTCTCAAAAAAAAAAAAATTATATGCATACTTCACTTCATTGCCTCATCTTTCCACTTTGTCTCTCCAGAGGGAAAATTCCCTAAAGACGGTTAATTACCTGAAAGAATTCAATAGGTGGAAAGACCTGATGAGAGATGATTTTTTGTTAATGGTGGCAACTTTGGAAATCCGTAGGGATCAACATCTCTCTAGATGAAAGCTAAGAAACCCAGTCTGCTGATATTTGGTTGAATTTCTTGGGCTACAGCTGATTTGCTTGACATTGGACACCTCCTGTAATGCTCTCAGTTCTGGGTAATGGCATCTGCTAAATAATTAGCTAATTGTTTTACCAATCGATTTTTTAAAAACATTCCATTGTAAAACCTATATAGCAGGAGAAAATGTAGAAAACAGAGGGAAAACGATTTCCCCAAATCCTGCCCCAACACAAAGGTTCTGATAGCGATTGTGCACTTCCAGTCCCTCCCCATAAGCAGACGGCTTTTTAGTTGCAAACACCATGTACCTCGTATCCTGCTTTTTTCCCACTGAACATTATCTGATTCTTTTTTATGAGCAATGAAATTTGATACGAGGTGCTGCTCACATGATGTTTGGAAAAGACCGTTGTTGGAAGGATTGGTGAGTACTTTCTAAGCCCCATCGACATCAGGGAATCAGGAAATTAAACTTTTTATTTATTGGTCTTTGACTTTCCCATAAATGGACACGGTTCTACGTTGTTTGACTGCATTGTAAAAGCAGACGCCTGGCGAACAAAGGCATGCCGATGAGTAATTAGGCATTAAGCGGGAGGCAGGGAGCACTTTATGGGGCCCTTTAGTACCCACCCCTCTGCCTCTAGGGTTCAAGTCTACCCCTCAGCATTGGATACCTTTACTTTCTTGGATTAAAACAAAAAAAAACTTACTTTTTTTGGAGCAGGGAGGTTGTTTCTGGCTTTGTTTTGTTTTTGCCCAGATGTTTAAAAACAATGAGCTGACCTTTGTATATTCATTTAAGGGAGGGGATAAAGGATGTTTGTTACATACATGATTTTTTAAAAATCCTGTTGTCTGAATCTTATTAATCTTGCATAGTGCTTGAGTGATTGGGGACTTAAAATATAGAGAGTGTGATTCCTTCAGCAGAGCCAGCAGAAGCCAGGTCCCAACTTTGCAACATCTCTCTTTGATGCCAAGCAGAGGAGGTGACCTGACCTCATTTACCTCCACACATTTGATGTCATTCCGGAGAGGGTAGGTTGTTATGACAAGTTCTTCTGTGAGCCCACTGGGGTTTTTAGTCTTGATCCGAGTACTGATGGGGGAGCAGTTTTTGCTTTGGGCACTTTTCCTTGTGAAATGCATCTCTTCATCTGCTTAGTCCAGAGCAAACTTCTTATCTTCTCTCCCTGTGATCACAGCTATTAAATAAATAACAAAAGGGAATCTATCTTCTCAGAAGAAAAACTGAAGCATTCTTTTCTGCCTTGGTAAAAGGTTATCTTTTCTGCAGACACATCTTTGGTTGCGTGCTGCAACTTTGTAGAAGAAAATGATAGTTGCTGCCTGCTAGAATGGATAGCGCCCATTTTGTTAAAAATCAGAAGGTTAAAAAATGCCCAGATCTGCAAACAATGGTTTAGCGGTTGGCTGTGCTGAAAACATCCACCAGTTCATTAATGCAATACGTCATCATTGAGGGTAGATAGAGTGAAGTACTGTGACTAGCTAAAGGTGAAACGATGGATAGTGAGCCCCTGTCCCCAAGGCATGTAGCTTGGGAGGAAGATGAAGCTGTACAAAGATGCCTAACATACAAGTGGGCTGTGCTCAGGGCTGTGAGGGAGCTCAGAGAAGGAGGTAACATTTCCTCAGCTGGGGCCAGGATGGAATGATGAGGTCTTCCCTTAAGCAAGGCAGGGAAAGGGATTAAGGCCACACCAGACGCATTGCCAACCTAAAATTCCTTGGTTTTCTGGGAACTAGCAGAATCTACCAATAGTGCATGAGAAGTGTAACTAGGGGCTTGATTTTGTGAAGATTTAACAGCAAAGAGTCTTGCCAAGAAGCAGGCTCCACCACATTGCTCCATGCATTTAGGAGAAGGGATCCAGAAAGGGATCCTGCATGCCTCACCCATTAGCCATTGGAATCTTCTAGGTAGCCAGACTCTTACCCTGCATCTAGCACTTTGAAAAACGTTGTGCATTCATTTTCTCATGCAATCCTTAATTATACAAGGAAGGTCCTATCATTAGCCCCAATATAAGGATATGAAAACTAAGACTTAGAAGTAACTTGCCCAAGGTCACAAAGACAGCAAGTAACTGAGTTGGGCACCAAAGCTCTGCTTTCAACCAGTAGACCAAGACCAGCCTTGACAACTGTCCATGGCAAAGGCATTTCAGAATGCTCTTTGCTAGCTCCCCTGCAACAGTGCTCTGCATACAAGGCAGGGCATCTCGTGCTGGGGTGCGAAGGTACAGCGGATGGGGGAAGTTCACCGTCTTTCTCTTGTCCCCCAGCACTGCCATCCTCCTGGCCTGAGAACCCAGCAACATCGCAGTGTCCACTCATGTCCTTGGGGCTCTGCCTGCTTTCTCACAGTTTCTCCTGTTCTCCACTCACTCCAGCCAGTGCCCAGTTAATGGTATAAATGAGCTTCTGGGATGGTGGGTTCCACCTCCAGCCCAGACTGGAACCCAGCCATCCACGGCTCTTTCAACTTCTCTGCTTGGTGATTGGGCAGCCTGAATTTCTAGGACACTTCATTTTTTGTTTTTTGAGACAAGGTCAAGCTCTGTCACCCAGCCTCGAGTGCAGTGACACAATCATGGCTCACTGCAGCCTCAACTTCCTGGGCTCAAGCAATCCTCCCACCTCAGCCTCCTGAGTAGCTGGGATTACAGGTGCACACTACCGCACCTGGCTAATTTTTAAAATGTATTGTAGAGATGAGATCTCGCCATGTTGCCCAGGCTGGTCTGGAACTCCTGGACTCAAGTGATCCACCTGTCCCGGCCTCCCAAAGTGCTGGGATTATAGGCGTGAGTCACCACATGCGGCCTTCAAATGTTTACAACTGTGTTTGCTGAATTTTTTTTTTTTTTTTTTTTGAGACAGAGTCTTGCTCTGTCGCCCAGGCTGGAATGCAGTGGTGTGGTCTTGGCTCACTGCAAGCTCCGCCTCCCGGGTTCACGCCATTCTCCTGCCTCAGCCTCCCGAGTAGCTGGGACTACAGGCGCCCGCTACCACACCCGGCTAATTTTTTTTTTTTTATATATTTTTAGTAGAGGCGGGGTTTCACCGTGTTAGCCAGGATGGTCTCGATCTCCTGACCTCGTGATCCACCTGCCTCGGCCTCCCAAAGTGCTAGGATTACGGGCGTGAGCCACCACGCCCAGCCTTGCTGAACTATTTTATATGGTTGACTCATTACATGAATAACCAAATGAGATTCAATTTTGATACCTTCATAAAAGTTCCAAATGAGTTCACAAATACGAACTTTCTAAACCCGTGTTCCAGTTCTGTAAATCTGCCCACACACTGTGACCCACCATCGTATCAGTGGCCGGTCCCCGAACCCACTCAGGCCAGTTCTCACTTTCTCCAGTCACGTCTCTCTCACTCTCAGTTCCCTGCCGCTGTACTTGTGTGTGGGTGAGCTAAGAACACTCAGCGTGAGATGCGTCCTTTTCGATGTTAAGTGTATAATACGTTACTGTTGACTGGAGGTGCAATGTGGTAGAGTAGATTTCTAAAGCTTATTCATTATACTTAAATGAACCCTTATACCCATTGATTAATAACTCCCAATTTTCCCCTCCCCCAGGCCCCAGGTCACCTCCATTCCAGTCTTTGATTTTATGAATTTGACTATTTTAAACATCTCAGATAAGTAGAATTATAGGCCTGGTGCGGTGGCTTATGCTGGTAATCCCAGCATTTTGGGAGGCAGAGGCAAGCAAATCACTTGAGCCCAGGAATTTGAGACCAGCCTAGGCAACATGGCAAGACCCCATCTCTACAAAAAAATTAAAAAATAAAAATTAGTCTGGCGTGGTGGTAGACACCTGTGGTCTCAACTACGTGGGTGGCTGAGGTGGGAGGATCACCTGAGCCTGAGAAGTCGAGGCTGCAACGAGCCATGATATTGCCACTGCACTCCAGCCTGAGTGACAGGGTGAGACCCTGTCTCAAAAAAAAAAAAAAAGTATAATTATGCAGTGTGTCTTCTTATGTGTCTGACATTTCACTTAACATAAGATCTTCAAAGTCTGTTCATATCACAGATTGCAGAGTTTCCTTCCTTTTTAAGACTAGATGAGATCCCATTGTATGTATGTACCACATTTTCTTTATCCATTCACCTGTTGACCGGATGTCCAGGTCAGTTTCACATCTTAGCGATTGTGAACAGTGCTGCAGTGAACAGAGGAGTGCACACATCTCTTTGAGATCCTGATTTCACGTCTTTTAGATATACATTTCCTCCAGTCCTACCAGCAGTTGTCAGCCCTGGCTGACCCTAGAATCACTTAGGGAGCTCTTCAAAAATGCTGAGGCTGGCCCCACCCCCAGGTACCTGACTCAGCCGGTCCAGTGGGACCCCTGTGGTGAGCTCCCCAGGAGATTTGCCAGGCAGCGGCCTCAAGAACCTTGCCCCCATCCATCTCATGGCACAGTCTCCTTGCTTTTCCCCATAAGAACGATTTCCACTTCGCATTCTTCATTTTCTCCTGCCCCCACTCCTGAGCTGCTGAGTTCTGTTGGAAAAATCCCACAGTGGGACATAAACCCTCTGCAAGTCCAGACCACCCCCCTGCTGCCGGGCCCCCTCCAACTTCCCCTTGGTGATGGCGTTCCCTTGAAATGATCATGCCACAGGCTGCTCATCTTCCTATGGGTTTCATCTCAGGTGCCTCATTCTCAGCTGAAGACCTCTCTCCACCTCCCTCACTCACTCCAGAGAAATTCCCCAACTGCCTCCTTCCCCACTCTCAAGTTTCTTTCATCTCTTCCCATCCACTTAAGCCATGTGACAACCCCCTCCCCCAGCCCCCATCCCCCACTGCCAGAAGTGGGTCTCCCTTCCAGGTGCAGGCCCCTCCCCGTGCTGCCCCTGCTCCCCTTCTCTCCTTCCCCATCCTCAGGCAGCCTCAGCCTGGGCATTTCCATTCCTTCTTTCCCTCGGTCTATAAGCACCACTAAGTCCTATGTTTAAAAAAGAAAAAAAATCCTAAAAAAGAAAGAGAGAGAGAGAGAAGAGAGAAGAATTCAGAAGACAGAAGCAGAGAGATGGCAGTGAGAGAAGGTCTCAGCTCAACGCTGAAGCTGGAGAGGGAAAAGAAATGGATTCCCCCTGGACCCCCAGAAGGAAAACCAGCCCTACACCTTGATTTTTGTCCAGTGAGACCCACTGTGGACTTCTGACCCCCAGAATTATCAGATAATAAGTTTATGTTGTTGTAAACAAACAAACAAAAAAAAATTTGCTGACTCGATTTCTCCATCAAGCTATCGCTACATCTTCTCCCTACGTGTCTAGTCCTGAGCTAAGCCACCGTGCCCAGCTGTCACCTGGAGATTTCCCTCTGCCTCCCCTAGCACCTTGAACTGAGCTGGTCTGCAGCCACACTCACCTGCCACCCCAACCTGCTCCCTGTCCTGGGCCCGTGTGCAGGTCACTGCACTCCAGCAGGGGCTGCATGAAGCCTAACGTCACACATCAGCATCACTGAGACTTCATGTTCCCAAATCTAAGGTGGAAATGCATCATGCTCCTTCCGTCTGCTGAATAAACCCATCATCCCTTTCTATTACACTATTAATTCTTTGTTTTACCTATCATTAGGCTTTCAGTAAATAAATAAATGAAGCCAAAATAATTACCTTTATCCATAAGTAATCAGAATGTGTTTAGTGCTTTAGTAAATAGTTTGTTTTCTAATTTTCCTTTAATTAGCAGTGAAAGAATTCAAATGAATTCCTTATCTGGCAGATAAAAAATTAGATTCAGCTTTTGCTCTTACACATATATCCAAATTTTAATGTACACAAGAAACACAATTCATAATTGTTCTGTGAGATAATATGTATCCAATACTAAACACATTTCTATATTTATCTTCTCACTCTCATCACAGCTTAATAAAATTATAATGATGACCTTTCAAAGTACCATTGCCTGATCCACATTGACACAGCATCCCTAGCTCCAAATCTCAGCTATTGCAAGGGGCCTGCTGCATCTCACTGCCTGACAGTCTATGCTGGATGCACTACAGGCAGCATTGGGGTCTGTTACCACTCATGCTTGTACCCCAGAAGCCAGCATAGTACTTAACACAGAGTTAGGGCTGTGATAAAAAAAAATTGTCACCGAATGATGAGTAAATACATAAGGTCTTTGGGCATGTCTTACATTGTGTTCATACCAATACACATGATACTGTGGCTACATCACCTGTCCCAAAGGGAATGGGGCAATGTGGGGGGGTGGGGGAAGCTGAGGGTGGGAGGGGCTGTGGCCATATTAAGGAATGAGCTGTAAAACAACCCAGATTCAGTTGGCAAACATGATTGCTTTAACCCAGACTATCCTCGTTGATTGAAGTTATCCAACAGAGTCAAATCCTTTCTCTAAACATCTAGAATGTCATAAATATGAGGCATTGCTTTCAATACAAAATATTCTTTGGAGGAACAATAAGATTTCTCCTGTGAGATTATGTTGAGACTTCTCAATCCTCTTTGGGAACTATAACGGCAGATGTTAGAGAGGGATTGGATATGCCACTCATGGCCGATACCAGTCATGGCATCTTAGACAAAGGCTATAAACAGCAGAAGAATGTTTAAAATGGCTTCAGTGATTCTCCTTCAGGCCAAAGGAATTACAACCATGTGTTCTCAGCAGAGAAGGCGTAGTATTCCGCTGTGGTCACTTATTATCCCGTCAGTAGCTATATGGAACGTGGATAATGAGCAAAGTTGTTTTTTCCGTTCAGAACTGGGATTGTCCCCTGCAGATGTTACAGCCAGATCAGTGCCCAAGTGGAGTAGAAATCATTGTTCTTGGACTGAACATTCTGATGCTAGCTCCTATTTGGCAGGAGGAGAGGAAGAAGGGAAGAAAATAGGATTTGTGTTCTTGTGCCTGTATTACCCAATTTGGGAACTTACAGATCTGTTTAATTTCTATTGGGAGAGAGAATAAAGCATTTGAGGTTATTTTGGTTACTCTCTGCGGAAATCACACGCTACACCTAACAGATTCAACAATTTCATAGAGCCGTAGTCAAGCGCGTGAGTTACAATTTTATTCATTCCATTTATTCAGTGAGTCAGGCTCTGACAGGGGGTTGATTTGTTGTTTAATATTTGGGGGGATTATTTTGGTATAGCCATAACATGTTTACTTAAATACCGCGTGTTAAATGAGATGTTTTGGTTTGTTTTGATGGGTACTTATAAAGGCAATACACAGCATTTCACACTTAGCATTTTCCCATCCTCAACATGGCACCAGGATTAGCGCAATTGACTGCCCTGTGTGTTTGGGAAGTGTCAGGTTTGTTTCACCCAGGGAAAGGCAGGACTAGAAGACAGGGTTACTCTCAAGGCAGAGCTGGGCTGAAGGGGATCTTCCCAAAACACTGGGTCCCAGTGCCATGCTAGGACCAAAGACTGTGGGTGGCAGCAAAGAGCCTGAAGGAGAAAATTGATTCTTCTTGCTTGTTTTGTGGGTCTTAGGGTGTTACCATAACAGCATGGATTCTTCCCTGTACTCAACAGAACATATGGGAAGCCTATAGTTAGCTCATCATTTCAACCCTTCCTCCCCCACACCCATCTCTCCCCCCTCCCCCGGGAATCTTCAATATGGGACCAATTTTTCTGTAGGTGAAAAAAAAAATTTAATTGGGATGAAATGTCCTCTTCTCCCGAACTGTAGACCAGCTGTGATATGTCCTGAACTTTGATTGGAGCTGCAATTGACCACTAAACTGCAATGTAGAAATTGTTCCTAGAAAGGCTGTAGAATTAGCCATGGCAGGAGAAGTGCCCTCACAACATCTGATTCCCGTGCCTGGCCACCCAAACAGAAATGGCTTTGGCCAAAGGCAGCCACAAGATACTCTAACAAAAAGAAGGCACAAGGCAACTTTTAAGTCATGGTCCTAAATGCTAAAGCAGACCAAAAGAGAATGTACGTCTCTAAAAAGAGGCAGGCATTTAAAAGTTGGTTTCATATAGGAAATCATCACTTTGCCCTTCTAACCATCATGTCTGAGGGCCTTTACATCTGATTTTTGCAAATATAAACTAAATACTCAGTAGTTATGCAGATGCCTGCTACATGCACAAAAAGTGACTGAAGATTCCTAGTATGGGTCTAGAATGGGTACTAGACAGCCTCGCTATGAAACGTTATTGCCCTCGGGTGTTATTTTAGTGTCTAAGTCATCTCTCAGATGGCACAAGTCCAACTCTAATGCATTAAAACAGAAGAAATCTATAAACACCTTCATGTATTTGATGAGTAAGTTGGGGTTTCTTTAACTGGCTGTTTATTCCTCTGTTCAGAACAATACATTAAAACAAGAACCAACAACAGCAAGTCACTGACATTGTGCCAAGTTATTAAAGACTTTTGTTTTTGTAAAGTGGGTTGTTGTATTGGGGACATCTATGCTAGAGTCCCCAGGACCTACCCCTCCATTCCTGTGCAGTATCCTTTTGTTTTTGACTCACTGGATTGAGAATTGTGAGGTGGTTGGACAGTGTTATCTCTTTTGTAGAAAACTATTAAGAAAGACTGGTTTTAAGGGGAGGTTATCTAATTTGCGTTTCCATGGGTGGTAAATATACCCTTCCCACTCATTTATCTCTGTGTCCCTCCACATAATTGCAGATTTGGTTCTGTATGTCTTTTGGGTAATTTTTTGAATTTCACTTCCCATAAGTGGAATTATGTGTCACTCCTGTTAGAGACTGTTGGTGTTTGGGCAGAGAAAGGAGAGAAGAGGCAGAAGGCTCCACAAGTGAGGATTTTGTGAGGACTCCCTGGGAGAAGAAAAGAAAATGCACCTGGTGGAGAACAAAGCTCCTACATGTCGAAGGCAAAGACAGGGCCTTGCAGAGAACTTAGCACAGGCAGAGATAAAGCCATGTAACCCGTGTGTCAGATATGAGCTTGAGAGTTATGCCCATTGCAAGCCTCTGATGTCACAAACCTGCCTGTTAAATGGCATTCTGTTAAAACCAACCACAACAAAAACAGTATCTCTTTGACACAGAGGACAGGAGAGAAGCTACCAAGTTTCCCTCAGAAAAAGGAATGAAAAATGGAAACTACGATGCTTACTAATTTAAGATGCGTGAAACATCATTTGATATTCTCTTTATTTGTGTCATTTTTTTAAGATTTCATTTTAGTGAACATAAAATCCCTTAGTTGTATGTATTTCCTAAAGTGTGGGAGGGAGTTTAGGTGGCTGCCAGGTGTGATATTAAATAATATTGACTTACATCTTAAGAAAGGTTTTTTTGTTTTTTTGTGTTTTCTATTTCAAACCTTCTGTTTAGGCTGAGCAGAAAACCTTGGGTTTGGTGGTAATATGTCCAACACCTCTCTAATACTTACTAATTCCCTATTTCAACAAACGGAGACCAGGCCTCAGACAAGAGGTCTTTAGGAGGCAACAATGTCCAGCTGGAATTTAATCGCATTGGTTGGTTGGTTGGTTGGTTGGTTTTTCCACTGTATTTACTTTTAGATTGCCTTCTATCTATGACAAGTGATCTCAATTTTCTAAGTAATGGAAGCTAGACAGGATCAAATTGGGCACAGGTCAGGTCGGCTACAAATGTATTCACTGTTCCAGGGGTGCTGGCATGGAGGCAGTGAATTTGAGAAGGGGCAGGGTCCAGGGCATTTGACGAGGTTATTCATAGAGGTTCTCTGCCAAGGCTGTCCTCAGCACATTCTCTGTGCAAAGTGATGAACTAGATCCCTGTCAGTGACAAAGCAGATGAATTGAGAGTTATCACTTGGGCCAGGAGGGCAGGGCAGTGTCCCAGAAAGGTGGCAGTAAACAGGCTGGGAGCCCCTACCCAGAAGAGGAGCTAGTGGACACACCTGGGGCTGCCTCTCACCCGCCCTCATGCAGACAGCGTGAGAAGAACGTATATACTGCTCACAGGTAAGCTATCAAGGATCTTCAAAAAGCAACTGTAATCCCAGCACATTGGGAGGCTGAGGTGGGCCGATCATTTGAGGTCAGGAGTTTGAGACCAGCCTGGCGAACATGGCGAAACCCTATCTCTACTAAAAATACAAAAATTAGGCCGGGCACGATGGCTCATGCCTGTAATCCCCGCACTTTGGGAGGCTGAGGAGGGCGGATCACGAGGTCAGGAGATTGAGACCATCTGGTTAACAAAGTGAAACTCTGTCTCTACTAAAAATACAAAAAATTAGCCAGGCTTGGTGGCGGGTGCCTGTAATGCCAGCTACTTGGGAGGCTGAGGCAGGAGAATGGCATGAACTCCAGAGGTGGAGCTTGCAGTGAGCAGAGATCACACCACTAGTGGCACTCCAGCCTGGGCAACAGAGTGAGACTCTGTCTCAAAAAAAAAAAAAATACAAAAATTAGCTGGGCATGGTGGCACACACCTGTAATCCCAGATACTCAGGAGGCTGAGGCAAGAGAATTGCCTGAATAGGCAGAGATTGCAATGAGCCCAGATGGTGCCACCGCACTCCAGCCTTGGTGACAGAGCGAGACTTCACCTAAAACAAAACAAAGCAAAACAAAACAAAAGAACAACAACAAAAAAAACAACATGAGCATAAAACCAAGTCACAAAATGTTTGCACCATGCAATAAAGGCAAATAGACACAACAATACCCAAGGAAGCCAAGTGGGTGGAGAAAAATAACAAGCTATAGAAATAAGTAAAATCGTTATCAGGCAGAATCAAATATTACACCCACAAACAAAAGCCAAATAGAGACCTTAGAAATTAAAATGTTGTTTGGTTACAAGAAAACCTCTACAGGTTGGCTAAATAACAGAATGGATCATTGAAGAGCCACTTAGTAAGCTGGAAGATGAAGTTCGGGAATTCTCCCAGAAACCAGTGCAAATAGATAAGTAGACAAAAAATATAAAGGAATGCTTGAGAGCTGAGGAAGATAGAGCCAGGTATTTAAGTAGCCATCTAAGACACATTCTCGAAGAACATGGAGGAGAGAAAATAATCAGAGATATAATTGAAAAAAAATTCTATAGCTAAAAGAAAACTGAAAATAAAAAAAAACAATACTGAAAGTGAAATACCCTACCTAATTCCCAAGTGTGCATATTATGTAAATGTCAGACATGATTAGCTAATTAAGAAGCTAGATATAATCTAATTTTGTAGCCAGAAAAACACATACACGCACACGTAAAACTGTGAAATCTGAATAAGGCTTGTGGATTGTACCAATATCAATTTCCTGGTTATGATATTTGTGGCACACAGAATTCTAAGATGACCTTCAATGAATCTCACTCTTGTATAATCCCCTGCCCTTGAGTGTGGCAGAACCTGTGAATATGATGCTGTGTCAATCCCATGATTATGTTATGTTACATGTTATGTTACATGAATTAAAGTCTCAACTCAACCTTAAAATATGAAGGTTATCCTGGTTGGGTCAAGCTCAATCAGGTGATCCCCTTAAAAAGGGCACCGAACTCTTTCTGGTGAAAGAGATTGCAAAACTTGAGAGAGGCATTCCACTCAAGGTTTTCCATTGCTGGGATTGGAGATGGAGGGGCCATGTAGCAAGGAGCTGAGAAGGGACCTGGCTAACAGCAAATGAGGAAGCAGGAAAGCTCAGTCCTCTAACCACAAGGAACTGAATTGTGCCACAACCACACAAACATGAAAGAGAACCCCTGGCATCTGATGAGAGTGCACCTCGATTTTAGCCTGTAAGACCTTGAGCAGAAGACCTCACCACGTGCACCCAGACTTCTGGCCTGCAGGGGCTGTGTGTTAAATGGTGTTGTTATAAGCCACTAAATTTGTAGTCACTTGTTACACAGTACTATAGTTTTAATATTTTCCCTCCAAAATTCATGTTAACACTTAATCTCCAATGTGACAGCATTGAGAGATGGGACCTTTTAGAGGTGATTGGGTTATAAGGGCTCTGTTCTTATGAATGGATTAATCCATTCGTGGATTCATGGTTAATAGGTTATCATGGAAGGGGGACAGGTGCCTTGATAATAAGAGAAAGAAAGACCTGAGAGAGCACATTGGCATGCCCAACCCCCTCTCCATGGGCTATCCTATTCACCCTGGGGACTCTTCAGAGAGTCCTCACTAGCAAGAAGGCCCTCACCAGACGCAGCCCCTTGGCTCTGGACTTCTCAGCCTCCATAACTGTAAGAAATAAATTTCTTTTCCTTATAAATTACACTTGTAGTTTATAATTTTACATTATTATTCCAGATATCCTATCCTAAGCAACAGAAAATGGACTAATATGCACAGCAATAGAAAATAAATATTCTATTTTACCAGAGTTATGCCAGATATTAGCATTGGAGAAAAGTGGGTAAAAAATAGGCAGAATCTTTCTGTAGAATTTTTTTGCAACTTTCTATGGCCCTATAATTATTCCCTCTAAAAAAAAATATGTAAAAGGGAGATTGTATATTCTTGTCAAATACATGTGAAACAGTGACAGAAATTGACTATGTGTTAAGCCTCAAGAACATTTTAAAATTTTCAGTAAGCAGAAATCATACAAATCTTAATCACTGACCACAATGCAGAAATTAATTAATAAAATGTTGACAATGAAAAATAACAACAAAAGAAAAAATCAAATACACTTCTCAATAACTATTGAATTAAGAAAGAAAACAGACCAGGAGCAGAGGCTCACACCGATAATCCCAGTATTTGAGGAGGCCCAGGTGGGAGGATCACTTGAGCTCAGGAGTTTGAGACCATCTGGGCAACATGGTGAAACCCTGTCTCCACTAAAAATACAATATAGCCAGCCGTGGTGGTGTGCACCTGTAGTTCCAGCTACTTGGGAGGCTGAGCGGGGAGGATCACTTGAACCCCGGAGGTCAAGGTTGCAGTGAGACATGATTATGCAACTGCACACCAGCCTGGGCAACAGAGTGAGACCCTGTCTCAAGACCAACAAAACAAAATAAAACAAAAAATAAAAAGAAAGAAAACAACTGCAAGCTATTTAAAAATGGACAATAACAAGAGCACCATGATGTGTCTATGTACAGTGGCATTCTGAGGGAGTAGCCTTAACTACATTTACAAGAAAACAGGAAAGACTGGAAATAATTGAGTTATGTTTTCACCTTGAGAAGCCAGAAAAAGAAAATCAAAATAAGCTCAAGAAAGGAATTAGTAAACATGAAAGCATACATTAACGAGATCAAAAGCAAACAACAGCAACAAAAATGTAGAGTTGGTAAACAGAGCAAAGGCATGTAAACATTCAAAATGTCAAAGGACAGGATGTGACTTGAAGAGCCTTAAAAAAGAGAACTGTATTAAAACACCAACATTTTACAAATCCATGTAAAACAAATGGTTTCCTCTAAAAATAAAAATGATCAAAATTAGAAAAAGGAAAAAAAAATGGAAGTACCATACAGACCAATCTCCATAAAAATAAATGGAAAAGACATGCCAAGATTTGCACCCGAAAACAGCCCCAGGTCCAGGAGCTTTCCTGGCAAATTCTATAGGTATTTGCAATTTATATAAGTGGTGTCAGAAGATAGAAAAGGAGAGAAAGCTGCCTTCAACTGAAAGCTAAAATAATAATTGCAGAAGTTTAAAAACTAAATGACTGCAAGTAAGATAATTGCATATCGAATTCTGAATGTATCGAAAGCATAATACCTCATAACAAATAGAGTTTGTCCCAAGAATGCTAGAATGGCTGAAGTTTAGAAAATCCATTGATATACCTTATTATATTAACATATTAATATAGAAAAACATAAAATTATCTCAATAAAGACCAGAACATTATTTGCTATAATGTCACTCCAGACGTACAACCATAGCACAAACCCAGAATTATTTAATAAGCTCAAGCAAAGGAAGTCCTCAGCAAGACATGAAATCCTGAAGCCATTAAATAAAAATTTCATTCATTTTACTCTTAAAATATGCAGGGCTTTTATATGATGTGTACCACACCAAAGCAAGATGTTAACAGTAGGGGAAATTGTGGATATAAGCGGGAGAGTGGGTATACAGGAACTCTGAACTTTCCATTCAATTTTTCTGTAAACCTAAAACTGCTCTAAGAAATAAAGTTTATAAGCAAAGAGGAACAAAAAACAACAAATTAGATAAAACACTTGAAATACATTTGACACAGAGAAGATTCCAAGATGGCCGAATAGGAACAGCTCCAGTCTGCAGCTCCCAATGTGAGTGACACAGAAGATGGGTGATTTCTACATTTCCAACTGAGTTACTGGGTTCATCTCACTGGGGCTTGTCAGACAGTGGGTGCAGCCCACAGAGCAGGGCGGGGCATTGCCTCACCCAGGAAGCACAAGGGGTCAGGGAATTCCCTTTCCTAGCAAAGGGAAGCCGTGACAGATGTTACCTGGAAAATCGGGACACTCCCACCATAATACTGCGCTTTTCCAATGGCCTTAGCAAACAGCACACCAGGAGATTATATCCCGCGCCTGGCTCAGAGGGTCCCACGCCCACAGAGCCTTGGTCACTGCTAGCACAGCAGTCTGAGATCGAACTGCAAGGCGGCAGCAAGGCTGGGGGAGGGGCATCCACCATTGCTGAGGCTTGAGTAGGTAAACAAAGCATCGGGAAGCTCAAACTGAGTGGAGCCCACCACAGCTCAAGGAGGCTGGCCTGCCTCTGTAGACTTCACCTCTGGGGGCAGGGCATAGCCAAACAAAAGGCAGCAGAAACTTCTGCAGACTTAAATGTCCCTGTCTGACAGCTTTGAAGAGAGTAGTGGTTCTCCCAGCATGGGGTTTGAGATCTGAGAACACACAGACTGCCTCCTCAAGTGGGTCCCTGACCCCTGAGTAGCCTCACTGGGAGACACCTACCAGTAGGGGCCGACCAACATCTCATACAGTTGGGTGCCCCTCTGAGATGAAGCTTCCAGAGGAAGGATCAGGCAACAACATTTGCCGTTCTGCAATATTTGCTGTTCTGCAGCCTCCGCTGGTGATACCCAGGCAAACAGCATCCGGAGTGAACCTCCAGCAAACTCCAACAGACCTGCAGCTGAGGGTCCTGACTGTTAGAAGGAAAACTAACAAACAGAAAGGACATCCACAACAAAACCCCATCTGTATGTTACCATCATCAAAGACAAAAGGTAGATAGAACCACAAAGATGGGGAGAAACCAGAGCAGAAAAGCTGAAAATTCTAAAAATCAGAGTGCCTCTTCTCCAAAGGAACGCAGCTCCTCGGCAGCAATGGAACAAAGCTGGATGGAGAATGACTTTGACAAGTTGAGAGAAGAAGGCTTCAGACGATCAGTAATAACAAACTTCTCCGAGCTAAAGGAGAATGTTCGAACCCATCGCAAAGAAGCTAAAAACCTTGAAAAAAGATTAGATGAAAGGCTAACTAGATTTAATAAACAGAGTAGAGAAGTCCTTAAATAATGGAGCTGAAAACCATGGCACGGGAACTACATGACGCATGCACAAGCTTCAGTAGCCGATTCGATCAACTGGAAGAAAGGGTATCAGTGATTGAAGATCAAATGAATGAAATGAAGCAATAATAGAAGTTTAGAGAAAAAAGAGTAAAAAGAAATAACAAAGCCTCCAAGAAATATGGGACTATGTGAAAAGAACAAATCTACGTCTGATTGGTGTACCTGAAAGAGACAGGGAGAATGGAACCAACTTGGAAAACCTCTTCAGGATATTATCCATGAGAACTTCCCCAACCTAGTGAGGCAGGCCAACATTCAAATTCAGGAAATACAGAGAACGCCACAAAGATACTCCTCGAGAAGTGCAACTCCAAGACACATAATTGTCAGATTCACCAAAGTTGAAATGAAGGAAAAAATGTTAAGGGCAGCCAGAGAGAAATATTGGATTACCCACAAAGGGAAGCCCATCAGACTAACAGCAGATCTCTTGGCAGAAACTCTACAAGCCAGAAGAGAGTGGGGGGCCAATATTCAACATTCTTAAAGAATTTTCAACACATAATTTCACATCCAGCCAAACTAAGCTTCATAAGTGAAGGAGAAATAAAATCCTTTACAGACAAACAAATGCGGAGAGATTTTCTCACCACCAGGCCTGCCTTACAAGAGCTCCTGAAGGAAGCGCTAAACATGGAAAGGAACAACTGGCACCAGCCACTGCAAAAACATGTCAAACTGTAAAGACCATCAATGCTAGGAAGAAACTGCATCAACTAATGAGCAAACATCAAACATCATAATGACAGGATCAGATTCACACATAACAATATTAACTTTAAATGTAAATGGGCTAAATGCTCCAATTAAAAGACACAGACTGGCAAATTGGATAAAGAGTCAAGAGCCATCAGTGTGCTGTATTCAGGAGACATATCTCAAGTGCAGAAACATGCATAGGCTCAAAACAAAGGGATGAAGGAAGATCTACGAAGCAAATGGAAAACAAAAAAAAGCAGGGGTTGCAATCCTAGTCTCTGACAAAACAGACTTTAAACCAACAAAGATCAAAAGAGACAAAGAAGGCCATTACGTAATGATAAAGGGATCAATTTATCAAGAAGAGCTAACTATCCTAAATATATATGCACCCAATACAGGAGCACCCAGATTCACAAAGCAAGTCCTTAGAGACCTAGAAAGAGACTTAGATTCCCACACAATAATTATGGGAGACTGTAACACCCCACTGTCAACATTAGACAGATCCATGAGACAGAAAGCTAACAAGGATACCCAGGAATTGAACTCAGCTCTGCACCAAGCAGACCTAATAGACATCTACAGAACTCTCCACCTCAAATCAACAGAATATACATTCTTCTCAGCACCACATAACACTTACTGCAAAATTGACCACATAGTTGGAAGTAAAGCACTCCTCAGCAAATGTAAAAGAATAGAAATTATAACAAACTGTCTCTCAGACCACAGTGCAATCAAACTAGAACTCAGGATTAAGAAACTCACTCAAAACAGCTCAACTACATGGAACCTGAACAACCTGCTCCTGAATGACTACTGGGTACATAACGAAATGAAGGCAGAAATAAAGATGTTCTTTGAAACCAATGAGAACAAAGACACATCATACCAGAATCTCTGGGACCCATTTAAAGCAGTGTGTAGAGGGAAATTTATAGCACTAAATGCCCACAAGAGAAAGCAGGAAAGATCTAAAATCGATACCCTAACATCATAATTAAAAGAACTAGAGAAGCAAGAGCAAACACATTAAAAAGCTAGCAGAAGGGGCAAGAAATAACTAAGATCAGAGCAGAACTGAAGGAGATAGAGACACAAAAAACCCTTCAAAAAAATCAATGAATCCAGGAACTGGCTTTTTGAAAAGATCAACAAAATTGATAGACCACTAGCAAGACTAATAAAGAAGAAAAGAAGAATCAAATAGATACAATAAAAAATGATCAAGGGGATATCACCACCGATCCCACAGGAATACAAACTGCCATCAGAGAATACTATAAACATATCTACACAAATAAACTAGAAAATCTAGAAGAAATGGATAAACTCCTGGACACATACACCCTCCCAAGACTAAACCAAGAAGAAGTTGAATCCCTGAATAGACCAATAACAGGTTCTGAAATTGAGGCAATAATTAATAGCTTACCAACCAAAAAAAGTCCAGGACCAGATGGATTCACAGCCGAATTCTACCAGAGGTACAAAGAGTAGCTGGTACCATTCCTTCAGAAACAATTCCAATCAATAGAAAAAGAGGGAATCCTCCCTAAATCTTTTTATGAGGCCAACATCATCATAATACCAAAGCCAGGCAGAGACACAACAAAAAAGAGAATTTTAGACCAATATCCCTGATGAACACTCATGCAAAAATCCTCAATAAAATGCTGGCAAACCTAAACCAGCAGCACATCAAAAAGCTTATCCACCATGATCAAGTTGGCTTCATCCCTGGGATGCAAGGCTGGTTCAACATATACAAATCAATAAACGTAACCCATCATATAAACAAAACCAAAGACAAAAACCACATGATTATCTCAATAGATGCAGAAAAGGCCTTCGAGAAAATTCAACAGCCCTTCATGCTAAAAATGCTCAATAAACTAGGTATTGATGGGACGTATCTCAAAATAATAAGAGCTATTTATGACAAACCCACAGCCAATATCATACTGAAAGGGCAAAAACTGGAAGCGTTTCCTTTGAAAACTGGCACAAGACAGGGATGCCCTCTCTCACCACTCCTATTCAACATAGTGTTGGAAGTTCTGGCCAGGGCAATCGGGCAGGAGAAAGACATAAAGGGTATTCAATTAGGAAAAGAGGAAGTCAAATTGTCCCTGTTTGCAGATGACATGATTTTATATTTAGAAAACCCCATCATCTCAGCCCAAAATCTCCTTAAGCTGATAAGCAACTTCAGCAAAATCTCAGGATACAAAATCAATGTGCAAAAATCACAAGCATTCCTATACATCAATAACACAAACAGTGAGCCAAATCATGAGTGAACTCCCATTCACAATTGCTTCAAAGAGAATACCTAGGAATCCAACTTACAAGGTATTTGTGAAGGAACTCTTCAAGGAGAACTACAAACCACTGCTCAGTGAAATAAAAGAGGACACAAACAAATGGAAGAACATTCCATGCTCATGGATAGGAAGAATCAATATTGTGAAAACGGCCTTACTGCCCAAGGTAATTTATAGATTCAATGCCATCCCCATCAAGCTACCAATGACTTTCTTCACAGAATTGGAAAAAAACTACTTTAAAGTTCATATGGAACCAAAAAAGAGCCCATATTGCCAAGACAATCCTAAGCCAAAAGAAGAAAACTGGAGGCATCATGCTACCTAACTTTGAACTATACTACAAGTAACCAAAACAGCATGGTACTGGTACCAAAACAGAGATATAGACCAATGGAACAGAACAGAGCCCTCGGAAATAATACCACACATCTACAACCATCTGATCTTTGACAAACCTGACAAAAACAAGAAATGGGAAAAGGATTCCCTATTTAATAAATGGTGATAGGAAAACTGGCTAGCCATATGTAGAAAGCTGAAATGGATCTCTTCCTTACACCTTATACAAAAATTAATTCAAGATGGATTAAAGACTTAAATATTAGACCTAAAACCATAAAAACCCCAGAAGAAAACCTAGGCAATACCCTTCAGGCCATAGGCATGGGCAAGGACTTCATGACTAAAACACCAAAAGCAATGGCAACAAAAGCCAAAATTGACAAATGGGATCTAATCAAACTAAAGAGCTTCTGCACAACAAAAGAAACTACCATCAGAGTGAACAGGCAACCTACAGAATGGGAGAAAATTTTTACAATCTACCCATCTGACAAAGGGCTAATATCCAGATTCTACAAAGAGCTTAAACAAATTTACAAGAAAAAAATCAAACAACCCCATCAAAAAGTAGGCAAAGGATGTGAACAGACACTTCTCAAAGGAAGACATTTATGCAGCCAACAGACACATGAAAAAATGCTCATCATCACTGGCCATCAGAGAAATGCAAATCAAACCACAATGAGATACCATCTCACACCAGTTAAAATGGCGATCATTAAAAAGTCAGGAAACAACAGGTGCTGGAGAGGATGTGGAGAAATAGGAACACTTTTACACTGTTGGTGGGACTGTAAACTAGTTCAACCATTGTGGAAAACAGTGTGGCAATTCCTCAAGGATGTAGAACTAGAAATACCATTTGACCCAGCCATCCTATTACTGGGCATATACCCAAAGGATTATAAATCATGCTGCTATAAAGACACATGCACACGTATGTTTATTGTGGCACTATTCACAATAGCAAAGACTTGGAACCAACCCAAATGTCCATCAATGACAGACTGGATTAAGAAAATGTGGCACATATACACCATGGAATACTATGCAGCCATAAAAAAGGATGAGTTCATGTCCTTTGTAGGGACATGGATGAAGCCGGAAAACATCATTCTGAGCAAACTATTGCAAGGACAGAAAACCAAACACTGCATGTTCTCACTCACAGGTGGGAATTGAACAATGTGAACACCTGGACACAGGGTGGGGACCATCACACACCAGAGCCTGTCATGGGGTGGGGGGAGGGGGGAGGGATAGCATTAGGAGATATACCTAATATAAATGACGAGTTAACAGGTGCAGCAAACCAACATGGCACATGCATACATATGTAACAAACCTGCACGTTGTGCACATGTACCCTAGAACTTAAAGTATAATAATAATAATAAAAATTTTTAAAAAAAGAAATATATTTGACACAAAAGCTTAACATCTTAATATAAAAAGAAATCAGGACCAAGCATGGTAGCTTATGCCTCTAATCCCAGCACAGGAGGACCTCTTGAGGCCAGGAGTTCAAGACCAGCCTGGGCAACATAGCTAGATCCCATCCCTACAAAAAACAATTTTTTAATTAGTTGAGTGTGGTGGCATGCTCCTGTAGTTCTCACTACATAGGAGAATCACTTGAGACTAAGAGTTTGAGGCTGCAGTGAGCTATGATGGCACCACTGCACTCCAGCCTGGGCAACAGAGCTAGATCCTGTCTCTTAAAAAGAAAAGAAAAAGAAAATGAGGATATATACTCTCTGTAATAATATTCCAATTGTACTGGAGGTCCTATCCAGTGCAATAAGATGCGAAAAATATAAATTTTGGAAATGACATAAAAGAATTATCACTTTTATGAATGATATAATTTTCCATTTAGAAAAATCGAGAAGAGAATCAACTGAAACATTATTAGAACTTTCTTTTTATTTTATAGAATATTTATTTATTTATTATTAGAAGTTTAGCCGGTTTGCCAAGTAGAAGATTCATATGTAGAAATCAATAGCTTTCTCATGCATCTGCCAAAACCAATCTAAAAGTGCAATTAAAACATTCAAAATAGCCATAGAATATCAAAATAGCCAATAGAATATCAAAATATACAGGAATAAACATGGAAAAGAAACACATCAGACCCATGTGAGGAAAATTATAAACCTTACTGAAGGACATAAAGTAAATTCAAACAAAGGGGAAGATACAGTATAAAGGTGTTGGTTTTCCCATAAATTAAAAGCTAAATTTGGGGAAATGCCTATCACATTGGCAGTGTTATTTTTGTTGTTGTTTGTTTGTTTACTTTACAAGCTTATTCTAAAATTCATGTACAGAAAAAAATTCAAGATAAACAAGAAAATGGTGGCATGGAATGATGGGGACATTGTCAGTCTATAGAAAGGAAATAGAGGAGGCCACTGTGTGGGAAAAGATACTCAACTTCACTAATAAATAGAGAAATGCAAAATAAGAAAATAACAAGGTACCTTTTTTCCCCTTAAATATCCTTAAATATTTAAATGATAATGTGAGAGGGGATAAAACAGAAATTCACAGGTACGGTTGGTAGGAGTTCAATTGGTCCAGTCTTTTTCAAAGCCAATGCATTATTTCTCAACACTTTGTGCATTACTGTCAACCAAGCACTAACAAAGCAACTTTTCAGAGTCTATCTACTCCAGAGGTGCAGGGAAACATGTATCCAGAGAGGCTGATCAAGCATGTTCATGTAACACTGTGTCTAACAGCAAAAACGCTAGAAATGATTCAAATGTCTATTAAGATAATTATTTAAAACAGAGTGAATTTGTATTTGGGAATATAGGCAGCGATTTTTTAAAAAATCAGTCTATTCTTATAACACTGCAAGAATTCCAAGACACATTATTAAGTATCAAAAGAAAGCTGTAGAAGGCCAGGCGCGGTGGCTCATGCCTGTAATCCCAGCACTTTGGGAGGCCGAGGTGGGAGGATCACTTGGGGCCAGGAATTCAAGACCAGCCTGGCCAAGAAGGTGAGACCTCATCTCTACTAAAAATACAAAAATTAGCCCAGCGTGATGGTGCACACCTGTAATCCCAGCTACCGGGAAGGCTGAGGCAGGAGAATCGCTTGAACCCAGAAGGCAGAGGTTGCAATGAGTCGAGATGGTGCCACTGCACTCCAGCCTGGGTGACAGAGACTGTCTCAAAACAAAATTAAAAAAAAGTTGTAGAATATTTTGCACTGTGTAACATAGTAATGTTGAAAAGTTTATGTGTTATGCACATGTATATGATTGTAAATGCAGATTAAAAACAAGTAGTTAACTTACTTCTGAGGACATACAGGATTGGAGATGTGGTGAAATCAAGGAGGACTTTTGTTTCCTCTGTATGGTTTGAAATTTCAAAATGAAAATGTGACCGTATATTAAGGATGTACTTTTTAAAACTCCCCAAAAGTAAATGTGGCCATCTGAAAAGTTTATTTACACATGCGTATGTCATCACAAATTCATTTCACAAGGATTTGAATGTTTTTTGACCTTATAAAAATCATAAAAGTACTTTAAAAATTAAATAGTGGTGCTGGATCAGAAAACATATACTTTTAGGATGTCTGATGAAATACCAGTATTACAAAATTCATCAAAAATCTTCTGGGAGGATTAGGACTCCAGTGAAGAAACAACCTTTTTGTCAACAGTGAACCTTACTTTGGGCTTCTTTTTCAAAACCTCTGTATAGCTTCTCTCAGGAAGAAATGTAAAAGCGTTCCATATCTCTTTATAGCATCGTGGAAAGCGTCTGAAGCTTGAGACCACCATGGCTTCTTTATATACGTATGATATTTGGTTATTTGAAAAGCCATCAAGACAAGATGGAACATAGTCACATGCCCAGAGATTAAAATTTCTTGAAACATGTTGCCTCTTATCTGGAGAGATCTTCTTACGTCCCAGGCCCTGGAGAGAAGAATTACAAGATTCGAAGGAAAATATTCAAGTTCACATAGTTCTTTTTTTTTTTTTTTTTTTTTTTTTGAGACAGAGTCTTGCTCTGTCACCCAGGCCAGAGTTCAGTGGCACGATCTCAGCTCACTGCAGCCTCTGCCTCCCGGGTTCAAGCAATTCTCATGCCTTAGCCTCCTGAGTAGCTGGGACTACAGGTGGACCCCACCACGCCTGGCTAAGTTTTTGTATTTTTAGTAGAGACAGGGTTTTGCCATGTTGCCCAGGTTGGTTTTGAACTCCTAAGCTCAGGCAATCTGCCCGCCTCAGCCTCCCAAAGCGCTAGGATTACAGGCATGAGCCACCGTGCCCAGCCTCAGTCACATAGTTCTGAGGTCTTTCTTAAAATCAGTTACTTGACATGTATATGTTCAAATGCACACTATGACGACTGTCTCAAGGTCTCCTTTAACAACCTGTTGAAGGTTATGAATTGACACTCACAAAACCCTGGCAGGGTTCTGTTATTGTCCTCACAGTCTTCTGGTGCCACCAAGGGGCCTGCACTTTTAGAGACATGGAAAGCAGAACCAGAGACAATCCAGCCAGAAACAGACTGTTAGCCAGCCTCAACCCTAGGGACCCAGGTAGGTTCCCTTCACTCCCAACACCCCCGACCTTCCCTGCTCCCCAGCACTGAGCTGCCCCCCAGCACTCAGTGGGACCAATGATGATTCTTTCTCTGAAAAGTCTGAGGAGGCTGAATTCTTTCCCAACCCTAAGGGCTCCCTGAAGGACCCAGCACCTTTAGGTCCTGGCCCACAGGCTTCCTCATTCACTCTCAGCACCTTACGTGCGAACCTGATAATTACTGTGTACTCAAAATTGTACATTCTGTTTGTTCACAACTAGATGAAAACTAAGAAAGAAAACACTATACTGACATGAGTGACTGAGAGGAAATGGACATTACGTTACATAGATTTCACGTCAGTAAAGTGAGGTTTCTGTGATGAAGGGTCAGTGTCAGATTTGCAGCAGGAGATGCAAGCCACATTCCAATTAGAGTAATTTGAGGACAGTCTATAAAGGGACTGTCTACATACGTGTGGGTGTGTGTAAGGACACCCCAAGGGGCTGTGCAATGGCTCCAGGACTGAGGGGACTGGGGAGGGATGTACTCCACATAGATCAGCCCCCAGAACCAGAGTAGGGAGAAGAGGAGAGTGGGACTGGAGGGACAAGTGTATGACGCGGGGCACAATGTCCAAGTCGGCTTCTAAAGAATGACTTGAGGATACTCCAGCAAATTGAAAAACAAGTAAAAGAAAGGCATGATGAAAATAGGGGAAAGAGCTTCAAGGAAAGCAGCAAGTAAAATTTATGATGAAATCTAAATGCTTGCTAATAATGTGACTATGAAATGTACTGAATTGTACAAATTCACAAAATGGAAAGGAGGGAGGGAAACAGAAAGAAAAGAATCTGCAACTGAAATCCCAGGATTTCAACTTGATTAGGGAAATCAGGGCCACATCTTTGAGCTCCCAGCTGAAGTCCAGGAATGGCACCTACAGGGCTTGGGGGAATACAACCTGGCCACCAACACAGCAGCCCTGGAACAGGAAGTGAGTGAGATAAAGCATGCTGGAAGACTTACCTTATTCTTGGGGAAAAGCTACAGTTATTAATTTTTATACATACAGTAATATAGTGTTAATATAATTATTAAATATTTGTACTTGAGGGCAAGTACTTGTAGAATATCAGTAGAAGTCAGAGTGAGCAAATAAATTCAATCAATCTAGCAAAGTCAGGAGAAGAAGAAAAAAAGAAAAATATAAGCATAATAAATAGGAAACATGAGATGGCAGAAATAAAACCAAAAGCATAAATTGTCATAATAATGTGAATGGGCTAAATTCTCATATAAAGAAATAGATTCTTCGATTTTTTTTAAAACTCTGCTGCATTATATTTATAATAGAAGACAAATGCAAAGCAAAATGACTACAAATTATGGAGACAAAGGAATGGCCCATAACATAAAGAACAAACATTAGCAAAAAGAGAGTAATAGTGACAATGCCAGTATCATAATGTAGATAGAATTTATGGCTAAAGGCATTAATGCATATAAAGAGAAACACTTCATATTGATAAACGGCAAAAGCCACCATGAAAATAAAACAACAAAAATTTTTGATGCAGAAAGATAAGGTATTAAACTATATCAGGCAAAAAAAACTTTAGAAACTCAAGAATAATCTTAGAAGCAGAAATTGACAGATCAATACAAAAATTAAGACAAGGATATGAAAGATTTAAATAATTCACAGTCCTAAATTAATAAATATAAAGAACTTTGTAACCAACAGGGGGGAATATATATTATTTGTAAACAGCCACGACACACTTGTTAAAGTTAATCACACACAAGACAACAAAGATAATCTCATAATTCAAAAAGTGAGAATCTTAGATTATACTCTGAAATTTACCATAACCCATAAAACTAGATATTAGCAATGAATAGATTATTTCTAAAATTTTTAACCATATAGATAATTCAAAACATTCTTCCAATTTTTTTAGGAAAGGGAAAAATTAAAAATTAAATCATAGGCTATTTGAAAGCAAATAATAATGAGACCTTAATTGGAAAAACCTTTGGGATGTAGTCAAACCAATAATCTAAAGACTACTTATAGTTTTAATAAATTATTAACAAAAACAATTGCAAGTATGTGAACTAAACATTCAACTGAAAACAAATTTTAAGGAACAACAAAATAAGACTATTTTGAGAGATGTTATACCGTACATTTGAAATGAATTAGATAAATTTTAGGCAAATACGTATCAGCAAAATCTACCCAAGAAGAGATAGAAAGTTTGAATAGATTAATAATCAAGAAAGAAAGAAAAAGTCATAAAAACCTTACTCTAAAAAATATACCAAACCCAAGTTATTTCATAGGCAAATTCTGTCTAACCTCCATTAAACTGAAAACTTCCATTAAACTGAAAATCCAAATGTTATATAAGCTATTCCAGAACATAGAGAAAGTTGGAAAGCTTCCAAGGCTTTCTAGAAGACTATCATAACCTTGGCAAAATACAAGTGGTAGAATCCTGTTTATATCATTAACAAATATACATTTATGTGTGTACATCTGCATGTGAATTGGAAAAACTCTCAAATTTTACCCACAAAACCATTACTAGCAGTGAATCGTCAAGGTCAGATTGTGAGGAAGGAAAATAAGGGTGTGAATTTATTTTTAATTTTATACAATTCTGTATGATTTCAGTTTTTTAAAGGACATATGTTGCTTTGGTTATTTAAAAAACAATATTAAGCACCCCATGTACAGAGGCAGGCAAAGTGGGTATTCTGGTCCTGTTTTCAACATTCTGCCAGAAGAAAACCAGATTTCTGGGGTTAAGGCACTTCTATTTAGTTAAGACACTGTAGTCTAGAAGAAAGAGGGATTTGGGGCAAGTTGTTTAACTTTACTGGATCTCAATTTGCTCATCTCTAAATTGAGATGATAAGTGTAATTAGCCTGTAGGATTGTTGTGAGGATTGAATACAATAATACGAGATGTTGGTATATGGCAGATGCTTTATAAATGGTGGGCCATTAATAACACCTTCATTATCATGGACTTTCAGGTTCCATGAGGATTTGCAGGTATCACTTGATACAGCTTTCTATCTAATAGGTTTCCCTGTGCTGTGCAGTCTGGTAGCCCCTAGCCACATGTAGCCATTGGGCACTTGATATGTGAGTTGTCTACGTTGAGATGTTACATAAGTGTAAAACACAAACTGTATTTTAAAGACTTGGTTTGGAAGGAAGAATGTAAAATATCTCATTAATTTTTTATATTGATTACATGTTGAATGGGCAATTTGGAGAATTATTGGGCTAAATAAATTATTTTTGTTTGCTTGAGATAGGATCTCACTCTGACACCCAGGCTGGAGTGCAGTGTTCGTGATCATAGCTCACTGCAGCCTTGAACTCCTGAGCTCAAGTGAACCTCCCACCTCAATCTTTTGAGTAGCTGGGACAACAGGCATGCACCACCACACCTGGTTAATTTTTTAATGTTTTGTAGACACGGGGTCTTACTATGTAGCCCAGGCTGGTCTCAAGCTCCTGACCTCAAGTGATCCTCCCACCTCAGCCTCCCAAACTGCTGGGATTTCAGGGCTGAGCCACTGCTCCCAGCCAATAGAATATATTATTAAAGTAAATTTCACCTGTTTCTTTGTACTTAATGTAACCACTAAAGCATTTAAAATTATGCATACAGTTTACACTACATTTCTATCACACAGTGCTGTGTGAACCACCACTGTATCAGACTTCATGTTCTCCAGTGATGGGGAACTCACAACCTGTAGAGAAAAGGCAACTCCAGTTACAAGGAAATCCTTCCTTATATTATGTAAGCTCCTCCTCCTTCTGACCTTTCCTCGTGGATCCTGGTTCTGCCATCCAGAGATACGCATAGCAGTCCCTCCTTCCCATGGCAGATCCTCACAAGAAAGCTCGCAAAAGAGACAATTTATGGGAAGGCACTTGCAGAAGGATGAAGCGCACTTACACCTAGGCAGAACACTGGTGTAGATCTTGAAAGCGGCGTGGAATTCTGAGAGCTTTGAACATTTTTTTTTTAATCTGTTATGAGTCTTGTTTAAGACCTCGCTTTGTTTTGACCTTGTTCCAGTTTTGAGGCCAATCCTCTATCTTCAACACACCCCAGAAAATCAAGATCCCTTGTGTTGTTCCCTGTTTTATTAATAATTTGGAAAGAAATACTCACGGAGTCAAGGTAGCATCCAGAGTTCTCCAAGCTGTGCCGATTGTCATGCACGGAGAAGGGGAACTGGTTATTCACTGCTTGCTGGAAAAGTGGGATGGAAGGGAAAGAGCACACATTAGAACCCTGCATGCTTTCAGAACTGGGATCGGGTGATGTGGAAGGAAGATGGATGAGGCAAAGCGACCTCTAAGAAAGACAATGAAACCTGGCCCCAGAGATGGAGCAGACACAGGAGGGGGAGGATATCCACGTGCTCATCAGCGCCGGGCTTTGAAACCCCACCTTATTTCCAGCTTCCCCAAAGTCATAAAAATTATCTTTCAAAACACCTTATTTGGATGCAAGGATGGAAAAGTGTACAGGCTCATGGAGCCAAAAACTGGGAAGGACTTTTGAGGCCGTGTAGACCAACTCTGTCATCTGGCCAGTAAGGGTCCCAGGAGATGAGAGCCCTGGCCCAAGGCCTGGGGGGAACCCTGGCAGGTATGAAATGGACCCTGGCTTCTCCTTTGTGCCACTGCAGGGCCTGGAAGTTGCTCAGGAATTGGCCGGGGAGGCAGGAGGTGCATGTTAATGAGCTGTGGGCTGGAAGGGGGTGTTGCTTCTTGTTCGTGGAGGAGCCTAACTTGATTGTCCATAGCAGGAAGTAGTTCCTGCCGCAGAGCACCAGGGTATGGGGTGGGGATACTACCAACCCTTAGGGGTCCAAGGATAGTAAATGCGCAGTTTCTTACAAAGAAGAATTGTTTGGCCCAACGTGCCAGCGGCGCTGCCCCCTGGGAGGTCCACAGGAGCACATGGCAGTGGCCAGTGTTCAGGACTCACCTTCTCCCGGACTTTGTATATGGGCGGCAGCTTCCCCTCCGCTTGCCGAGGCAAGTGTGGACTCTGGGGCTCTTTTGACGTAGCACTGGTGATGGATTCTGGTGTCTTTTGCGTTAGCCCGATGTGAGGGAACTGGAAGAACAGCACACGCCTTGATTAAAACCAGACACATTTGAATCTACAAGCCAAGTATCAGGGCTTCCTTTGTACAGTGATTAAAATGCAATTTGGGTGCTTTTGGCATGCAATGGAAATGGCATAATTTTTGTAATTTTCAAGTATTCTTTCCAAGACAAAAAACATTGTAATGGCCCAGAGCCATCACTGCCGGTTGTTTCAAGTTACAGAGGCCACCCCTGCTGAGCTGGAGCCTGGAAATGTTTCCATAGCCTGGTAAGGAGGGTGTGGTCCTCAGTGAGTGAGCAGACACATTCTGAGAAGACAGAAATGTGTTATTTGAGATCCTTCCTGTGGTCAGGGAGCTCCCAGTACTGAGGACCTTGGAGCCAACCCACGTTTATGGAGATGAGCCAACCTCCAGCAATGTAGGTATGAGGTGGCCCTAAGACCACGGGAAGGGGAGGAACAGAGAATCTCAAGTGATTCTCCACTGGAAATGTAGGATGGTAGAGGGGAGGTAACGTCTAGGAGGGAAAAAGAGGGGGTAGAAGGATGTGAAGCAAGAAAAATGAGGACTGAGGATTATCTAGAATATGTCCTTGCAATCTCCCAACAAAAGCCTGGGAAGGAAACAGGACTGGGCAGAAGAGGGGTAGTCCCAACAAGGGCCTCTGTTGACCCGGCTGGGAGCTCTGGACATTGGGTGGCCACTCAGAGCTGGGGAGAGGGGACCCAGTCTCTGTGCACCAAGCAATGAGGCATTGGATTTATTCCTGAGCTACCCCCAGAAGAAGGCGTGACCCTAGGGAGGCAGCTCTCTTCAGATAACAGACCTGTAGGTGTGGGCAGTGAGGGCCATGCTCCCAGCAGCCAGAGTGATGAGTCTTTCATTCCTGAAGGGGGGTGTGGCTAGCTCTTATGGCAAGAGAAGCTCACCCCAATGTTATTTGAATGGTGCCTCTTAAAAGCCACCCCAACAAAGTGAGCTCTGAAGCAGGACTCTCTAGGAGGAAATGAATGGAAATTAAAAAGACAAGACCCAATTCAATGAAAATTCCCATAAAGGGAGAAGGAAGCATAATGTGGTTGGGTCAGAGGCTGGACATTCAGAGGTCCTGAGTCCACCCCAGGTCTCTCTCCTATCTCCTAGGTGAGCCTGATGAGAGAGACTAAACTTTCTCAAGCCTCGGTTTCCCTATCTGTAAAATGGGAATAATAATACCTACCTGATATGGTAGATTTGATACAAAGAGGAAATGTATACACTCCAATAGTGTGAATAGTTTGCAAATGTTTTTGGCTAAATAGCAATCACATTTTCATTCTCCATTCGTCAATTTATGAACACTTAGGTTGATTCTATGTCTTTGCTATTGTGAATAGTGCTGCAATAAACATGCAAGTGCAGGTATCCCTCAGATATATTGATTTTTTTTAGTAGATACTCAGTAGTAGCATTGCTGGATCAAATGGTAATTTCTCGTTTGAGAGTTTTGAGAAATCTCCATACTATTTTCCATAGTGGCTCTACTAGTTTACATTTCCACCAAAAGTGTATAAGAGTTCCCTTCTCTCCCCATCCTCGCCAACATCTGTTATTTTTTGTCTTTTTAGTAATAGCTATTCTGACTGGGATAAGATGATATCTCATCGTGGTTTTTATTTGCATTCCCCTGATGATTAGTGATGTTTAGCATGTTTTCATATGCCTGTTTCCCATTTATATGTCTCCTTTTTTAAATTTTTTAAATTTTTTATGTGTACATAGTAGCTGTATATATTTATGGGGTACATAAGATATTTTGATACAGGCATACAGTGTGTAATAATCACATCAGGGGAAATGGAGGATCCATCACCTCCAGCATTTATCATTTCTTTGTGTTACAAACAATCCAATTATACTTTTAGTTTAAAATGTACAATAGATTATGATTGACTGTAGTCACCCCCCTGTCATGCTATCAACTACTAGATCTTATTCATCCTAACTATATTTTTGTACCATTTTCCATCCCCATGTCCCTCACCACTACCTTTCCTAGCCTCTGATAACCATCATTCTACTCTCTATGAGTTCAACTGTTTTAATACTCAGCTTCCACAAAGGAGTGAGAACATGTGAAAAGTTTGCCTTTCTATACCTGGCTTATTTTACTTAACATTTCCTCCAGTTCCATTTACATTGTTGCAAATGACAGAATCTCATTCATTTTTATGGCTGAATAGTACTTCATTTTGTATGTGTACCATATTTCTTTATCCATTCATCTATTGATAGACACTTAGGTTGCTTCCAAATCTTGGCTATTGTGAATAGTGCTGCAATAAACATGGGAGTGCAAATATCTCCTCAGTATACTGATTTCCTTTCTTTTGGGTATATACCTAGCAGTGGGATTGCCGAATCACATGGTAGTTCTATTTTTAATTTTTTGAGGAACCTCTATACTATTTTCCATAGTGGCTACTATGGTTTGGCTCTAATATGGTTGTCCCCATGCAAATCATCTTGAATTAGAATCCCCAAATGTCAGAAGAGGCGCCTGGTGGGAGGTGATTGGATCATGGGGGCGGATTTCCCCCTTGCTGTTTTCATGATAGTGAGTGAGTTCTCATGAGATCTGATGGTTTAAAAGTGTGGCACATCCCCCTTTGCTCACTGTCTCTCCTGCTGCCATGTAAGATATGCCTTGCTTCCCTGTCACCTTCTGCCATGATTGTAAGTTTCCTGAGGCCTCCCCAGCCATACAGAACTGTGAATCAATTAAACCTCTTTTCTTTATAAATTACCAGTCTCAGGTAGTCCTTTATAGCAGTGTGAAAACAGACTAATACAGTGGCTGTACTAATTTACATTTCCACCAGCAGTGTACAGGTGTTCTCTTTTCTTGATATCCTCACCAGCATTTGTGATTGCCTGTCTTTAGGATAAAAGCCATTTTAACTGGGGTGAGATGATATCTCATTGTAGCTTGGATTTCCATTTATCTGATGATCAATGATGTTGAGCACCTTTCCATATACCTGTTTGCCGTTTGCATGTCTTCTTTTGAGAAATGTCTATTCATGTCCTTTGCTCACTTTTTAATGGAATTACTTGGTTTTTTGGTTGTTGTTGTTGTTGTTGTTGTTTTACAGTTGAGTTGTTTGAGTTCCCTGTATATTCTGGATATTATTCCCCTGTCAGATGAATGGTTTGCAAATATTTTCTCCCATTCAACAGATTGTCTGTTTACTCTTTTGATTGTTTCCTTTGCTGTGCAGAAGCTTTTTGATTTAATATAGTTCCATTTGTCTATTTTCATTTTTGTTGTTTATGCTTTGGAGATCTTAGTCATAAATTTTTTGTCTAAACCAAGGTTCAGAAGAGTTTTCTCTAGGTTTTCTTCTAGTGTTTTTTACAGTTTCAGATCTTATATTTAAGTCTTCAATTCATTTTGAGTTGATTTTTTTATATGGTGAGATATAGGTGTCCAGTTTCTTTCTTCTGCATGTGGCTATCCAATTCTTTCAGTACCATTTATTGAACAGGGTGCTGCTTCCCCGATATAAGTTCATATTGGCTTTGTCAAAGATCAGTTTTCTGGGTTCTCTATTCTGTTCCATTGGTCTGTGTGTCTAATTTTATACAAATGCCATGCTGTTTTGGTTACTATAGTCTTGTAATAAGTGATGCCTCCAGCTTTGTTCATTTTGCTCAAGATTCCTTTGGTTATTCTGGCTCTTTTTTATTCCATATGAATTTTAAGATTGTTTTTTCTAATTCTGTGAAGAATGACATTGGTATTTTGATAGAGGTTGCATTGAACCTGTAGATTGCTTTAAGCAATATGGTCATTTTAATGATGTATTCCGACGCAGGAGCATGAGATATTTTTCCATTTGTTTGTGTCATCTTTAATTTCTTTCATCAATGTTTTATAGTTTTTCTTATAGAGATATTTTACCTCCTTGGTTAAATTTATTCTTATATATTTTTGTAGCTATTATAAATGAAATTGCCTTCTTGATTTCCTTCTTAGCTAGATCATTGCTGATATATATAAAAGCTACTGCTTTTTGTATGTTGATTTTGTATCCTGCAACTTTACTGAATATATTTATCAGATCTAAGTGGGGTTTTTTTTGGTAGAGTATTTAGGTTTTTCTAGATATAATATCATGTCCTCAGCAAAAAGAGACAGTTTCACTTCTTCTTTTCCAATTTGGATGCTTTTTATTTCTTTCTCTTGACTGATTGCTCTGGCTAGGACTTCTAGTACTATGTTGAATAGGAATGGTGAAAGTGAGAATCCTTGTCTTGTTTCAGTTCTTGGAGCAAAGGCGTTCAACTTTACTCCATTCAGTATGATGTTAGCTGTGGGTTGGCTGTATATGGTCTTTGTTATTTTGAGTTATGTTCCTTCTATGTCTAGTTTGTTGAGAGTGTTTATCATAAAGCGATGTTGAATTTTATCAAATGCTTTTTCTGTGCCTATTGAGATAATCATATGGTTTTTGTCCTTCATTTTGTTGGTGTGATGTGTCATGTTTACGGATTTGTGTGTGTCGAAGCATCCTTGCGTCCCTGCTATAAATCCCACTTGATCACGGTATATTGTCTTTTTGATGTGCTGTTGCATTTAGTTTGCTGGTATTTTGTTGAGAAATTTTGTATCTATGTTCATTGGGGATACTGGCTGTAGTTCTCTCCCCGCCCCCCCTCCTCCAACCTTGAATAGCTGTTTATTGGCAGTGTGCTGGAAAGGGTGATGGAGTTAGCATTCACAGACGACACCACACACCACTGTCACGAGGGAGGCAAGAGCACGGGCAAGCCAACCTGGAGACCTGAGGAGAAGGCCCGCTCTTCAAGAGAGTAGGGGCGGGGCCTGGAGTGTTGGGAACAGCCGGGGAACACCTCCACTTAGTAGGTATGGTTAGAGATGAAGAGGGACTCTCTAGCAGCAGCCCCAGTCTCACTGCTTGGGGTGTACTTTCCTTGACAGGCCAGGCTGTTGGCCACGGCTCACTTGACTCCTCCTGGGCAGCCTTCAGGTTCTCCTTCTTCCTGCCCCAGGCCTTCAGGGCAGAGGCCTGCAGGGCTCGGCCATAGGAGAAGGTCACAGGGAGCACTTGTTAATGGCGTTGAGGTTGATGGATGCCTCCTCCTCATTCTGGCCTCCAGACAGGAATGTGATCCCAGGGACAGCGGGGGGCACTGTGCGGTGCAGCGTTGTGACAGTCACCATGGCAATCTCCTCGTGAGAAAACTTCTGGATGCAGGGATGGCCTGGGGTGACCATGCTGGGGTTCAGCAAGATGCCCTCCAAGATAGATGTGTTGATCACTCAGAGCCTTGTAGACAGCAGTCAGCACCTTCTTGGTCACACACTGGCAGTGCTTCAAGTCATGGTCCCCATTAGGGGGGATCTCAGGCTCCGCAATGGGCACAATGCCACTCTGCTAGCAGATGCTGGCATGACAGGCCAGGACGTTGGTATTTTCCATGACGGCAAGGGCTGAGGGGGTGTGTTCCCCAATCTTCAGAACACAATGCCACTTGGTGAAGTCAGCTCCATCCTTCTTGTACTGGGCACAGCACTCAGACAGCCCATACAACCCTTGGGTGGTGGTCTCGCCATTTGTCCCTGCAAGGGAGACCACGCCCTTGTCTACCTTGCTGCCCCCAACACCACCCTTGGACATGACAACTTGGGGGAAAGGACGCCCATCATCCTTCTTCTGGTAGAGTGTCTGGTGGAAGAGGATGACGTCCCCGATGCAGGGGTTCACGCAGTCGTCAGCTGTCAGCAGCAGCTGACAGTAGAAGCGCCAGTTCTCTTTGGTGTTCTCGGCGTTAAGGGACTGCAGCCGCTTGGCAATGCTCCCAGTGGACTCATCTGCAGCCAGGATGCCCTTGCCCAGTGCCACGATGCGGTGAGCGATGTCAGACAGCTCCTTCTTCTGCTCCAGGGTCAATGCTGGATATCGGTAGGGCATGGTGCTGGTGGTGGCAAGTTCCAGTGCTTCAAAGGAAATTTCTTCCTTGGAAATCCAGACGGAGGCCCTTGGTTGTCAACAGAAATAAATCTTTGGCCAGGGATCTCCTAAAATAACTGAGAGTCTGTGGACAGAGTGTGGTTGGGGCACCTCTGCATACCCTGTAGTTGTCTTTTTTTTGTTGTGTCTATCTCTGGTTTTGGTATCAGTGTGATGCTGGTTGGCCTCATAGAATGAATTAGGGAGAATTCCCTCCTCTTTAATATTTTGAAATAGTTTCAAGACAATTGGTATTTGGGTTTTGTTTGGTAAAATTCAGCTGTGAATCCAACCAGTTCTGGACTTTTCTTTGTTGGGAGATTTTTTTTTTTTAATTACTGATTCAGTCTCACTATTCAGCATTGCTCTGTTCAGATTTTCATTCCTTCCTGATTCAATCTTGGTAGGTTGTATGTTTTCAGGAATTTATTTATTTCCTCTGGGTTTCCCAGTTTGTCAGCATATAGTTGTTCACAGTAGTCTCCAACTTTTTTATTTAAAAAAAGATCTCCAACTTTTTATTTAATAAAAGATCTCCACAGATCTTTTATATTTCTGTGGTCTTACTTGTAATGTCTCCTCTTTCATTTCTGATTTTGTTTATTTGGGTTTTCTCTTTTGTGGCTAGTCTAGCAAGGAGTTTATCAATTTTGTTTTTCTTTTTTAAAGAATCAACTTTTAATTTCATTGATCCTTTGTATTTTCTTTTAGTCTCTATTTCATTTAGTTCTGGCTCTGGTCTTTATTATTTCTTTTCTTCTGCTAATGCTGGGTTTGGTTTATTCTTGCTTTTCTAGTTCCTTGGAGTGCATTGTTGATAGTTAATTTATGTAATCTTTCTACCATTTTTGATGTAGGTATTTATTGCTATAAATTTTCCTCTGCTTGGCCGGGCACGGTGGCTCACGCCTGTAATCCCAGCACTTTGGGAGGCTGAGGCAGGTGGATCACCTGAGGTCAGTAGTTCAAGACCAACCTGGCCAACATGGTGAAACCCTGTCTCTACTAAAAATACGAAAGTTGCCAGGTGCAGTGGCTCATGCCTGTAATCCCAACACTTTGGGAGGCTGAGGCAGGCAGATCACGAGGTCAAGAGATCGAGACCATCTTGGCCAACATGGTGAAACCCTGTCTCTAATAAAAGTACAAAAATTAGCTGGGTGTGATGGTGTGCACCTGTAGTCCCAGCTACTCGGGAGGCTGAGGCAGGAGAATTGCTTGAACCCAGGAGGCGGAGGTTGCAGTGAGCAGAGATCGCACCACTGCCCTCCAGCCTGGAAACAGAGTGAGACTCCATCTCAAAAAAAATAAATAAATAAAATAAATAAATAAATACAAAACTTAGCTGGGCATGGTGGCAGGCACCTGTAATCCCAGCTACTCGGAAGGCTGAGGCAGGATAATCACTTGAACCTGGGAGGCGGAGGTTGCAGTGAGCCAAGATCATGCCATTGCACTCCAGCCTGGGCAACAAGAGTGAAACTTTGTCTCAAAAAAAAAAAGAAAAATTCCTCGGCTTTTGCTGTATCCCAAAGGTTTGGGTATGTAGAGTTTCCATTTTCATTTGTTTTAAGAATTTTTTAAATTTTTATCTTTTTAAAATTTATTTAACTTTATTTTAAGTTCTGGGATACAAGTGCAGGAGAGGCAGTCTTGTTACATAGGTAAAAGTGTGCCATGGTGGTTTGCTGCACCTATCAACCTGTCACCTAGGTATTAAGCCCCACATGCATTAGCTATTTTTCCTGATGCTCTCCCTCCCACACCCCCCGTAACAGGCCCCAGTGTGTGTTGTTTCCTTCCCTGTGTCCATGTGTTCTCATTGTTCAGCTCCCATTTATAAGTGAGAACGTGATAGTGTTTGGTTTTCTGTTCCTGTCTTAGTTTGCTGAAGATAATGGCCTCCAGCTCCATCCAGATTCCTGCAAAGGACATGATCTCATTCCTTTTTATGGCTGCATAATATTCCGTGGTGTACATGTACATTTTCTTTATCCAGTCTATCATTGATGGATGTTTGGGTTGACTCCATGTCTTTGCTATTGTGAATAGTGCTGCAAGAACATACGCATGAATGTATCTTTATAATAGAATGATTTCTATTCCTTTGGGTATATACCCAGTAACAGTATTGCTGGATCAAATGGTATTTCTGGTTCTAAGTCTTTGAGGAATCACCCACTGTCTTCCACAATGGTTGAACTAATTTACATTCCCACCAATAGCGTAAAAGCATTCCTATTTCTCCATAGCCTCACTAGCATCTGTTGTTTCTTGACTTTTTAATAATTGCCATTCTGACTGGCATCAGATGGTATCTCATTGTGGTTTTGATTTGCATTTCTCTAATGATCAGTGATGCTGAGCTTTTTTTCATATGTTTGTTGGCCGCATAAATGTCTTCTTTTGAGAAGTATCTGTTCATGTCCTTTGCCCACTTTTTAATGGGGTTTTTTTCTTGTAAATTTGTTTAAGTTCCTTGCAGATTCTGGTTATTAGACCTTTATGAGATGGATAGATTGCAAAAAATTTCTCTCATTCTGTAGGTTGCCTGTTCATTCTGATGATAGTTTATTTTGCTGTGCAGAAGCTCTTTAGTTTAATTAGATACAATTTGTCAATTTCTGCTTTTGTTGCAATTGCTTTTGACATTTTAATCATGTAATATTTGTTTGCCCTTTCCTATGTCCTGAAGGGTATTGCCTAAATTTTCTTCTAGGGTTTTTATAGTTTTGGGGTTTACATTTCAGTCTTTAGTCTGTCTTGAGTTAATTGTTGCATAAGGAAGGGGTCCAGTTTCAATTTTCTGCATATTACTAGCCAGTTCTCCCAGCACCATTTATTAAATAGGGAATCCTTTTCCCATTGCTTGTTTTTTTCAAGTTTGTTGAAGATCAGATGGTTGTAGATGAGCAGTCTTATTTCTGAGTTATTTTGTTCCATTGGTCTATGTGTCTGTTTTTGTACTAGTATCATGCTGTTTTGGTTACTCTAGCTTTGTAGTATAGTTTGAAGTCAGGTAGCATGATGCCTCCAGTTTTTTTCTGAGATTATGGGGTTTTCTAGATATGGGATCATGCCATCTGCAAACAGACAGTTTGACTTCCTCTCTTCCTGTTTGAATACACTTTATTTCTTTCTCTTGCCTGATTGTCCTGTCCAGAACTTCCAAATACTTTGTTGAATAGGAATGGTGAGAGGGGTCATCCTTGTCTTGTGCTGGTTTTCAAGGGGAATGCTTCCAGCTTTTACCCATCCAGTATGACATTCACTGTGGGTTTGTCATAAATGGCTCTTATAATTTTGACGTATGTTCCATCAGTACCTAGTTTATTGAGTTTTTAACATGAAGGGATGTTGAATTTTATTAAAGGTCTTTTCTATGTCTATTGAGATAATCATGTGGTTTTTGTCTTTAGTTCTGTTCATGTGATGAATTACATTTATTGATTTGCATACATTGAACCAGCCTTGCATCCTGGGGATGAAGCTGACTTGATCATGGTGGATAAGCTTTTTGATGTGCTGCTGGATTCAGTTTGCCAGTATTTTATTGAGCATTTTTGCATCAATGTTCATCATGGATATTGGCTTTAAGTTTTCTTTTTTTATTGTGTCTCTGCCAGGTTTTGGTATCAGAATGATGCTGGCCTCATAAAATGAGTTAGGAAGAAGTACCTCCTTTTCAATTGTTCTGAAAAGTTTCAGGAGAAATGATACCAGCTCTTTTTTGTACCTCTGGTAGAATTCAGCTGTAAATCCATCTGGTCCTGAGCTTTGTTTGGTTGGTAGGCTATTAATTACTGCCTCAATTTCAGAACTGTTATTGGTCTATTCAGGGATTCAACTTCTTCCTGATTTAGTGTTGGGAGAATGCATGTGTCCAGGAATTTATCCATTTCTTCTAGATTTTCTAGTTTATTTGCATAAAGGTGTTCATAATATTCTCTGATGTTTGGTTATATTTCTGTGGGGTCAGTGGTCATATCCCCTTTATCATTTTTCATTGTGTCTATTTGATTCTTCTCTCTTTTCTTCTTTATTAGTCTAGCTAGTGGTCTATTTTATTAATGTTTTCAAAAAAACCACCTCCTAGATTCATTGATTTTTTTTGAAATGTTTTTTGTATCTCTATCTCCTTCAGTTTCGCTCTGATCTTGGTTATTTCTTGTCTTCTGCTAGCTTTGGGGTTCATTTGCTCTTAGTTCTCTAGTTCTTTTAGTTGTGATGTTAGTGTGTCAATTTGAGATCTTTCTAGCTTTTTGATGTGGGCATTTGGTGCTATAAGTTTCCTTCTTAACACTGCTGTAGCTGTGTCCCAGAGATTCTGGTACATTGTCTCTTTGTTCTCATTGATTTCAAAGAACTACTTGATTTCTGCCTTAATTTCATTATTTTTCCAGGAGTCATTCAAGAGCAGATTGTTCAAATTCCATGTAGTTGTGTGGTTTTGAGTGAGTTTCTTAATCTTGAGTTATAATTTGACTGCACTGTGGTCTGAGAGACAGTTTGTTATTATTTCACTTCTTTTGCATTTGCCGAGGAGTGTTTTACTTCCCATCATGTGATCAGTTTCAGAGTAAATGCCATGTGGCACCAAGAAGAATGTATATTCTGTTCTTTTTGGATGGAGACTTCTGTAGGTATCTATCAGTTCCCCTTGATCCAGAGCTGAGTTTGAGTCTTCAGTATTCTTGTTAATTTTCTGTCTCAATGATCTAACATTGACAGTGGGGTGTAAAAGTCTCCCACTATTATTGTGGGGAGTCTAAGTCTCTTTGTAGTTCTCTAAGAACTTGTTTTATGAATCTGAGTGCTCCTATATTGGGTGCATATATATTTAGGATAGTTAGCTCTTCTTGTTGAATTGATCCCTTTACCATTATTCAATGCCCTTCTCTGTCTTTTCTGATCTTTATTGGTTTAAAGTGTGTTTTGTCCAGAAACTAGGCTCACAACCCCTGTTTTTTTCTGATTTCCATTTGTTTGGTAAATTTTCCTTCATCTCTTTATTTTGAGGCTATGTGTGTCTTTGCACGTGAGATGGGTCTCTTGAATACAGCACACCAGTGGGTCTTGACTCTTTATCCAGCTGTCCATTCTGTGTCTTTTAATTGAGGCATTTAGCCCATTTACATTTAAGGTTAATGTTATCTATGAATATGATCCTGTCATCATGATGTTAGCTGGTTATTTTTGCAGACTTGTTGATGTAGTTTCTTCATAGTGTCATTGGTCTTTGTACTTCAGTGGCTGGTAATGGTTTTTCCTTTCTATATTGAGTGCTTCCTTCAGGAGCTCTTGCAAGGTAGGCCTGGTGGTGGCAAATTCCCTCAGCATTTGCTTGTCTGAAAAGGATTTTATTTTTCCTTCACTTATGAAGCTTAGTTTAGCCAGATATGAAATTCTGAGTTGGAAATTTTTTGCTTTAAGAATGTTGAGGCTGGGCACTGGCTTATGCCTGTAATCCCAGCACTTTGGAAGGCCAAGGTGTGCTGATCACTTGAGGTCAGGAGTTCAAGACCAGCCTGGTCAACATGGTGAAACCCCGTCTCTGCTATAAATACAAAATTAGCTGGGCATCGTGTCAGGTGCCTGTAATCCCAGCTACTAAGGAGGCTGAGGCAGGAGAATCAATGGAACCCAGGAGGTGGAGGTGGCAGTGAGCCAAGATCACACTATTGCACTCCAGCCTGGGCGACGAGAGAGAGACTCTCTCTCAAAAAAAAAAAAAAAAAAAAAAAGGTTGAATATTGACCCCCAGTCTCTTCTGGCTTGTAGGGTTTCTGCTGAAAGGTCTGCCCTTAGTCTGATGGGTTTCCATTTGTAAGTGACCTGGCCTTTCTTTCTGGCTGACCTTAACATTTTTTCCTTCATTTCCACGTTGGAGAATCTGATGATTATGTGTCTTGGGGTTGATCTTCTTGTGGAATATCTTACTGGGGCTCTCTGTGTTTCCTGAATTTGAATGTTGACCTGTCTTTTTAGGTTGGGGAAGTTCTGGATGATATCCTGAAGTACGTTTTCCAACTTGGTTCTGTTCTCTCTGTCTCTTTCAGTTACCCCAATCAGTCATAGGTTTGGTCTTATTACATAATCCCATATTTCTCAGAGGTTTTGTTCATTCCTTTTCATTCATTTTTCTCTATTCTTGTCTGCCTGTCTTATTTCAGCAAGACAGTCTTCAAGCTCTGAAATTCTTTCCTCTTCTTGGTCTATTTAATTATTGATACTTGTGGTTGCATTGTGACGTTTTCATGTTGAGTTTTTCAGCTCCATCAGATCATTTATGTTCCTCTCTAAACTGGTTATTCTGATTAACAGCTCCTGTTATGTTTTATCATGGTTCTTAGCTTCTTTGCATTGAGTTAGAACATGCTCCTTTAGCTCAGTGAAGTTTGTTATTACTCACCTTCTGAAGCCTACCTCTGTGAATTCATCCATCTCAGCTTCTGCCCAGTTCTGTGCCCTTGCTGGAGAGGTGTTGCCATCATTTAGAGGATAAAAGGCACTCTGACTTTTTGAGTTTTCAGCATTTTTTCATTAATTCTTTCTCCTTTTTGTGAGTTTTTCTAGCTTCAATCTTTGAGGCTGCTGACCTTTGGATGGAATTTTTACAGGGACTTTTTTGTTGATGCTATTGTTTTTGTTGCATTCTGTTTGTCTTTCCTTTAACAGTCAGGCCCATCTTCCACAGGACTGCTGCAGTTTGCTGGAGGTCCATTCCAGACCCTATTTGCCTGGGTCCCTCTGGCACCTGGAATTACCACCAGTGGAGGCTGCAGAACAGCAAAGGTGGCAGCCTGCTCCTTCATTTGGGATCTCTGTCCCAGAGGGACACTGACCTGATACCAGCAGGAACACTCCTGTGTAACTTGACTGAGGGGTCTCACCCAGTCAGGAGGCATGGGAACCAGGGCCCTGCTTAACGAAGCACTCTGGCTGCCCCTTGGCAAAGTGGGTGCATTGAGCTGGGGGAATCTCCGCTCATCCAGATTGCCCAGGTTCCTTAGAGCCAGCAGGGGAGAAGACTAAGTCTGCTGATCCAGGGAGACCATAGCCACCCCTCCCCACAGGGGTTCAGTCCCAGGGAGACAAGAGTTCTGTCCTTAAACCCCTGGCTGGAGTTGCTGAAATTCATGCAGGGAGTCCTCATCCAGTGAAGAGGGATGGACCAGAGTCCAGCTTAAACAGGCAGTCTGGCCACGATCTGCCACAGCTGCTATGCTGTGCTGTGGGAAATTCCTCCTGGGTCCACATGGTCCAGTCTCTCCAGCACCAGCAGGGTAAAAATGGCAGACTGGAGCTACAGCAATGGTGGCCACTCCTCCCCCTGGGAGCTCAGTTGTCTTAGCAGGCAGCCACAGTGATGACAGCTGCCCCTCTCCTGGGGAGTTCAGTCGTCTTAGGCAGCAGGCACCCACGGTGATGATGGCCACCCCTCCCCCCAGGAACTCGGTAGTCTTAGGCAGTCCCCACCAAGTGGCTGCTGAGAATCTGCACAGCTCTGTGCTTGGGACCTAAGGCCCTGGTGGTGTGGGCTCATGAGGGGGATCTCCTGATCCATGGGTTGCACAGATCTATGGATAAAGCATGGTTTCCAGGGCAGGGCAAGATGATCACTCACCACCCTTCTTGGCTGGGGGTGGGAACTCAACCCCATGTGGCTCCCAGGTGGGCAGACACACCACCCTACTTTTCCTCACTCTCTGTGGGTCATGCCAACCACCTAGTCAGTCTCTGACAGAATCAGGATACCTCAGTTGCCAGTGCAGGATTCACTCACCATTTTCATTCTTCTCAGTAGGAACCTCCAACCACAGCTGTTTCTAGTTGGCCATCTTGGCCCCTCCCCACTAATTTTATCCCAATTTCTTCATTGACCCAGGGGTCATTCAGGAGCATGTTGTTTAATTCCTATGTATTTGCATAGTTTCCAAAGTTCCTCCTGGTATTGATTTCTAGTTTTATTCTACTGTGGTCTGAGAAGATATGTAATGACTTTAATTTTTTTAAACTGCTGAGACTTGTTTTGTGGCCTGACATATGGTCTATCCTGGAGAATGTTCCATAGGCTGATGAAAAGAATGTATATTCTCCAGTTGTTTGATAGAATGAACTGTAAATGTCTGTTGGGTCCATTTGGCCTAAAGTTCAGTTTAAATCCAGTGTTTCTTGGTTGAGTTACTGTCTAGATTGTCTGTCTAATGCTGGGAGTAGGGAATTGAAGACTTCCACTATTATTGCATTGCAGTCCATTTCTTTGGATCTAATAATATTTGCCTTATGAATCTGGGTGCTCCAGTGTTGGATAGCCATATATTTAGAACTGTTATATCCTCTTGCTGGATTGATCCATTTATCATTATATAATGACCTTCTTTGTATTTTTTTTACTGTTCTTGACTTACAGACTGTTTTATCTAAGTACAGCTACTGTTGTGCACTTTTGTTTTCCATTTGCATGGAATATCTTTTTATCATGACTTTATTTTCAGTCTATCTATATGTCTTTACTGGCAAAGTGAGTTTCTTGTAAGCAGCATATAGTTGGATCTTTTTTTTTTTAAATTCCATTCAGCCAGCCATTCTGTATCTTGTAAATGGATAATTTAAGGTTTCTGTTCAAAGTTATTATTGATATGTGAGGCTTTGTTCCTATCATGTTATTAAATTGTTTTCTTGTTGTTTACATCTTCTTTCTTCCTTTCTTTTTATCTTACTGCTTGTCATTGTGGTTCGGTGGATTTCTGTAGTGGTACAATTTGAATCCTTTCTCTTCCTCCTTTGTGTGATTGTTCTACGAGTGAGTTTTATACTTTTGTATGTTTTCATGATGGTAAATATTGTCCTTTCACTTCCAGGGATCCCTTGAGTATTTCTCAAAAGGTCAATCTAATGGTAAAAAAGTCCTTCCCTCAGCATTTGCTTGTCTGGGAAAGACTGTATTTCTCCTTCAGTTGTAAAGGAGAGCTTTGCTAGAAATAGCATTCTTGACTGGCAGTTTTTTCTTTCAGCATTTTGAATATATCATCCTATTGTCTTATGACCTGTAAGGTTTCTGCTGAGAAACCTATTGTTAGTCTGACGGAGTTTCCTTTATTGATGACTAATGCTTTTCCCTTGCTTTTTTAAAAAATTTGTTCTGTATCTTTGACTTTAGATAGTCTGACTATAACATTTCATGGAGAAGACCTTTTTGTATTGTATCTGCCTGGGGACTGTTGAATTTCTTGTACCAGAATGTCTAGATCTCTTTCTGGACTTGGGAAGTTTTTATCTATTATTGTGTTAAATAGGTTTTCTAATCTTTTCTTTGTCTCTTTTCTCTGGAGGATCCTGATAACTTAAATGTTTGATCACTTTATGTTATCCAAAATGTAACAAAGAGTTTGCTCATACTTTTCAATTCTTTTTTATTTATTTTTGTCTGACTGGATTATTTCAAAAGACCTGTCTTCAAGTTCTGAGATTCTTCTTCCTGATCAAGTCTATTGTTGAAATTTTCAAATGTATTTTGTATTTCCTTCCATGAGTTCTTCAATTTCAGAATTTCTATTTGGTTCTTTTCTTTTCTAAATATCTTTCTCCTTGGAAAATTTCTCATTCATATCCTGAATTATTTTTCTGATTTCTTTGTATTATTTTTCAGCCTTCTCTTGTATCTCACTGAGCTTCTTTAAAATGAATTTTTTTTTCTTTTTTCTTTTGAGACATAGTCTCACTCTATTGCCGAGGCTGAAGTGCAGTGGTGCGATCTTGGCTCACTGCAACCTCCGCCACCCAGACTCAATTGATCCTCCTGCCTCAGCCTCCTGAGTAGCTGGGATTACAGGCATGCACCATCATGCCCAGCTAATTTTTGTATTGTTAGTAGAGATGGGGTTTCACCATGTTGGCCAGGCTGGTCTTCAACTCCTGACCTCAAATAATCTGCCCACCTCGGCCTCCCAAAGTGCTGGGATTACAGGCATGAGCCACTGCACCCAGCCCCTAAAATGAATATTTTCAATTCTTTATCTGGTATTTGGGAAATTTCTTTTTGATTAAGATCTATTGCTGGTGAATTATTTTGTCTCTTGGAAGTGTATTTCCTTGCTTTTTCATGTTTATTCTGTCCTTACATTGCTATCTGCACATCTGGTGTAACAGTCTCTTCTTCCTATTTTTAAATTTACTTTTATAAGGGAGGACATTTTCCTGAAGATGTTTCCATGGTGTCAGTTGGATAGAGTACTTTGGCTTTGATTCTGCATGCATGTAGTCATGCAGGCTTTATATGATTTCTTTGTCTGTAACCACAATTAGTGGTACCTGTGATTTCCTCAGTGTGTTAGGGTGTGGTTAACAGTAGAGGCTGTGATGAAGTTGTGCTGGGGACTGAGATGCCAGGTAGGTCAGTCTTCAGGCCCCATTGGTGGCAGCAGTTGGCTGAGCATGTCTATCTTTGTGCCTCAGAGTAGTATAAGCTGGCACCTGTTTTGGCAGTTCTTGGTGGGCCAATTCTTGGGCCTCCCGGTGGCTTGCTTTGATACTAGTAGTGGCAGCAATGAACGAGGCAGGTGGGTGGGTTCTCAGGCCCCTAGGCAGCTGGTGTGGCATGGGTGATGGCAGTAGCAGTGGCAGGATAATTTTTTGGGTCCTGAGTGGTGTGCATTGATGTTGGCAGTGGTTGCGATGGGCTGGGCAGGCCAGTCTCTAGGACTGCAGGTGGTGCTTGCACATGGGGGCCAGCTGAGATGGTAGTGGCCAGGAGTTTAGGCCCAATCTGAGTTCCCTGGGAGGAGTGTACTCAAGGTGGTAGATGGGTTGGGCAAGCTCAAGGACGTGAGGCTCTGTGTTCTGTCATGGAAGAGGAGGCAAAGCCCGGCTGGGTGGGCTTGCGCTCAGGCCCCCAAAATATGACAGCAGGCA